>NC_000002.12:100519921-100822951 GCF_000001405.40 Homo sapiens | reverse complement strand
GTAAGCAAATAATGCACCAAGTACCCTATCCACTATTTAAATGTGAAACTCAATTAGATGCTTGCTATGATGCAGCCAATTAAACCGTTGGCATAAAGCAGCCAAGAATACTGAGTCACTGGGCTATTTTCAACACCTCGAAATCTGACCTCTCTTGGGAAAGAGTTGCACCGTGCATGGAATCAGCATGGGACAGTGTCGTGATCACACTGGGAGAACCGACGATTCATGTAAAGAACAAAACACATGCTTGTTTTAAAAATTAAGAAAGAAGACTTAGCCCTTTGGGTTCTTAAGATTCAAAAGCAAGACTCTGAAAAAATGAACATATAAAGATGGTTAAATTAAAAAGTATACGCATGCCTTATTATTTTATTCTGAAAAAATTAACTTTCAGTTTTTAATCTAATAAGTTGCAGTGTTGAGTGAGCTATAAAGATTACCAAGAGTTAAGAAAGATTGTTCAAAAAAATAGGGTGAATTCAACTTAAACATGGCACACATCAGGTTATATGTGTTATCTTTAACGATTTTCATCATTTGCATTATTAAACAGCCAGAAATTTTTTTAAAGGGCCCAAACTGTTTTAAGAGAACCAAATGAGCTTAAAAACAATTGTTGTTTTCTACATAAAGATCAATTCTTTAGTCATCATCTGAACACTCTCTCATCAGACCACTAATTAGTAAAGCCTCACTTGGTTATTTTTGGCGTGGTTAACTCTTTGGGGGTAACGTTTTATTAATAACATATTTCCTCTAGAACGTATTTCCTTCTTTCACCTCCACAGGAGCCCCTCTGGGAAGCAGTGAGAATAAAACCGATTCTACATTTACGCACAGTGGGACAGATCAGCAAATAAATAGAGGCATCGATTTCCAAGAAGAAAACGGCTAAAAGCAGCGCATTTACAATTCTTCTAAGCCATACTCCACATCTCTCTGTGAGATGGAAGATAATTACTGAACGTCTTTACTTTGCACACTTTATTTTTAACTAAATATTTAAGTAGACTGCTGAGAGATACCAATACTTCTACTGGTCCTGGTTTAGCGCTGTAATGAAACACTGAATTTTTGCTTTTATAAAATAGTGGCGCAGGTCAGGATAACTCTTTTAAACATTACACTATTTATTTGGGGGTTATTTTTGGCTAACTTTTTCCTTTAAGGACATCTTAGTGGCAGGAAGATGGAGCTAGTGTGTGCGCTTGAATGTGAACAGTGCCTCCCAAGGAGGGCAGCTCTGTGTTTAATGCAAGCCATAATTAGTTGGTCAATTCACTGATGGGGACCAAGCTACAGTGAGAGAGAGATGCTGGCAGAGATGTCTTGCTGGGAACTACTTTAGAACTAATTACCTGGGAAGTTCAAACAGGAAAAACCTTTCTATTAAGGAAAATAAGGTTTGGGTTCTAAATGATCAAGACGGTTTAGCTCGTCTCTGCTGATTAAGTTAATTTAATAAGTGATCAATGTTTTACCTGTAGGAAAACAGGCTAACCACTTTAATGAAGTTGGGGTGGATGCCAAAGCAACGCGTAAAGACGAAACTCCTCTCCGGGACCCTCCTGAACACCTGTTGAACTCCAGGGCTTCTAACTTTCCGTACTAAAGCCTCCCGGACACAAGCTCGGGAGTGTTTAGACTTTGTGGAAGTGCGTGCGTATATTCAAGGTTTCCATCTTGCTTAATCAACAAAACTAGTTACTAATTATTTATGAATCACAGGGCTGAAACAAACTTTCTTACCTTGAGCAATTAAGGAGTGGCAAGCAGAGGAGCGGGACTGGTTCTGAATTTAGCCGGGTGGTGCCTGTCCCTTCCCTGGTTACCGACCTGCCCAGCTCTTCAGAAAGGTCAAAGGTGCGTCCCTCCTCGGCTGGGAAAGGGGCACATCTCCCAACAAAACCATACGCATACATCCAACCTGGGGAGCTCCGGAGTTGGGGTGGGGGGGCGGCAGCGACGTGAGGAGCCAGGCTGCACGCTGTCTGCGCACACGGGGGTTGGGGGCACCGATTCCGCACCCAATCCGGCCCGGAACCAATTCCGACCCAGGGACTCCGAGAGACCGCGGGCCCAGGGCGCGCACGCCGCACTCTCCGGGGGTCCAGGACGCCCGACGTTTCGGAGGGTAGCGCGATGGGTCTCGAAGACAACCACGGGCAATCCCCAAAGCTGTTGCCCTGGGGCACGATCCTTCTCCACCCTGTCGGACACCCCGAGGACCCCCAAATTCCGAGGCTCGGATGCCCAGTCCTCTGTCTTCTGCGTCGAGACGCGCCCGGAGCCCACCGGCCCAGCGATTGCTACCTCCTGCAGGACGCGAAGCCCCCAGCGGCCTGACTGTGGAGGGGAACCCACCTCTCCGCGCCCCCGCGTCCGGGGTCCCCGGTGCCGCGCAGCCTCGCGCCTGAGCGCCCCTCCGCCCCCGCGCGTCCTCCACGCTGGCGAGCAGGTGACCGAGTCCTGCGACCCCGCGCGCACGTACTACCCACCCTGGGTCCCCCGCGCCCCTAGGCGCGGCCCCTTACCTCGGAGCGGGCCGGAGCGGCCCCGCGGGGCCGGGCGCGGACTGGGCCGGGGAGACGCGCCTCCCGCCGCCGCTGGGAGACGAGGCGGCGAGCGGGCGCGGCGAGCTCCTCCCGGGCGGCGGCGGGAGGCGCTGCTCTAGCTGCTGCCGCCGCCGCCGCCGCCGCCGCGGCTGCGGGTCTCCGGGCTCCGCGGCCGCCGCTCCTGGGCCGCAGCCGCGCGGGTCCCTCGGCTCCTGCGAGAGGCCGGCTGCTCGCGCGGCAAACTCTTCCGCACGCAGAGCCGGCGGGGAGAGCCGCCTCCGCCTCTGCCTCCTCCCCTGCCTCCTCCCTCCACCCTCCTCCCTCTCCACCTCCCCCTCCTACCCCCACCCTCCTCCTCCTCCCCTCGCCTGCCTCCGCCTGCGGGGTCTCTCCTGGCCCCGACCCAGCCTGGGACAAGCACCCCGCGCGCGCCGCAGGCAGACGGACCCCCGGCCCCCTAGACCCCCGGCTTCCCTGGGCGGCGCAGACACCCGCGAGTCCCCAGGCCGCCGCAGCCTCTGCTGGGCTGCCAGGGACGCGCGGCGGGGTCGGGCCTGGGGCGCAGGGTCGGGGTTGGGCGCCGGGGCTGGGGGAGGGGGGGGTTGTGCTTCCAGGTGAGCCGGCCCAGAGGAGAGGCAAGTGGACTAGAGGCTGCCAGCCGAGGTCCCATTAAAGTTGTCACTCGGGGGGAACAAGGAATCTGCCGCCCCCGCCTAGTGTAGACCCTCGCAGTGCGGGCCGCCACCCTGCTGTCCCGCGCAGGGGATGAAGGGGGACGAGCACGCGACTGTCACCCCCTCCACACTGTCCTCCAGGGGCAGGGTTGCGCGCAGGTCTCGACCCAGGGCACAAAGCGCGTCTCTGCGGGGACCACTGCGATTTCTCAATGAGCGGCGGGGGTGCGGCCCGGGGGCAGGTGGGAGGCGGGGGTCGGGGAAGATGCGGGCGAGCGGTGGTCGGCGGAGGACAGCAGCGACTGCTGGGGAGGAATAACCAGTGCCTGTCCTAAGGCGAACGTAGCTGGTCCGGAAAATGGGTCAAGGATGGAAAGGAACCGGCTAATTGCCCCCCTCCCCGGCAGGGGCACGTGGGGTGTGGGGCTGCGGCCAGGAGCGGGCACTTGGAGCTCCACTCTGCCTCTCCCTCCCCTCCTCCGCTGCCCTCCTCTCCTTTTGCACCAGTGCAGGAAATGTTCCACTGACCTACATATTTTTCCAAACATACGTGACCTTTTTTTTTTTTTCCTCTGTGGGAGGAGACAGGCGAGAATCCAAGAAAAAGAAGCTGGAGAGAGAGGCGCGCGCGAGAAACAGGGAGGATTTTACCAAGGTTCCCGCAAACGCCAAGCGGAGGGAGGCAGAGGTACAGGAATAATCCCCGGGTGCCGGGGCTGCTGTCTGATGCCCTTCGGGGCTCCAAGACAGAGCCGGTGAAAACCGGAGACCGTGTGCCCCGCCGAGGTCCGGAAACGTGGCCGGTTTCCCCTTCACCTGGGCGGCGGCGTTCACAGCGGGGAGGCGCCTGGGTGGAAGCCCGGGAGAGGGGAAAGGTCCCCCTGCCCGCTCCCACGAGGTCTCCGCTCCCCTGGCCTAGGTGCCTGGCCTGGCGCAGCGCTCCGAGCGTGGCAGCCTTTTCCGGACGTCTCTCCGTCCCTCTTACATTCCGGCAAGTGGCCCTGGAAGGAAAGCGCCCCCGCTGGCCCTTTTCTGTCATACTCGATTTTGTGGCCAGAAGGGGTCTCCTAGGGCCTTTGCCCCAAGCGCGCCAGGCCCCCGCGGTGGACTGGGGGTCGCCCCGGACGCTGTTCCTCTCGCTGTCTCGTCCTCTCCCTCGAGTTTGAGACGTGCCCTCTCCCTCGCAGATCCGACCAGCAGCGCCTTATTTGGGCATGCAACCCCACACCGTCAATTAGATCAAAACGCTCACACAGAGCTCCTTTTTACCCCCCCTGTAAAGTAGGTCATTCTCTTTATTTCCCACTTGTATTATTTGTGTCTAATTCTCCTCCTGAAAAATAATCAGCTGCAAGGAGCTTTGAGCATCCTAAGAGCAGCTGTTATTCTCAGGCTTGCTTCTGACTTGGAGGGCTTTTCAAGAAAGAGGAGGAGGCATTTGGCCTGTCATGATTTTGAAGTCCCTCCCTTTCCAAAAGAAGAAACTTTTGTTTGATGGATTTTATTTTGCTTTGTTTTTCTACCCCGTCCTTTTCCTCCAGGCAAGTAGGTTTCACCCCGCCTTTAGAGCGTGGCCATGACTAATATTACTAAAGGATGAAATTGTGTACTTCTAACCGGTTTTAAAGCATTATTTAAAGTCACCTCCCTTCCTTTTTTGCTTTGGAAGAGATTCCAACTCCCTTTTCCTACTCCCTTTTGGGAACTTGTTGAACAATCATTAAATTTTCTTTTAGGAAACCTGGAATGTCCTGTAGTAGTAACTCATCAAATAATTCTGCAGTACAAAAAGTGTTTTTGCTGTGGTCTCTTTTTCTCTGTTGTCCAGTAGATGCCCCTACTAAATGTGGTTTCTGCCTTTTTAGTCCTGGAGATGACGTGTATGTGGTTGTCGTATTTATTCCAAACTCCATCCCGTGTCCTAATGTTAATCTCACCCAGATGGGAAGGATACCTCTAAGATAGGCCACATATCCTATCTGACCATAAGGCAGAGTGGATTCTGCATCACAGAAGCCAGTTAGACTAGGCCCTTTCCCCCACATGCGGAAGAGAGCTACGGAGGAGAGTTGACCCCATGTTCATTCTATGCATTTGACGGTTGAGTTCCTTTTACTGACATCTGTTGAAGGCTTGCCATGAGTCAGGCTGGGCTTGGCCTGTGAGGGATCAAGGGAACATTAAGGCAGTTTCTATACACAAAGGGTTTACTATGTTGAGGCAGGCATAAACACCAGCCAAATAGGGCTAGGGTCAGAAAAGCCCTCCAAGCCAAAAGCAGATGTCCCATGGGTGCCGAGGAAGGACTCAGGATGAGCTTCTTGGAAGAGGTGACATTGGTGCTTGGATTTTTCGTTAACCAAATAACAAAGCCAAGCTACAATAGATCATCTATGCATTGTTCAAAATGTGCAGCATGGAGCAAAAGAGCCATTTCAAAACTGCATTGCCAGTTTTGGGACATTCTCACTGAGTTCCAGTCATTGGGCCTTTAAAAGAACATGGCTTTACTGATTGAATGTTGCCTTGATGTATTCAGGAACTCCAGATATTTTTCAAAGAATCCAAATGTATGGAAGGGAGGATAAAAAAATTTTTGCAGTCAATTTTATCAGTCTTTAGAGGTATCGGTGAAATAATTCAAAGTTCTCACAGTCAAATTGGATATTCTTTTCCATCATAGAAGTTGAATCTGTGGCATATCCTCATTTTAAATATGCACACATTAAATTTTCAAAATATGTATTGGGTGACTATGGGTGTTCATTCGTGGTATTACACAAGGGCAAGAATGTGTGGGCTGCTATACGAATTACAGCACTAGCCCAGGGCTTGGGACTCTTGTTGGATGTATACATTCAATGACTTCAGCATAAGCTTTGGAACAGACAATAAGAACAGGGTTCCATGCCAGATGTTAGCACAGTTTTTCTAGTTAATCACAAGGTGGGAAGGCCCTCTTTCTTCATGTGAATGTCCAGAAGCCCATTTGTGGATTCTTACCTCTGATTATCAGTTTTCACTTCAAAACTCAAAAGAAAAAACACAATACCACGCATCATTGGATAGAATAACATTATGCTAGAGAAGAAAATTGTAGCAACCAAGGCAAAGGGAAGTTGGGTCAGTATAAACGTGAAGAAGAGGCTTTAGAACCCAATAATTGGAGACTGACTCAGAGGCCAGGGCTTATGAAGAGTACCTTTGAAAGCAAGACTGAGGAACGCCTATCATGTGTTTCAAATATCAAGATTAGGCCGTGACAGTGGCTCATGTCTAATCCCCAGCACTTTGGGAGGCTGAGGTGGGCAAATTGCTTGAGCTCAGAAGTTCGAGACCAGCCTGGGCAACATGGTGAAACTCCGTCTCTCAAAAAAAAAAAAAAATTAATTAATTAATTAAAAAAAGAAACAATATCAAGGTTAGCACCTTGATGTGCTGTTTCTGCATAAGCTTCATAGAATAGAAGAGCGCAGGAGGCAGCAGGCTCTCGCCCTCCCGCCTGGGCCAGAGGATGCTACCAGGAGACAATCAAGGCCTTGTACAGCCTGCCTGGTAGGGTTAAGACTTAACTTGGTTTTTGTGCCTATTAGATCATGTGGTTGGCAAACTAAAGAATGAAGTAAGATTTCCTTACAAAGACCGTGTGGAGGAGCCAGGGAGGAAAACAGGGCTGGAGGAGTCTGGAGGTGACAAAGCCCTAAAGCCTTAGCACAAACATATACACAAATCTGAAAAAGAGGTGAGATTATTGCCAATACCGGCACTTGAGAATAATATTTCCTTATGCTTAAGCCCCGCTGAGGAAGTTCTTTCATGTACATTTTCTCTAACAATAAAGTGTGATTTTAGATCCTATCTACTTCTAAGAGGATTTTCATAAATAGACATTATTGTTTTGAGCAGCTTTTGACTCTAAATAACTGAGAGGAAATACAGAAAGGTCCCATACACCCCCCCTCCCATGTACAGCCTCCCCCACTATCAGCATCCCCTCCCTCAGTGCTAGGTTTGTTGTATACATTGACACATCATAATCACCTAGAGTCCATAGTTGACATGAGGGTTCACTCTTGGTGTGTTTGGTCAAATGTGTAATGACACAAATCCACCATTAAGGTATAATAGTATAATACAGAATAGCTCCACTGCCCTAAAAATCCTCTATTCTGTGCCTATTCATCCCTTCCTCCCCCCAACTACTGGCAGCCACTGATCTTTTTATTGTCTCCATAGTTTTACCTTCTCTGGAATGTCATAGAGTTGGAATCATATGGTGCGTACCTTTTCAAATTGGCTCCTTTCAGTTAGTAGTATGCATTTAAGGTTCCTTCATGTCTTTTGTGGCTTGATAGCACTTTTTTTTAAAAGCATTGAATACTATTCCATCATCTGGATAAGAGAATTTTTAAATGATATTTTACTTAATAATGTTTTCAGGAATAAAAGGTGACATTTATCTAATACTTATATGCCAAGGTATTTACATTACCTCATTTCATCTTCATAAGGTCCTGTACAAAAAAAGTGTTTAATTATTTCCAGTTGGCAGATAAGGAATCTGACTTAGAGGCTCAAGGTGCCCTCAGTCCCTTGGCAAATGCAAGACAGAGCAGGACTTGAAACTGACCCTGATGACTGCCAAGCCCGGGCTTTCTCCCACCCAGCCCAGCACATCGCCACATCCAATGCCAACACAAAGATATTCACGGCATCATTCACTCCCCATGAGATCTTGCTGGGTAATGAACTGATACCAAAGCAGTGTTACACACTTCTTGTCTCTGTTTTCTCTCATCCTCCCATCAGTGCATCAGTTATTAATATCTTTACTCCATTCTTAAAGCAGCTGTCTTCCAAGTGCTTGAAATAGAATTCCAGGATAAAGGATTGGATTGGCAAAAGAGCAATACTAGGTCCTGATCATTCATATAAGGAAATGAAGTCAGTGGGTCGATACATGGGTTATTGGCCTACTGGCATCTCACCAAGGGCACTGTTTGGACTTTGGCAACAGACTGGATGGGAGTGTTCTTTTGTAAACATATGCAATCTTCAAACCAGCTCTGGGCTTCAGGTTGGGAAAGGATGCAAGTTCCTCTCATTAAATGGAAAGTTTGGGTGCAGGTCAGGCATGCTCATCTTGGCCCAAGAATATGGGACCAGTGCAGGTCAGCCCAAGGCAGGGGCTTTGCTCAGCTGTTACCTCCGGTCATCCTGCTGGTTAAGGTAGTGGCCGGGGATGGAGCCTTTCTCACTGGAACAGGAACATTTTTCAATGGTCAGCGCAAATTCTGAGTGCTCCAGGGAGGCATTTAAATGACCCCATCCTAGCCAAACAGCCATCAAGAGGGAACCTATGGAATGCAGAAGGGACACTGATTTCAGAGCATGTGGAAAATAGAATGAAGAAAAGTCTTTTGTGTAGCAGGGTGCTGGGAGTTGTGGGGGGAGGAAGGTGCGAGGGCAGCAAATGTGGGGGAACTGTAAATGTACCAGAAGAATGGGAGGTGTTGTTTAGCTCCTGCAATTAGCTGAGAGGATTTCAGAAGTCACTGTGGAATTGGAACTAAAGTGCATTGAATGTAGAAAAATCCATTTCAGCTCTTTCAGGTGTTTGCCCTGGCCCTCCTTCGTGGAGACTCAAACAAATTTGAGATTTGCACTTTTCTAAAAAGTGCAAGGAACACCCTTTAAGAATAGGGCCAAGAAACAGCTGTATGGAGGCTCAAGCAGCCATTGTCTTTAGTTGCTCTCAACACCTGCCTGTTTAACTCAACTATGAAGAGGTAATTTAATGTGTTTGCACACGTCTGTTTGTAAGAGCACATACACCCCAAATGGGCACTTCCAGTCAATTTCATAGTGTGGTTTCCATCTCTGTCTCATTTAAAAATTCTCTGACTTCCGTGCAATGCCGTTTGTTCAGTTTCAACATTAACAGATGCATAATCTGCCATATACTTTGCCCAGGAAGAACATCTAGTGATATGAAATTCATTACACATAGTTCACTTGAAGTGAAAGCTAATTATAGAACAATGTTCTCCAAGGAGCTATTTATAGCCCCTCCCAAGTAGACAGCAGACAACGCATTTCCTGTATGGGTAAGCATTGTTTTATTAGTATGTTTTGTTGCAAGATTTTGGTGAGAAAAAAGCTTTTCTCAATGGCCCCAGTTGAGCACTTGTGTGGACAGTGAACACGATTCCATGGTAAAGACAACCTCATTTGATGTTGTTAATGCACATGTGCTATTACATGTTGCTTCAGATTTCTTCCTTTCCAGTCAAATAAAGGCTTTAAAGGACACTTTTATCGTGGCAACTAGGCTTGATTGTATTTTTACATTCCAGAAATTGGTAATTAAAGTCACCTTTTCTTTCTATTAGTGAGTTCCAGATGGTTCAGGGTGCCTATATCCGGGATCAGTTATTAGGGCTTTTATTTAAAGACTTTTCACTTGAGAATTTAAAATGCCAATAAGTGGCATTTTGTTTTCCTGACCCTTCATAATTCAGAGTAGTGGTCTTCAAAGTATGTTCTTTGGAAGAACAGCATCAGTGTCACCTGTGAACTTGTTAGAAATGCAAATTTAGAAGCACTACCCCAGACCTGCGGAACCTGAAACCCTGGGGTGCCAGCCCAGCAATCTCTGTCAAACAACCTTTCTGGAGATTCCAATGCACATGAAGTTCATTCGAGGTCCACTGGTTTATACAGTTGGTGATGAGGCTAGTAGGGGGTTATTCAACTCTCCTGTGGTTTGCACTAATTGTATTGATCTTCCTGTGCCAGGCCCTGGGCTAAGAGCATTAACTTATTTAATCTTCACGCCTACCCCCTGAGGGCAATTTTCTTATTATCCGATTTGACAGATGATGGAATGGAGGCCTAGAGATGTGGAGTTACTTGCATAAGGCAACATGGCTGGCAGGGAGCAGAGCCAGGTTGGACACGTGGGCCTCTCTGCCACCCACACCTGTGCTTTGAGCAGCCTACAGTTATGCTATCTTGAGGGGATACTTAGTCAAGTGATTGATAAGAATTTTAAATAAGCCTTCCTCAATTCTTCTCCCCGTTTCTCAATTCCTTGGTCCCTTCCCTTTCTCTCAGTGTCTCCTGGTCATTTCTTCTCTCTCTTGCTCTCACTGTCTCTCCCTCCCTCCCTGCTCCATGGACATGAGTACTTTAACATATGATCATCCTATCGTTGATCTCTTTCTCATTAGCTCCTCATCAGAGTACAGTTTGGTCGAGTCTAAAACATAGTGTTGAGCCACAACCTTCTGACTTCAGGGTGTGTGATGAACCAGTTGGCTTGATGTGGCTGTCAGATAAGCGGAAGCCGGCAGGGTGGGACACTGAGTTACAGGCATCCTGTAACTCCCTGTAATGTAACTCCCCCTGTAATGTACAGCAGATTTATGAACTGCAGGGGCTGTGCCTGCCACAGTGCAAAGCAAGTTCTGTAGGCATTGTTTGAACTCACTGGAGCTGGTAGTCTAAGGGAAATGACACTAACTTGGGTCACCAAGTCAAGAAGTAGATGTCTGTACTGTAACATAAAAATAAAAAATTGGCATAGGACATGGATGACAAGTGTAAAACATTAAGGTAATAGAATGAGAGCACAGAAATACACCCTTACATTTATGGTCAATTGATTTTGACAAAAGTACCAAGACAATTCAATGGGGAAGGAGTAGTCTTGTCTTCTTTTCTTTTCTTTTCTTTTTTTTTTTTTTTTTGAGACAGAGTCATGCCATATTGTCCAGGCTGGAGTGCAATGGTGTGATCTCAGCTCGCTGCAACATCCACTTCCTAGGTTCAAGCAATTCTCCTGCCTCAGCCTCCCTAATAGCTGGAATTACAGGCACACGCCACTATGCCCGGCTAATTTTTGTAGTTTTAGTAGAGATGGGGTTTCACCTTGTTGGTCAGGCTGGTTTTGAACTCCTGACCTCAGGTGATCTGCCTGCCTCGGCCTCCCAGAGTACTGGGATTACAGGCGTGAGCCTCCATGCCCAGCCAAGAGTAGTCTTTCTAACAAACAAATAGTCCTGGGACTGGATATCAAGACACAAATGAAGTTGGATCTCTACCTTGCATCATGTTCAAAAATTAACTCAAATGGATCAACTGCATAAATATAAGAGTTAAAATGATAAAATCGCCAGGAAGAAAATGTAGGTGGTAAAGCATCATGACCTTGAATTTGGCAAAGGATTCTAAAATTGGCAAAGGACTCTTGTATAACACCAAAAGCACAAGCAACCAAAGAAAAAGATACATTAGACTTCATCAGAAGTGACAACTTGTGATGATACTATCTAGAAAGTGAAAAGACAACCCATAAAGTGGGAGAAAATATTTGCAAAGCATGTATCCGATAAGGGACTTGTATCTGCAATTATAAAACTCTTATAACTCAGTAATGAAAGACAAATAATCTAATTTTAAAATAGGCAAAAGATCTGAATAGACTTATCTATAGTGTATAGAAAGTATACACTTGGCCAAAAAGCACATGGAAAGATGCTCAACATTATGAGTCATGAAGGAAATGTGAATTAAAATCAACATGAGATACCACTTCACATTCATTAGGTTAATAAATTTTAAAAAATTGAAAATGACTAGTGTTGACGAGGATGTGGAGAAATTGAAACCCTTATACACTGCTGGTAGGAGTGTAAAACGGTGCAGTCCCTTGGAAAACCAGAGGACAGCTGTTCAAAAAGTTAAACATAGTTACCATGTGATTAGGCCATTCCAGTCCTAGATATGTACCCAAAAGAAATGAAAACAAATGTCCACACAAAAACTTGGACAAGTGTTCATAACAGCATTATTTGTAATAGCCAAAAACTGGAAACAGCCCAAATGTCTGTCAGTTGATGAACAGATAAGCAAAATGTGGTATATCTATACATTAGAATATTATTTGGCCATAAAAAGGAATGAAGTACAGATAACGTGCCACCACACGAATGGGTCTTGAAAACATTAAGTGAAAGAAGGCAGTCACAAAAGAAGACAAATTCAATAATTGAGGATTCCTTTTATATGAAAGTCTAGAGTAGGCAAATCTATAAAACAGAGAGTAGATTTTCGTTGCCTATTTCTGGGGACATGGGGACTTGGAATGTAATGGATAAAGGGTATGGGGCTTTAGGGGGTAATGAAAATGTCCCAAAATTGATTGCGGTGAAGTTTGCATGACTGTGAACACGCTGAAAACCATTGGGTTGTACACTTTACACAGGTTAATTGTATGGTATGTGAGTTATGTCTGAATAAAGTTATTAACCGAAAAATGGAAAATATAACCAACTCTTCCTTCTTGAAGCCTTGTTCATCCTTCCAACGTCATGCTTCCTTCACGCCCAGGCCTGACCTATCCTTCTCCTCCTCCTCATGCCGCTCCCCTTCTTCTTCTTTTGCTTCTTCCTGCTGCCCCATAAGTGAGCACGTCTCCAAGGTTCTATCTTTAGTCTCTTGCTCTTCTCTTTCTCTCTGGGGAGAGCCCAGCCCTGTGGTTCTTTTCCAAAGTCTCTCTCATCTGTACCTCTGATCCTGACAGCTTCTCTCAGCTCTCCTCCCACACTCCCAACTGCCTGCTGATATTTCCATTTGGACATCTCCAACTTAGCTTGTCTAACACTACATCGATTCCTTTTTCCCTCTTCTCCCTACCCCAGCTCTTTCTCCCAGCCTCGCTAGTCCTATTCATGAGGTTACTTTTCTCCCAGTTATCTGAGCTTGAAGCTGAACTCTGCCTTTAAACTCTGTCTCCCTCGTCTTCTCCCATTGTTCAGTCACTGAATCCCAGGAGATTCTTGCTTCCACTTCTTGCTTTCACCCAGCTCTTCCTTCCCATTCCCACTGTCTCTGTTTTCTGCAGTTTAGCCCTAATAAGGAATATTCACTAACCTTCTTACTGGCCATAGTAGCTACAGAACATGAATTGTAGAGAAAAAGGATGTAAATTTGCAGCTGAAGGGAGGGCTTCAAAATTCCTGCTGTGACCTCCGTGCTGGAGGTTTTGCAAGAGAGTTGCACAAAAGAAGATAAAACCCAAGGGCCTGGAGAGAAGCCTGTTCAAGAAGCAGGTTGCCTTGGGAAAATGGAAAGATACCCAAGGGAGTGGGTTCGGAGAGCCCCATTAACAGGCCTGATAACTGAGCCAGTGTACACTGGCACCGCCATACTGGTGGTTAACATGCTAAAATATTTTGTGCTGGTTGCTAAACAGCCACCATCCTGAGCCCCCAATGATCTCCCGCCTTCCTGCTGATCCTGTAGGACTCCCTGAAACTCCCCACCACATGGCGATCAGGGGCCCAGGGCCCTGTGGATGTCTGTGCTGTGGTACAGCTCTGACCCTGGAACCCCTGGCTTCTCCAGCGGCTGTCAAATCAAGTCCACACTCCTTGGCATTCTTGGGGTCCATCTTTTTTTTTTTGGAGATGGAGTCTCACTCTGTCGTCCAGGCTAGAGTAGTGCAGTGGTGCGATCTCGGCTCACTGCAACCTCCACCTCCCAGGTTCAGGTGATTCTCCTGCCTCAGCCTCCCTAGTAGCTGGGACTACAGGCATGCACCACTATGCCTGGCTAATATTTCTTTGTATTTTGAGTAGAGATGGGGTTTCACCATGTTGGCCAGGCTGCTCTCGAACTACTGACCTCAAGTGATCTGCCTGCCTCAGCCTCCCAAAGTGCTGGGATTACAGGCATAAGCCACCACGCCCGGCCCTTGGGGTCCATCTTAATTTAGCCATAATCCAGCTTTCTGGTCTGTCTTCCACTCCTCCCTACAGTGAGGTCCCTGGACAGTATGGGCTTTTGCTCTCCCAGCACCACATCCTTGCATTTGCCTTTCTTCCCTTCTCGGTCTGCTGAAACTCCTTCTGTCCCTTGAGGTCTTGATCATGTGCTACCACTTCCAAGAAGTTGTCTCTGAGTCCTGTCAGAAGTAGCCTTTCTTCCTCATGGCACACATATGTACGCATATATACATATGTACATATTCTTGTATGTATTTTTATGTCCATGTTTATGGTCAAGTGCATAAAAATGGTTCTATCAGTTAGGATTGTTTTTCATATAGAAAAAGAACTCTTGCTTCCAGGGTGTGGGCTTCAGATGCCCTCTCTACCTACCATACTTACGAATCTGGTCAGTTCATCCAGCCTCATGGCTGGAAGTTCTGTCCAATCCATGGGCCATCGGCTCCCAGATGAGTAGCTCCAGCCTTAAATACCCCATTGCCTACTTGGCAAAGTAAACTTCCTAAGTCCTAACTTAGGCAGTGGGAGAATGGCGTCCAACATATGCAGAATTCACAGCTTTTCCCTGCTACACTTCATACTTAAATGTCTCTCTTAAATTAAACCTCATGCGCTTTGAGTTGTAAGCTCTAGTGTGTCTGTGAGCAAAATATTTTAACAGCTTCCATTTTTAATTTTTATTTTATTTATTCATTTTAAAAATTTTTATAGATTTATGGAGTACAAGTACAGATTCCTTGCAAGCGTGTATTGCGTAGTGGTGAAATCTGTTTTTTTGGTAAAAAAAAAAAAAAAGTAGTGACAGTTCTAACTTTCCTGAACTGGTGAGCAGAAAGGACATTTCACATACAAAGTCAATGTCCAGTTGAAATAAGAGAGAATAAAATTGCAGTGCCCTATCAGGGACTTGCAAGTGGACGAGAGCTTGCATTTTATATCCTAGATCCCAGCCGAGGGCTTCAGAGTTGGTTCTGTTCCAGTGACCTCTCCTGGCATTCTCAGGGTCAGAGAGTGTTCCTGGCTGCCCTTCCTCCCCTCTGTGGCACAGCCTCATGGCCTTAAGTCCTGCACACAGGGATATTTGGTTGCATGATGGAGACGTGGAGGCAGTTTTAGGAAGCTTTGAGTTCTTGCTGTGTGCCGGGTGCTGTACATGTTGACACTTAATTCTCACAACCACCTGCTCAGGCCAGTGCTTCCCTCTTTAGCTGATGAGGAAACTGCGGCTCATAGAGATTCCGTGATGTTCCAGATGCCATCCCCCACGTACGCAGTAGGCCTGGAATGGATGGAGAGTTGTGCATGGTGATTATGCACACAGCCTTCTGTTGAGGTCCTGTCCCTGATTCCCTTGGAGAAGCTTCCCACCCCCTGGCTCCCCACTGACCACATTCCTCTCTCCCTCCTGAGCCTCTGGGAGTGCAGGGTCTCAACGCATCCAGCCACCTGACCACCTTCTCTCCTCCTCACAGCATCTATCCCCTCATTGTTCTCCAGGGAGGCCCATTTCGCTCATCGGTCTCCAAGGAACTGTGGTCCAGCTCTGCCTCCTTCATGTTCAGTTCCACACCGGTCAGCACCAGAATCACCTGGGGCCATCCGGGATGTCCAGGTTCAGATACACTCATGCCAAGATTCTAGCAGAGGCAGATTGCAAATGGTTAGAATTCCTGATGAGTTCAAAGGAATGAATTGAGAAGTCCCAGAAGCAGCACTTAAATCCTGCCTTAATCACTGAGTGAAAAGACAGCAAGTTGGATGGGGATGTGGCAAAGGGGGATGAGGCCACTCAGGGCTTCCATGTCAGATCTAAAAGCAGCTGCAGATGCCTCGGAGTGTCCCGTTGCTGTGCAGCAAGTCTGTGCAGATGTCCATGGTGGCACTGCTTTTTTTTTTTTTAATGTCACCTTATGCCTCCTCCTGGCCCTTGTCATCCAGGCTTGCCTGTCCTGTGTTCTGGGCCTTTAAGGCAGTCTTTGTTTCCTACCAGAGGAGAATGCATTGTGGACAGTTAACCATGGTGAAGGAATCCTGTTCACATGTTGGTGAAGTTGTGTATGACCTCCGTTAAGTAACATAATGGGTTAACCAGGGCTCTAGCATTCAGCTGTGCAGGTTGTGCACTGCACAACTCAGGGGATTAGTCACATAGACTCCTGATCCATTCGAAATACCCTAGAACTCAGGAAGCCCTTAGGGTGATGATGCAAAGGGTGGGAGGTTGGTACCTTTGCACGAGGACTCTGGAAGGGATGATATATTTTGCAGGAGGAGACAGCATAACCTGTTGCAGGATCAAGAGCTTTAGAAATAGGCCCACCTGGTCTTGGATTTCATTGTCACCATATCACCACTGAGGGCCTGGATCACCCAGGCAGTTTACTTGACTTCTCTGAGTCTGTAAAAGGGAGGATAGGAAAGAGTTTTCAAGTTCGGGGTGGGGGTGGTGAGGGCTAAATGAGCTGATATGAGTGAGGCACCCTGCAAAGAGGACACTGACACATACAACTCTCTTTTTAAAGATGGGCCTCTGGCAGCACTCCCTATCCCATCATGCAGGCAAGCTCTTCCTTCACTCTCGGTGCTGGGGCAGCCCCTTTGGCTCTGGTCAGCAGGCCTCTGCTTCCTGCATTATTTCAGTCCTTCCTCTACTGGGAAAGGGAAAAAATTATTTCGGTCCTTCCTCCGCTGGGAAAGAGACCCATCTGAAGGATTCCTCATCACCTGAATCCAGATACAGAGAGCTTCGGGCAGTTGCGCGTGTATGTACACACCGCCCTACCAAACACACACAACCCTTTATCATAATAAAGGGGTAATATGATATGATATCATAATATGATAAAATAGACATAATAAAAATTTACCATTTAAATCATTTTTTGTGTACAATTCAGTGGATTAAGTATATCACATTGTGCAACCATCACCCCATCCATCTCCAGAAGTCTTTTCATCTTGCAAAACTTGAATTCTGTCCTCATTAACACTAACTCCCCATTTCCCCCCAGCTCCTGGCAACCCCCATTCTACTTTCTGTCTCTATGAATCTGACTACTCTAGCGGCCTCATGTAAGTGGAATCATACAGTGTTTGTTCTTTCGTGATTGACTGACTTCACTAGGATGTTGTCAAGGTTCATCTATGTTGTAGCATGTGTCAGAATTCCCTTCCTTTATAAGGCTGAATACTATCTCATCGAGTGTATAGACCACACTCTGTTTATCCACTCATCCACTGATAGATGCTTGCGTTGCTTTCCTCTCTTGGCTGCTGTGAGTAGTGCTGCTATGTACATGAGTGTACAGAGAGATCGGTTCAAGTCCTTGCTTTCAAGTCTTTTGAGTATATACCCAGAAGAGGAATGGCTTGATCACATAATTCTATTTTTAAATTTTTGAGGACCTGCCATACTGTTTTTCACAGTGGCTGCACCATTTCATATTCCCACAACAGTGTATGAAAGGTCCTGTTGTTCTACATCCTCTCCAACATTTGGTATTTTTCTGTTTTTCTTAAATAGTAGCCATCCTAGTGGGTATTATACATATATTTTAGAAATTAATAATGCACACCTTCTTGTAGTTTTCTTGATTTCTTCATGGCTACCTCCTTAGATTGCTGAGGGCAGAGAGATGGAAATTCCTGCATCTTCTCAGAAGTGATGGGACAGAGGAGTCCCCAGAAGTGTGCACACCTGACTCAGTCTGTCCTGAAGACAGGGGGACAGTGGGGTGAGAGGAAGCACAAACTAGGTTCAGTTGTTCCTCCTGAGTGAGGTTTCAGGAAGAGCTCTGAGAAGGGGATAGCTCCAGAAGACAATGATTTTGTCTTGCACACGTGTCTTTAGTATCCCCATGAGGGCAATGTATGTTTGTATTTTTTTTATTTGGGCACAATTTTGGCACTCCACTAACTCCAAGTAATAGAATTGCTCTTTCATTCAGAGCAATCATTGGCAATCTAGTGCCGGTCTCTTCTTCTTTTCTCTCTCCTTTCCCTTCCCCTTCCCACCCTCCTTTTATTTTTTTCATAAAATGGATGCTGAATTATCAGCAGAAAGAAATAAAGGGGCCAAGAGCAGCCTGTCCCCAGTTTGAAGAATCCTCATGCACTGCCATTAAGGAATTGCCGTCCCAAACACCAGAGGTTTGTGTGGGCCATGCGGCCTGAGGAAGTTGCCTTCTCAGATGAGTGTTGCCCAGGCTCTGCCCTGGGCTCCAAGCACAGCATCCCCTGAGATGGTGCCTGGAACTGGCTCTTGTGGCAGGACTTGGCCATCTGACAGCAATCACCTGCAATCTGTCCCGAGCTACCTGCTGAAGAACTCTGCCACTTGGAACCCCAGTGTGGCCTTTCCTGCCTCTGTTCCTGATACCATCTGGCTCTGTGTTCCCACCCAAATCTCGTCTTCAATTGTAATCTGAATTGTAATTCCCATGTGTTGGGGGAGGGACCTGGTGGGAGGTGATTGGATCATGGGGGTAGTTCCCCCATGCTTGGTATAACCCCCCATGGTTATATAAGGGGCTCTTGTCCCTTGACTCGGCACTTCTCTCTCCTGCTGCCTTGTGAAGAAGTACGTATTTGCTTCCCTTTCTGCCATGATTGTAAGTTTCCTGAGGCCTCCCCATCCATGTGGAACTGTGGGTCAATGAAACCTCTTTCCTTTATAAATACCCAGTCTTGGGTATTTCTTTATAGCAGTGTGAAAACAGACTAATACAGTTCCCCAGACTTTCCAAGTAGCCACTCTCTCCCAGCTGCACTGGTAGCCCTCTGGAGAAAGAACAGGAGAATTCTACACACTTCCATTTCACTAGAAGTGACATGAAGAATAATGCAGGAACCAAGAGGATGAGAGAGAAGACTGTTCACTCAGTAACCCCTGGCTTTCCTGGCCTGAATCACCCTGAAAGTCCTGGAACCCCACCCTTCCCTCTGCTGTCCATAGATGGAGGATTTGGGATGTGCACCTTCACTGCATGCCCACTCCAATGAGCATCTCTCTTCTGGTCGCTGTGCCATTCAGCAATTATTAAGGATCACACCTTGACTTTTCACCCATGATAGTTAAAAAGATAGATCAAAGCAATTGAGAATGTGCGATAGCCATAGAGAGAAGATAACAGCAGGCAATTTGTTAAAATGAATTTTGATTTAAATCCTGACATACACCCCCACAACTGCCTGCACTTCCCACTTCCTAACAGTTGGATCCAGGAGAAGGTTACAAGGACCGCTGGGAAATAATAGTTCTCCAGCCCCTTCATGCGCAGGGCCTGAGCTACCCAGTAGGGCTTCTGTAATAAAGAAGTGGTGTTTCCATCTGAGTGCCGGAACCAATGGGAACAAGCCCCTGTGTGGGTGTGGGAGTCATAGCTGGGCTCTTGGGCTGAATTTACATCCTTTGTCTGCAATTAGCCAGTCGCTCCTTCTGAGAACACGAATAGTTCACTCTGTCATAAATGGGAATGCTGTTCTCATCCCAATGGGAGGGAAGATGCCCAGAAACATGTTTAATGGGTTTTATTTGATACTTAGAAACATTGCAGTGATTTTCGGTTTCCAAAAAGGACATGTTGATAACTTTTCCATATGGTAGTTTTCTGCTATGACTGCTAGTGGCTTGGCAATTTTTAATATTAAATTCCTAATGGTAAGCAGAATTCCATCCAGTTTTAAATCCATAAGACCAATTATATTTTTAGAGAAGTCATTACTTTTGTTTTTATTCATATTGAAAAAGTATCTCTGTCACTGCTGTGGTCCAAATGATGTGTCCCCTCTGCTTCCAAAATTCATAGCTCGAAATCTTTACCCCCAAGGTGGTGGTGTTAGGAGGTGGAGACTTTGGAAGGTGATTCAGTCATGGGAGTGGAGTCTGCATGAATGAAATTCATGCCCTTATAAAAGAGGCCTGAGAGAGACCCCTGGCCCCTTCCATCCTATAAGGACGCAGTGAGAAGGTGCCGTCTATAAGCCAGGAAGTGGGCCCTCATCAGAAAACCCTACTGGCACCCTGATCTTGGACTTCTAGCCTCCAGAACTGTGAGAAATAAACATTTCTGTTTGGGTTTTTTTCTTCTAAGAGACAGGGTCTTGCTCTGTCACCCAGGCTGGAGTGCAGTAGCATGGTCATGACTCACTGCAGCCTCGACCTCCTGGGCTCAAGTGATCCTTTCACCTCAGCAACTGCGATCCCCCCACCCCTCTGTCCCCCCTCCTCAAGTAGCTGGGACTGCAGGTGCACCACCACACCCGACTAATTTTTTTGTTTTTTGGTAGAAATGAGGTCTTGCTATGTTGCCCAGGCTGATCTCGAACTCCTAGGTTCGAGTGGTCTTCCCACGTCAGCCTCCCAAGCAGCTGGGAATACAGGTACGTGCCACCATGCCTGGCTAATTAATTTCTGTTGTTTATAAGCCATCAGTCCATGGTATTTTGTTATAGTAGTCTGAACAGACTAAGACAGTCCCCAATCCCACAGTTATCCCATCTTGTCAGATGTGGCTCCAGGCTCACGAAAGCCCTGGGGGATGGACTCAAAGGCACCCTCAGAGGCCTGTGGTTCTCGTGGTTCAGAGTCTCCGGCATTGCATTTCCCAGCGTTACCTTTTCCAATTCCAATAACATTCTGTGCGTCAGCGTTGCCAGGGCAGATGCAGCCAGGCCCAGGATAGAAACCTTTTTTTCCAGGCAGAGATGACTCTCATGCAAGCAGGCCGGCTTCCCTGCCCAGCAACAGGCTGTCTCACACAACTGAAAGATTCAAAATGCCTTTCCCTAAAAATATCCAAGAAGACTCTTACAAAAATTGTTTAGTATTGCTTGTTTTTCTCTCTTACGGGTGGTATTCGTAGTAGAAGAAATTACATTTATGCACTTAATAGAGATAATGAAGATGATCTTAAGAATGGTATTAGCTCTGGAAATAACCCAAATATGGGTGATGTCTGATATGAAAGCTGATCTTCAGCCTGAGATTTCTAGAACTTTTGAATTGATTTGCAACTCTCCCATTAGAATTGTGAATTTCATTTGTAAAAGGCAGGAAATTCACACATGTCAAGCCTGAATGACTACTTAGTGTAAAAGATAAATGAAAACCAGCCTTTTCAGATGCAACTTCAGTACAACCCTTCACTTTTGTGACTTTTTTCTTTCTTACTTGCCTCTGTAAATTAAACCATTTTCAGCTCAAGGGCTGAGGCAAAGTGATGCTTTTAAAAATCTTGTTTATATTTATTTATGCCGGACACTAGGCATGCCATAACATACCAACCTGCTGATGCCAGGTTATAACTTTAAGCAAATCACTTCACAAAAACATTCCTAGAATGGTTCTCTAGGGAAGGGCTTCCCTGGTACATTTTATCTCAGGGATCTGTAAAATGTAACAGACTATATTGGTCTGGGTTCTTAGTTGTAGGTAAAAGAACCATCTCTGTTTAAGCAGAGATTTATGAGGGATGGAGCCAGCCTTCAGAATTGCTGGCAAGGATGAAAAAAGACTCTACAATAAACTCACAGGAACAAGGTCCAAAATCACCCCACAGAGCTGGGTACCAAGGAGGCTGCTGTCACAGAAGCCCAGGACCATGCTGCCTAGGCCTGGACTGGTACTTGCAAGTTGATATGCCCTCTCTCCATGCAAATAATTTCAGAATCCAAGTTGCCTGTGCTTGCATCTGATCTGTAGTTCCTAAGTCTCACCCTGATCCCTAGTTGCCAAGAAATCTGGAAAATGTAAACTTGAGCTTTCCAGCTCCTTCTGTGCAGGAAAGTGCATTAGAGTGGGAGAGGAATGGAGGTTGAAAAAGTCAACTCACAGTAGCTACCACATGTGAAACAGAAACAGAGCGGCACGTGGTGGGGAGGCTGGCTGGGAGAGATGGGGAAGGAACAGACAACACAGCCTGGGCAAATGAAACCCATCTTTCAGCTGCATTGGACAAGATTTAGCCCCCAGAGAATACAGTTTGAACCAGTTGGTGGAGAGGCTGGGATTGGTCAGTGATCAGAGTATCCTGGAGAAGTTTAACCAGCACAGTGCCTAACTGGCCAGCTGATGCCCCTTGAGGTCCACCTTACAAGCCACGCTGCGGGCAGGTCAGAGAATGTCATTACCAGTTGGGTCTCCTGTCCCGGGAGGGCTCATGGCCTCTTCTCTCCCTACCAGGCATCCAGAGGCCTCTGGAGTTCCCCATCCCTGCCTCACCCACTCCTCCCCTGTGTCCAGGTTTTCTCCTGGGTGGCCCTGGCTCTTGGAAGGTGGCAGGTGCTTCTCCTCCAAGCTGGGGCCCAGTCTGTGCCTCCTCATCATCTGAAGTGGAATGTACAAGATCAGACGTTTATTTCCATGTGTAGCTTGAGAAAGCCATCTCGTGACAGTACAGTTATTCCTTTTATGTTTGCTTGTCTCTTTTCAGTTGGCTTTCATAAAAATCACCAGATTTTAAGAGAATTGTGGATATATTTGAAAGAGGCAGTAATAGCAATGGCAATGGCCTCATTGTATTTTCACTACGCTTTTGCATCTGCCTATACAACCATCTTGTGAGCTAGGTTCAACTATCTTCAATTTATAGGTGAGGAAACTGACATTCAGAAACGTTAAGTGACTTGTATAAAGTAACACAGCAGCTCCAGTCTGACCGCTATCCTGTGACCCTCAAGTAGGAGGTTCTTTCCTCAAATACTTTACTCTCTTGATGTAAAGACATGAACAACAATAGAAGAAAATGGGAGGCGTGGTATTGGTGAGGGATGTGTGTGTGAGTGTTTGTGTGTCTGTGTGAAAGGCTCATGCAGATTTTTATGAATTTTACTTAAATGTACAGACTGTATATTAATCTAACCACAGTGCACGGCAGGTAGGATGTTGCATTTTCAATTGAGATCTTACAACGCGGCAAGTTATCTGTCATTATTCTGTTGCTCTACCTTAACAAAGCAAGGGTGGTGGCAGGAATCAGGCCAGGACTGTACACATGCTTTTTATGTGCCACATGGGGCCCATTGGCAAGATGCCTGCAGAGAGCTGATGCTCCAGAGAGCTAGAAAACACTGATCAGCGCGTGATGAGGTCAGAGGCTAAGAAGCATCTGTCTGGAAGAATGAATATTGCCTGACTTTGCCTACTAACCCTCACCCTGGACTGGCATTTCCATTTGTCATCTCATGTCACTGGTGAATTAAATGATGAAGGGGACTGTGTGTCTTAACCAAGGTCCTTTAACGAGTGAGTAGCCTGAGGGACCCGATAGATAAGGTGGCTGTCTCTGGACGAACCCTGTGGGCACCGGGAGCATCTACCTGTGTTACTCCCTGGAGGGAAGGGCCCTTCGGCCAGGGGCAGAGGTTCCTGAGAATGGCTAATCCCCGAGGAAAAGGGCTGAGAGTCAGAAGGGAGCCTGGCAGGCATGGCGAGAAGCTGTGGAGGGGGAGATGGGGAATCAGAGATGGTGCCAAGTTCATTCATCTACGCAGCATCCTTCCCTGCAGAGCGCACATGACACAGAGGACACTGAGCTGCCCTTTACCAAAGGACTCTTGCTTTTTGAGAGGCTTCTACTAATTATGATATGGACTATGACAATGATAAGCAATAACACATAACACGTGGAGAGTCATATTAGTCAAGGCCTGCTCTCATCCAGAAGGGCTTTATCTTATTCTACCACCTACAGAGCATATTCAACTGCGGGACCTCGTTTGGTCTGCATGACAGTTTCTGGAGGCAGAAAGATGAGGCTGCTGCTGATTTTTTAGTGAGAATCTCTAAGGCTCAGAGAAGTGAGACTCAACCTTCCTGCTCTGCCCCCCAGCACTCTTTATTTCCATAACACCAATGGTTTTGAGCCAGAGGCACATTATATTAATGCAAGGGGAAGGAAAACAGTGAAAACAGGGTGGGGGAGATATAGGGTTCCCCACCCCCCAGCCCAACCATCCAGAGCCAAGAGTTCACTCTCTCACCCTCCTGCAATCAGACACAGCATGCAGCACATCTTCCTGGCCCAACTCTCGGGAGGCTGTTGGCTCTCCCAAGTCTTCTGCCCAGCAGCAGGTGGCTTCCTGGGTTACGTCCTCCCCACCTAATCGTGCAGAGTCTCCACTGGCCTTCTGCTACAGTAGTGCCTTGTGAGGAAGCCACCTCACCGTGCCGTGGTGGGTGACAGACCACTTGCCCACAGGCTCCCAGTGTAGCTAGAAAGCAGTTCGGAAGGTCAGCCACCCGACAGCCCCACACTTTGTGCAAAACACTGTTTCCTGGTCCCTGAACATGGTCCTGATCCCCACTCCATCCTCCTGTACACACACCAAGAAAAGGTGGCTCCAAAGTTGAGATCATTGCTCTCATCCAGGCTTTAGGTATTCAGGGAATTACGGAGATCACAAGTCCCTGATGCTCCAGGACACAAGGCAAAATGCAACAATTGTCGGAGAAAGGGCAGACACTGTGCTGAGCCTGGAAAGTCTGGCGGGATTTGGAGAGGCGTGGTGGGAAATGTCCAAGTATTTTTGAAACTCTTCATGTTATATTACAGGTTTAGAGGCTATCAGAAAACAGCATCAACTCTATTAGTTTTCTAGGGCTGCTGAAGTAATTATTAAAAACTGAGTGTCTTAAAACAACAGAAATCGATTTCCTCACAGTTCTGGGAGCTAGAAGCCTAAAGCTACACTGCAGGCAGGGCCAAGCTCCCTGTGAGGGCTCTAGGGGAGGGTCCTTCCTTGCTTGAAGTTTTGGGCTTGTCGAAGCATCTCTCCGATCTCTGCCTCTCTTGTTGCATGGCCTTCTCTATGTTTGGCTCTGTGTCCAAATCTCCCTCTCCTTTTTTTCATAAGAACACCGGCCATATTAGTCAAGTTCCACTCTCATCCAGGAGGGCTTTATCTTAATTTGAGTGTATTTGCAAAGATCCTATTTCTTTCTTTCTTTCTTTTTTTTTTTTTTATTTGAGACGGAGTCTTGCTCTGTCACCCAGGCTGGAGTGCAGTGGCGCGATCTCGGCTCACTGCAAGCTCTGCCTCCTGGGTTCATGCCATTCTCCTGACTCAGCCTCCCGAGTGGCTGGGATTACAGGTGCCCACCACCACGCCCAGCTAATTTTTTGTATTTTTCATAGAGACGGGGTTTCACCATGTTAGCCAGGATGGTCTCGATCTCCTGACCTTGTGATCCGCCCGCCTCAGCCTCCCAAATTGCTGGGATTACAAGTGTGAGCCACCGCACCCGGCCTGCAAAGACCCTATTTCTAAATAAAGTCACATTCACCGGTACCAGAGGTTACCACCTACTGGTTCAGATGATTCTCCTGCGTCAGCCTCCCTAGTAGCTGGAATTACAGGTGCCCACCACCACACCTGGCTAATTTTTGTATTTTTAGTAGAGATGGGGTTTCACCATGCTGGCCAGGCTGGTCTTGAACTCCTGACCTCAGGTGATCAACCCTCCTTGGCATCCCAAAGTGCTGGGATTACGGCGTGAGCCACTGCACCCAGCCAGCAATAGGATTATTAATTCAGGGGTGATTGGAGGTAAACATAGTCTTGAATAAAAAACAATTTCCTCACAAGAAAGTCCTTATCATTTGACATTGAAAGGAAAAGAAAAAACAACAGAGAAAACCCTGTCATTGTTGATAGTGAACAAAGCATTTAATCTGATTTAAAGTCCTATGTTTCTACCTGCCTACTTGGCCAAACAAAGCTCTTTAATGCATTAGGTTATATATTCAGTAGCCTTAAAAGTAAGATAAAGAAACTGTACAGCACAGCATCCAGATACATAGTGCCTTTTCAGTTTAAGTGATTTCATAATTTCCCTTTAATTTAAAGTTAATTCTTTAATGGAGACTCATATTTCTGATTTCAGATTTTCTTTTTTTGAAGGAGGGAGCCTAAATTATTCTGTTTGCACAAGTGGACAACATTCCTTTTAAAAGACCAGAATTGCCAAAGACTAGAAGGCATATTCTGAAAACAATGGCTAGATTCATCAGGACTTGCAACAGACCAGCCATGAGGAAGGGAGAGGGAACAAGGTGGGGCGATTCTTTGGGCTCATGGAATGCAGTACTCCATTGACAATTTGATGAATAAATGAACCACAGCAGACAGAAGGTAGGTGCCGTTGTCTGAAATGAAGAAGACAGAAGGCGTGGACTGGAGCAGGAGTGGGACAGAAGACATGAGCTTTATTTTGGAGATACTGATCTCAAGTCTCTAGAAAGATGACACTGGGAGGTGGAAATGCAAAACTGAGATTTAGCAGTGAGGTCGGGGGTGAGGGTACCAGTGCAGAAGGCATCTACGGGAAATAACAGTTGAAATCATGGGAACTGATGCAATGTTTGATAGAGACTGTACACAGAAGAGAAGTTGGCTGAGCATAGATATACACTGGAAATTGTCCACCTTTAAGGGTTAGTGGGTGCGCGATGGTCTGAATGTATGTGTCCCCTCAAAATTCCAGTGTTGAAGCCCAGGGTGATAGGAGATGGGCCCTTTGGGAGATTACATCATAAGGGTGGAGCCCTCATGAATGGGATTTGTGCTTTTTTTTTTTTTGAGATAGAGTCTTGCTCTGTCGTCCAGGCTGGAGTGCAGTGGCGCGATCTCGGCTCACTGCAAGCTCCACCTCCTGGGTTCACGCCATTCTCCTGCCTCAGCCTCCCAAGTAGCTGGGACTACAGGCACCTACCACCACGCCTGGCTAATTTTTTGTATTTTTTTAATAAAGACGAGGTTTCACCATGTTAGCCAGGATGGTCTCGATCTCCTGACCTCGTGATCCGCCTGCCTCGGCCTCCCAAAGTGCTGGGATTACAGGAGTGAGCCACCGCGCCCGGCCGGATTTGTGCATTTGAGACTGTAGAGCTAGGTAGCTCCTTCTGCCGCTCAAGGACACAGCAAGAAATGGGCTGTTTGCAACCTGCAGGAGGGCCCTCACCAGACCCTAACCATGCCAGCACCTTGATCTCAGATTTTCAGCCTGAGATAAAGCTAGAATAGATTTCTGTTGCTTATAAGTTGCCCAGTCTATGGTAATGTATTATAGCAGCTCAAAGAGATGAGGACAGTGGGGCGAGGAGGGCCGGAGGAGACGAATGAGATGATGGATGCAGCATAAAGGTTAGTGTCTGAGCTAGACTTTGGTCAGTGGTAGGATGACCTAGCTAAGGCTGTCCAAGTCCAAGACCAGACACAGCTGCAGTGAAGCACAAGGGCTTGAGGATGGATGCTGTAGGAAGGGTAGGGAGTACGGGGCTGGCAGAGCAGAAGGTACTCAGTATCCTGAAGTTCTGCAAGAGTAGAGCTGGAGCTGCAGTTGGTGCCTCAGGCGTGGCTGCCCTGGGAGGCATGAATTGCATGTCTTGGGGTGATGGTGGCAGGTGGCATGCTGGAAACCAGTGAGAGAAAGGCATCTTGTCAGTCTTGAAAGAAATTTGAGCAGCACAGCTTCCTGGTTTTAAGAGCCTGAGCTCTAGAATCAGATCCATGTTCCAATCCCAGCTCTGCTATGTTGGTGACCTTGGGCAATTTACTGAAGTTAGTTGATGTTCATTTCCCCACCTGCAAAATGGTAAGAAGCTATGAACTGGCACAGATCATGTGACTTCATATAAAGTGCCTAGTCCAGTGTCCCAGGCACAGTAGCTGTCCCATGAATGTTGGTTATTCACAACAGCAATAGTAATGGAACAGTTGTGAAGGCAGGGACGCAGATTTAGAAGATTGGTCAGGCTAGAACAGGACGAGTTCAGGAGCCTCTTCTTTGGCTGAATGTTGTTGAGATTACATGTGTTGCCTGGAACCATGGCAGCTATCTTGGGTCCATGAGGTGACAAGCCTGAAATCCAAGTCAGTGTTCAGAGAGTGGCAGGGCCAGGAGACAGAGGGGGGCCTGCGTGTTTGAAGATGAGTTGAGCTGCCGAACCAAGCCACCTCCTGTCTGGGACCTCCTCGTTAAATGAGATAACAAACCCCTATGCGTGAGCATCCTAACCAATACAACACGTGAGAGATGCTCTTCACGGTGGTTCCCACAGCGGGCTTCTCTGAAGAAAAAAATGGCATGACATATAGACTCCTCCCTGCCTTCTATATTACTGTGCTATCATCTCTCTTAGTAGAGAGAGATGGTGAGGGTGGAATATGTTGGTTGTTCACTGGATCAGAATTATGTGGTCACCACTATGAAGCAATTAAATGCAGGTAGCAGGCTACTCTCGCTCTGTAATGGGGACATGGGGCTGGAGGTTAGGATTTGAAACGTGGCCAGTGAGCTCCCACTGCGTCGAGTCCCTCTCCAGTTTCTCTTGATTTTACCACCTAAATACCCCTCCCACCTGCCTGTTTCTCTCCCACTCCGCTGTCACCACTGCAGTCTTTTACCAGGGCAACAGCGATAGCCTCCGTTGTCATTGCTAACTCGGGTCTAGCCTTGGCCTCTCTGGTTTCTTTCTCCCACCGCAGCCAGAGTGAGCTGTTAAAAACATAAACCTGATCATTGATTCCCTGCTGAAAATCCTTGCCTGTCTTCTCCCCTTCAGACTCCAAAATTGCTCAGGATATGGGTTTAACCCCTTTGTGGGGGGACTGCCCCTGGCTGCCCACCTGCCTCTCAGCTCCTCTTCCAGCAGGTCCAGAACGCTCAGCCACACGGCCCTTCCCTTAGCTCATGGTGGTTGTCTGGGCTCAGACTGTTTGCACACGCTGTTCCTCCCTTCCAGAAACCTGTTCCCACTGGTTCTGCCTGGGTAACCAGCCCTCGGAACTCAGGCCTCACTTCCGGGGAGGAGCCTTCCCCGGCCGCTCCAGCAGGCGCCTCACACTGGACACAGCTGTGACTCCTGCCGGCTCCTATTTAATCACTGTTTCTCCCACAGAACCTTAAGCTTCATGAGAGCTGGGTCTCTGTGTATTCTGTTCATGTCATCTCCTCGGAGGCAGCACAGAACAATTTTGGAATGGATGATTGACATTGCTTTTTTAGTTGTTTTCATTTTTTTCCCCTCATGGTTACCTGATCTTACTAGGTTCTCCTCTTCTCTTGAGTACAAAGAAATCAGGGAGGGTGTTGTGGTGTCAGATGGATTTGTAAGGATGGGGCTGGGGAGGTCGATAGAAAGGAGACAGCCCACGGTGGGGAGGATGGATGAGCAAAACTTCCAGTGGAGACTGTATTTACAGACAGGCCCCAGCAGTGGACAGAAACCTGCCGCAGTCACGGGGATAGTGGGTCCTTCAATTATTAGTTCAACAAACAGGTACTGTTTGTTGCATTTACTCTGGGACCGGTGTAAAGAAGACATGGAGACAGATGAGTAGATGGCTGATGGACAGCTGTAGTCGCTGACGCTCTGGGGACTTAGGGAGGTACACCTCACCCAGGCAGGAGGCTGTGGGGAGTCCCCAGGCTCCCCTAGGAGGCATCATGTTCAAGGATGTGGGAGGGGAATGCTGGAGAAGGCACAGAACCTGTGAGAGCCGGAGCACTCTGCACTGTCTGGGGCTTGCCAGGTTGGAGCAGAGAGCTGGTGCGGAGCCAGAGCCGGGGGACCTTGTGCGGAGGTGAGCTCTATCCTGACAGTCATCAGGAGGCCCTGGATAAGCCCAAGGCGGGGAGGGCCATGGTCCCATTTGCAGTTTATTTCTCAGTGTTGCTGCTTGAGTAGTTGCAGGGGGTTGAAGGGTGGCCTCCCCAAGCAAGGTGTCCATGCCCCAGAGCCTGTGCTAGCTTATTTGGGAAAAAAGGGTCTTTGCAGGTGTGATGGAATTAGGGATCTTGAGATGAGATTGTCCTGGGTTATGGTGGCCCTAAATCCAATGACAATTGTCCTAACAAGATAAGGGGAGAGGAGGCCAGGCGCAGTGGCTCACGCCTGTAATCCCAGCACTTTGGGAGGCCAAGGCAGGTGGATCACTGGAGGTCAGCAGTTCGAGTCCAGCCTGGCCAACATGGGGAAACCTCGTCTCTACTAAAAATACAAAAATTAGTCAGGCGTGGTGGCGGGTGCCTATAATCCCAGTTACTTGGGAAGCTGAGGCACGAAAATTGGTTGAACCCTGGAGGCAGAGGTTGCAGTGAGCCGAGATTGCACCACTGCACTCCAGCCTGGGTGACAGAGCAAGACTCTGTGCCCCCCACCTCCCCCGACCCAAAAAAGAAAAGAGAAGGGGAGAAGAGACATAGAGGGGCAGAGGCCATGTGAAGTTGGAGGCCAAGATGGAGCTGTGCAACCACAAGCCAAGGGACGCCTGGAGCCACCAGAAACCGGAAGAGGCAAGGAAGGATTGCTGTCCCTCTCCCGCCACCACCCTGAGCCTTCAGAGGAATTATGGCCCTGCAGACACCTTGGTTTTGGACTTTTGGCCTCCAGACCTGTTAGAGAATAAATTTCTGTTGTTTTAAAGTCACTTAGTTTGTGATACTTCGTTACTGCAGTCCTAGAAAATGGGCATGATGATCTTTCCAAAATAAAAATCTACAGGCACCACCCCTCTGCGGTCTCACAGGGCTCAGGCATTCTCCATTTGTGCAAAATCAAACATGCCACATGGGCCCAGGCCCATGTGGCCCTTCCTGTCCTGCCCTCCCCTGGCCTCCTCTCATACCCATGCTCCGTGCTGTGGCTCCAGCCCTGGTGGCTCTGTCAGACTCTGCGCTGCCCCTGGGCCTTTGCCTTGGCAGTTTCATCGGCCTGGAACATTCTTCCCCACCTGGCTCCCAACCTGCCCTCCCCCAAACCTCGCTCTGCCAGAGAACTAATGATCCCTGTGATCTCAGCTTGGCTGTCACCTCCACCAGGAAGTCCTCCTCCACCTCCGGAGCCAGTGAGAAGTGCCTCCCGCAGGCTGTCAGGGCAGTTGTCACAGGGTATTGAAATGTCCTCTTTCGAAGTCAGTTCTCAGAGACTGTCCTGCCTTGTTCCAGTGTAATCCTGGGGATGTAGCCCAGTATCAGCTGTGCAGTGCACTCAGTTATTATTTATTGAAAGAATGGCTCAGATGTGGGCATGACCTGAGTTAAAGATAACAGTGCTAGGGCTGGAGAAGAGGGCTGCAGCAAGAGACGTGGGGAAGGAGGATGAACAGTGCGTGGTGACCGGCTGAGAGAGGGCGTGAGTGACAGTGGAGGCCACCCTCTGTTGTCTGGCTCATAGCCAGGGGAGAGTGATGTCATTGAAACAGGGAAGATAAGAATGGCAACAGATTATTGATTTGGGCATATCAACCAAAAATACACAGAACGCTCAATTTCTGCACAGTGGGGAAAATGACTTTTTTCCTTGGGGCATGAGGGGAGCCACTGCCCTCAAGTAGATCTCTTCCTGTTATAATGCCAGGACCACATGCGTCTCACACTACAAGATGAGACTCAGAGGCAGCTGGTAGCACAGGTCAGGAAATGCACACGCAGAGGTACCATTCCTGGCCTGCAGGCAGTGACCGCTAGCGTTCCAGGTCATAATGGGTCCATACAGATGTTCTCAAGTTTTGGCAAGCTGGGAATCTCTAAACTTTGAGTAAATGAGAGCCATCCAAGGATGGACAAAAGGGGAAGATTCATAAGTGTCCTGGGTTGCAGAAAGCCCCCGGCTCATCTTAAATGTAGTCACAGCCTCACCCAGATGGCCCCAGAGTCTGCTGCAGGCTTTGGTTGACTTGTCTCCTGGTCTGGACCATGCCCTGCCTGTGCCTGGCAGGTTGGATGGATGCATGAAGAAGTAGGGAGAGACCTCTGGCATGTTCTTATGCCCATATCATCTACTAATCCATTAATGTTTAATTTAAAAAAAATTGAAAAATGTACATACAATGGAATATTATTCAGCTTTAAAAGGGGAGGAAATTCTGCCACAGGTTAGAACATGGGTGAACCCTGAGGACATTATGCTAAGCGAAAGAAGCCAGTCACAAAAATACAAATATCCCATGATTCCATTTGTACAAGGAGCCTAGAGTTGTCAAATTCATATACAGAGAATAGAACGGTGGTTGCCAGGGACTGGGAGGGAGGCGGGGAATGGGGAGTTAGTGTTCAATGGGCACAGAATTTCAGAGCGGGAGTGCGAGAAAGTTCTGGAAAAGGAGTATGATGATGGCTGCTTGACCTTATAGTTCACTGAATTATACACTTGAAAATGGTTAAAATGGTGAATTTCATGTTTACCACATATTTCACCACCATACCAAAATTGGAAAAAATATATGAAACTTTTTTCGAAGAGCTAGAATGTACATGCTTCTACCCAACATTTGCCAGATTTCTTTAGCAAGCTAAGGAGAGGGAAAAAAAATCACTTTGAGCATTGCAAAAAGAAAGCCTGAGAACTCCCTACACTGTGTATAGAAAACATTTCAATGTAGACAGGGAGAAATGAAAGGAGCAGTTGCATCTGGGAGCACGACAAGGGAGACATGGATGTACCCAGACGAGCACCACTCTTTGCCCCACAGCATGCTGCAGAGATGGGAAGTTAATACCAATTGACTTATCTTTATTTAGTATTCATATCTATGCTTAGTTGACATCTTTAATATTATAATTATTTATTTTTAGAGCTATTGAATAGGCTGCATATAGTTCTCATCCCATGCTGTGGGCTTGGACATTCTCAAGTATTCCCTCTGTGGATTCAACGAAGTCTGAAGCAAGGATGTCCTCTTGGTGTAGTTCTGGGCTCACCTCACAATCATAGTCTACCAGGGCCCTCCAATAAAACTGTTGGTGGTTGGCCGGGTGCAGTGGCTCACGCCTGTAATCCCAGCACTTTGGGAGGCCTAGGTGGGCGGATTACCTGAGGTCGGGAGTTCGAGACCAGCCTGACCAACATGGAGAAACCCCATCCCTACTAAAAATACAAAATTAGTTGGGCATGGTGGTGCATGCCTGTAATCCCAGCTACTAGGGAGACTGGGGCAGGAGAATCACTTGAACCCAGGCAGCGGAGGTTGCGGTGAGCCGAGATTGCACCATTGCACTCCAGTCTGAGCAACAAGAGTGAAAAACTCCATCTCAAAAACAAAAAACAAACAAACAAACAAAAAACTGTCGGTGGAGATGGAAGCTATTGAATATGGTGGCTATCAAACATTTGAGATGTGGTTAGTGAGACCAGGGAACTAAATCTGAAACTGTATTTAAATTTAAGTCTAAATAGCTATATGGCTAGTGGCTACCATTTTGAACTGCCCAGACTAGATTTTAAGTCTAGAGTGAACATGCCAGGTAGTACCCACCTTCTGGAGCGGGGCTAGAACTCTCAGATGGCTCTGGCCTGGCTGTTATCTTTTACAGGGGCCATAGTGTGTCCTGGCTCCTTCTTAGAAGTAGATGTTTGACCATGTAGGGTGGGGCCCTACATAAAACACTGGGCAGGCGCAGCAGAGTCTAGGCCAGCCTTTCAAAAAGGCTCTGCGAGAGAATTAAGCCCTGCAGAACCTAATGGGAGTGACTTTTTTTTCTCAATGTTCCAAGAGCAGTACTTAGCAAGGATCATTCCAGGAGTGCAGGGGAAAAGTGAATTGCTTCTATTCCATGGATGTCTCAGGACCTCAGGGCTTACTTTTCTCCTGGACCTGGGGTTGAGAAGGACTGCTGTAAAGACAGGGCTCTGTAAAGTAAAAATGATGCACTGAATCCAACCTTCTTTTTCCTTCCAAGGATATCTTTCTTGAACCTACAAAAGCGTAGCAGGTGTTAGATGTAGTAACAGTCTATGGTAGACCAAGTCCTCTGATACAGGTCTTGCTTGATGACTGTTGGTATATAAGAAAAAGCCTCTATTTCATCATCTGAGAAAGCAGTTCTAGCCAGTATACACGCCATGACCAACTTTGTTTTCTTCACCATTACCCACATCACCATCACCCCCTCCTCATCACTGTCTCCACAACACTAGGAGGGACCTGATTTCCTGGCCAACCATGCCAGGCCCCACAATGTGTGGGTTAAAACAAACAACCTTTAAGAGCCTACCAATACACACAGGTACACAGAATGTAGGTCATGCTTGGCACACAAAACCTATTCTGAGAACTGATGTGTAAATCAACTCATATTTTTAAGGCAGTACATAGCTTACATTTTTAATAGGATGCAGAAAATTATAAGCAAGAAAAGAAATATGTATGATTCAGAAAATATAGAAATAGAAATTCAATAAAGCACAGATGAAAAGTTCATCTCTTTCCCTTCTTCTACAATTTCCTCTTCAAAAAGGCTATTTTGTTTTCTTGATTTCTTTCAGAACTTAAAGAAACACACCTGTATGTATGTATATATGTTCATGTTCATGCACACACACCCACACACATAATTTACAGGGGGTTCAAAATATACAGGCATGAGGACTGGCTTTTTCACATGCTTTGTAAGGAGATTTTTACTCTCAGCACACTCAACACCTCTCCCTCTTTGTCCTGGCTGTATAGTATTTCATTCTATAATGTTAAGGGTTAAATTGTGTCCCCCACAAAAAGATATGTAACTCCAGTACCTCAAAATGTAACCTTATATGTAGATTGTATTTACAGATTAATTAAGTAAAAACGAAGTCATTAAGTGGGCCCTCATCCAAAATGACTGGTGTTCCTATTGTGAACAAAAGTTCTTTGAAAAAGAATTTAGAAGAAAGAGACTTTATTCTAGTAAACAGTTTGCAAACTAGGAAAACACAGCCTTTGTTATGAAACAAAAATTTGTTCCAGAGAGCAAAAGGAAGACAGGTTTTATAGCAAAAGTTCTTGCCCAGGTTCCCAATCAGGTCCATTTATGCAAATGAAGGATTGAGATTCATTTAGTTCTTACTGGTTGACACAACTGAGTTCTTATTGGTCAGTGCAGCTGAGTGCCCATTGCTAGATACAGCTGAGCCCTGATTGGCTAAGGTAGATGAGCACTGATTGGTTGGTTATGGTGAGCTCTGAAAGTCCCAAAGGTTAAAAAGTGTGGGTTTTTGGGAGAACATAGAGTACATGCGTGACCTCTAGGCAGCAAATGGCTGCTTGGCTCTATTTTAAATTTAGGCCCAGTTAGCCACTTAAAGGGTTGGCTTTTTCAGGTTCACATTTGTTCACATGATTAAAAGGGGAACTTTAGACACATAGAGCGGGAAGTTGATCTGAAGAGCACGGGGAGAAGATGGCTGTCTACAGGCCAAGTAGAAAGGCCTCAGAAGAAACCAACTCTGCCAACACCTTGGTCTTGGACTTCCAAACTCCAGTACTGTGAGACAATAAATCTCTGTTTTTAAGCCACCCAGTCTGTGGTACTTCGTTAGGGTAGCCTGAACAGACTAACACATATGGTGCATCATAATTTATTTTACTAATCTCTTTGATAAACACTTTGAATTCAAAAGAATACTTTTCACGCATTAGGAAAATGCATTAGGTAATTGGAAAAAACCCCATGTAGTAAGTTCTTTTTTTGTAGAATAAAAAATTCTTTAGGGGGTGTTAATACTTATCCATCATTCTTCAGGCTGGATTATTTGCATTTGAACATATCAAGCTTTCTTAAAGTAAGTCCACCTATAAACCAGATGCCTGTGCAAGTAGACAAAGTACAATTACAGAGATTTCATATGTAATAGTGAGATCATGAGTGAAAGAGAGTCAGGTGACATTATTAGGAATCTTTTGGTTGCAAGTGACAGACACTGCACTTGAACCAGCCTGAGAGAACAAGGAAACTAATTTTAAGGCTCGGTGTCCTGCAGGATCTAGGAATAGCTGGATGTCAGGGCAAACAGACCAGGGACTCAAACACCCTCAGAACACTCTGTTGCTAAATTTAGTCCTGCCCCTCTCTGGACATTTGATCAATTGTCCTTCTCTTCTAGAGATCAGCTTCCTCCACTTTTGTGGTCTGGCTTTGAAAGGTCTCTGATGGGCTCAGCTTGGGTCAGGTGGTCACGCCAGGACATACCCTGGTGCATCTTGAGAGAAGAGTCACTATACTAATCTGACAGCAACCTTGGGCACAATTTGGATGATGGGAGTGGAGCAGCATGAGGGTGGGGGCTGGGTACTGTCAGAGTAAGGGGGGTGATGTTTGAGTGGCCATCACCTAGGGTCTCCTCATTGTTTTTGACAAAAATTTCCTGGAAGAGGTAGAATTTCAGCAGTGCCACCATTTGGAGAAAACCTAAGGCTTTGTCATACCCAACCCAAGGACTCTGGTCATGCCATCTTCATGGGCCTTAGAGAAGACCCCCTAACTGAGTAGAGTCACCCTTGACAGGTAGAGGCCACCAAATGTGCCTATCCTCTGCAGCTGTGCCATCTTTCCAGGCAGAAGCAAAAAGCAGCAGGCATGACTGCCGAAACAAGACTGGGCTCTGCCTGCAGGAAAATCCGGGCTGTGGTGGTGGCTCAGCGCCTGCCAAGCAAAATACCAGTTAGGAGATGTCGCTGGCATGCAATTTAAAGACTCACTTGACTAGTACTTGAGGTTATTTAGAAAAATACCTTTGGTCACATGCTTCCCAGAATGTTATGTACTTGAAATGAATCATCCCTACCCAGCCCAGAGCGATTTAATTACAATCCCCTCCCGTGTTACTTCTTTTAAAACTTGACCTTCTTTTCTGGTTGCAATTCAAATTCGGCAAAATATCAACTTGGTTTTCTTTTTTGGAAGCCGAGGAGGAATCTTTCTATAGCTGAACAGTTTCAGACAGGAAGAAGGGACCGAGTTCCACGGTGAGAAGCCTTGCAATACAGCAGTGACTGCAGATGACCTTTAATAACTAGGAAAATATCATTCATCTGTGAGGGTTGTTAGATAATTTGTCTCAACATCATACCCGGCTTGTAAGCAAAAACAAACATCTGAGGTAATACAAACAGACCAGGTTCCTAGTAATCTGGTGAGATTATGCCAGCCACACACTCTTGATGTGTGTGTCTCTAGGTGGGGGTCACTGTTCATACACAATGCTGGGGGGCTTTAGGGGTGATGCACTTGATGTGAGTTTTGCTTTTCTAAATCTGAGCATCCTCACTGGCTTGTGTTATTGTATTTGGAGAACCACCCGTGCCAAGGGTGTGTCCTCTTAAGTAAGCATCCATAGCAAGGCACCTCTTGCTTGCCTGAGCGCTGATGCATTGAGTGGGTAGAAATGCCTGCTTGCTCTCAGTCCTAAGGTTGTTTCTTCTGCTGCGACCTGGATCCTGGTGGCCCGACATGGGCTGTGGAGACAGACAAGCCTGCAGCCACGTCTTTCCTCTGCCATTCACCTAAGCTCTCCGAATCTTAGCTTCCTCATTGGTTAAATGGGGATAATAATAATAGTGCCTACATCACAGAGCTGTTGTGAGGATTAAATGAGATAATCTATGTGTCTGCCACAAATCAGGAATTCAATAAATGGCAGTCTGTTCTGTAAAAACCACAATATCAGCTCAAATTGGAATCAAGTAAGTCTCCAATAAAATAAAAAGCAAAGGTTTCCAGTCATAAATCATAAGAAATACCATTTTAGACTGATAGAATGCTTTTCATTTTGCAGTGCGATCACTTCTATTATCTCATTTTATTTTTCTGCAATCCCCATGCGAGAGGCAGGACAAGGATCATGAGCCCCGCCTGTGGATAAAGCAACTGAGGCTCAGACAGCCTTCATTTTTCCATGCCAAGTGCCGAGGGCAGACCCGGCCTGCGATGGTGCCCTCTGAGTGTGTGACTAATGGCGCACAGGCCATTGCAGCAGTATCGGCCATAGAACAGGGTGGCCATCAGGGTGCAGGGTGAAGAAAGCATCCAAAACAGCAAGATATCAGGACTAGATTTTAAGCTCCTGAGGGCAGGCATTGCAACTTGAATTTTTTCACAAACGTCACAGTTTGTAGCCTGGACTCTGCATATAGTAGACAATATATACCTTTTCTGTTCGTAATACCATTTCTGCTCATAAACCATGCCTAAGTTGCTCTGGTCAGCCATTATGACTGACTAGTCACACTTTAAAAGTTATAAATCAACCAAAGGGTTATTCATCTGAAGTACGAAAACGGGCTGTGCAGATGATTTAATAGAACGGCCTTTGACCCTGAAACTGCAGATGATATACAGCCAGGAGAACAGGCTCTGGGGTCAGACTCGGGCGAGCTCATGAACCCCCTGAGCCCCAGTTTTCTCATCTGTAATGCAGTGTCAGTAATACTCACCTTGCAAGGCTTTTTGTGCAATTGAGAGAAAGTGCATATGAAGTGACTGGCACGTGATAGAAGCTTAACAATGTTGATTAGTGTTATTCCTTTTTAATCTGCTTTTTGGTTTCTGGTAGTCAGATTGTTTCCAACTCTGAATCTGAAGCAAACAATGCATGATTCAATAACATGTTGGACAAGGGTTTCTCTCTCATTTTCTTTATGTTCCAAATTAGTTGTTACATCCGGGAGATGTTGACCCTAAAAAACCACATTCGTAGATGTCAGTCAGGTGTTGATCAAAACCTATTGTTCTCGAATCAGCTCTCATAGGGTGAGAGTGGGAAAGTGGGAGAACTCAGCCAGGAATGGGACAAAGTTCAACTTGGCCATCTTTCCAGAGAGCCACTGTGGGTTCCTTGAGATCCAGAACCTTCCATCCTTTCCTGGTGTCCGTCCCAGACCCCTTCTTCCCCAGGCCTCATTCTTGCTCACTCCCTCCTTTCCAAGAGTCATGCTTGGGAGGAGACATATACTCACGTGGGAGGGCACTTTCAGCTGCAGGACTTGACACTCTTGTTTTCTTAGGTATTTGAGATAGGAATGTTATTCACAACAGCCAAGAGGGGAGTCCCCTCTCAAGTGTCCATCAGCAAAAGAGTGGTTGAACAAAATGTGGTCTATGCAATGTGGCCCATACAATGGAATATCATCCAAGATTTGTATACCATTTTTTTTTTTTTTTTGATGGAGTCTCACTCTGTCGCCCAGGCTGGAGTGCAGTGGCACGATCTCAGCCCACTGCAAGCTCCGCCTCCTGGGTTCACGCCATTCTCCTGCCTCAGCCTCCTGAGTAGCTGGGACTACAGGCGACTGCCACCACGGCCGGCTAATTTTTTTGTATTTTCAGTAGAGACGGGGTTTCACTGTGTTAGCCAGGATGGTCTCAATCTCCTGACCTCATGATCCTCCCGCCTCGGCCTCCCAAAGTGCTGGGATTACAGGCTTAAGCCACTGCGCCTGGCCACCATTTTAACTATTCTTTTTTTTTGGGTGGGGGACAAGAGTCTCTCTGTCGCCCAGGCTGGAGTGCAGTGGCACGATCTCGGCTAACTGCAACCTCCACCTCCCGGGTTCAAGCAATTCTCGTACCTCAGCCTCCTGAGTAGCTGGAATTACAGGCATCCACCACCATGCCGATTAATTTTTGTATTTTTAGTAGAGATGGGATTTCACCGTGTTAGCCAGGCTGGTCTCAAACTACTGTCCTCAAGTGATCTGCCCACCTTGGCTTCCCAAAGTGCTGGGATTACAGGCGCGAGCCACTGTGCCCAGCTAATTTTTGTATTTTTAGTAAAGATGGGTTTCACCACGTTGGCAAGGCTGGTCTCAAACTCCTGACCTCAAGTGATCCCACCCACCTCAGCCTCCCAAAGTGCTGGGATTACAGGCGTGAGCCACTGCACCTGGCTTCAGTTCTTTTGGCTGCCTACCCAGAAGTGAGATTGCTGGGTAATATGACAATTCCATTTTAATTTTGAGGGGAGCCGCCGTACTGTTTTCCATAGCGGCAGCATCATTTTACACTTCCACCAACAATACACAAGGGTTCCCATTGCTCCACGCCTTTGCCAGTGCTTGTTATTGCCTTCTTTTTTTTTTAATACTAGCCATCTTAATGGGCATGTTTTAGAGGATTCTGAGCAGGAGAATGATGAGATCTGCTTTGTGTTTTTGAAGGCCACTGTGGCGAGAATGAAGTGTGGGGTAGGAAGTCCTCATAATTTACTATCCCACCCAGGATAATTTTGAGAATGAGGCGTCTGTGTGTAAGTACGCAGGGACGGTGTGCCAGTTATATTGTTCTAGTCACACCAGACGTGTGGTCAGTCATGTTTGGGAGGGAAGAGCGGAGCAGCTCTGGAGGCCTGCAAGGAGGCTGTTGCAGGGAGGGGTGAGGGCTGTGGAGAAGGGGTGAGTAAGTGCCTCTACAACAGAGGGGTCGAATGCCGGGATTGATTACTCTGGTGAGAGGGGAGCCAGCATGGCAATCAGGGTGGGGAGGCAGGAAGCCACTCCCACCCCCCAACAAGGAGAGGAAGACAAAGGTGGTGTTGATGACTCTGAGGCCCCCATGGGTCTATCCTATGGGAGCTGGAGCCAGGGAGAGGCCTCTCTGCAGCCACTGCCCCTGACTGTGCCCAAGGCTCCCCACTGTCCCCACCCCCATCTCTTACAACCTCCCATGGCTGAGCTGGGGGCTTGCAGGGCTCAGAGGCCTCTTGCAACAGAAAGGACAGTGGGGAGAGACTGGGGCTGGCCCCATCCAGGCTCAGCACTCGGACGGGGAGAGCCTGGGAAGACAGAATCAACAGGTCTGGATGGCTGTGGGTTTGAAGGAGAAAGCGAACTGAGAGGAGGCCAGTGATTCTAGACACAGCACTGGGTGAATGGAGTTGCTTTTCCTGAGGTGGGAGGTAGGCGGGGAGAGCAGGGAGAGTTGGTTACAGGGGTTCACCCTACCCTAATCCATTCAGCTGCATGTTCATTTTGCGCAGTTTTCTGTTTGAGTTTTATTTACATAATAAAGTGGTAACTTAAAACAAGAAAGGAAAGAAAGAAGGAAAGAAGGAAGGAAGGAAGGAAGGGAGGAACGGAGGGAGGGGCAGGCTGTTTGGACAACTGAGGGAGTCTAACATAACACTTTTCTCTGTGCCCCTGACAGACTGAGATAGATCAACACTGTAGTTCTCCCTTCTTGGGCAAGAGAGGCCCCAGGCTTTGCCTCAGTGGTGACTGGGAGCTGGGGACTGGGGAGGGAGAAGGAGAGAGGTGCTCCCCTACCCAGGCTGTGAGACACTCAAAGAAGGGTAAAGGGGGCAAAGACAGATCCAGGCAAAGGAGAAGCCAGAATCATTCAGTCCCACAGGAGAGGGGGAGGCAGCAGCTGCTGGAACCCTGGCGGCTGGGTGGAGACAGGCAAGTAGGTGAGGGCAGCTGACCCTGGGGAGGCTGATGCAGCATCAGGCTGGGGCCGGGCAGCCTGCAGCGTATTGCCCATGGGCCGTAGAGCCGGCGGCTGCAGGCACTCCTCATTTGGGAAAGCTTTACTTATTATTATTGTTATTCGGTTTTTAGTAGAGACCAGGTCTCACTATGTTGCCCAAGGGGGTCGCAAAATCCTGGGTTCAAGTGAACCTCCCACCTTGGCCTCCCAAAGTGTTGGGATTACAGGCATGAGCCACCGTGCCCGGTCTGCTTATTGTTTTAGAAAACGTTTTCCTTGACTTTACATTTTAAGCAGAATTTACCACTAAGTCCTCGTGTAAAGGACATTGAGTTACACATGGCACAAGGCCTTCGTCATCAGTTTTGCAGATTTCAAGAATATTCAGTTTTACATTGTTTATCGTTTTTTTCATATATCCCCAACTAAAGCTAAACTTGTATTTTGGACAGCCTATAACCCAGTGCTGAGTACGTGGCTGGCCTGTTGATAGGTTGAAGATTTATTTTTACCTATTTTTTAAAAAATGTTTTACTTGGGATGATGACATTGGCACTTGAGAAAAATGAAGCTCCCAAGATATGCTTTGCTGGGGAAGCAGGTAAGCCTTTGTGGGAAGAGCTTTTCTAATCCCCTGAAAGCAATCTATTTATATTCTAAAATCCAAGTTTTTAAGGAAGTGTATCATTATTATAGCTTGCATAACTACAATTATGTCAGAGAACTATTTCTACTGCCCTAGAATCATCTAACCATGTTCCGAGGCCTCCATCCTGACAGGTGGAGTTTGCAAACCGAATTCTCTCTGCATTAGCTGTGCACCGACTTTCCTGTAATTCCTATCAGTGGCCTCTTTGTTCTAGGATTGTGCAACCGGATAACACAGGGGAGTGATTCTTGCTTACTTCCCCTCTTAATGATTGTGAATGTGGCCTTTCAAACCTTGAAACTCATTTCCTCTCCTGGCTCTCATTGCTGGTGAGACAACCACAACCTGGACATCATCAGCTCAGCTCGAGGGGAGGCTGCAGAGAGAGGTGGAGGGGAGCACCTTCTCGTAGATCCACCTTGCCAGGCTGTGTGGGAAGAGGGCGTTGTAGAGACTGGGCAATGCCAGCCTCCCAGAAGGTAGGGTTTGGAACACAGGCAGAAATGCAGGAAAGGGCAAACTGGCCCAATGAAAGCACTGTCCAAGGAGAAAGGAGTTGATTGAGAGGAGGCAGTTGAGAGGGAGAGATTGCTGTAGGCTGAGGCAACCAGGAAAGGACAGGCCTGGCCTAGGGGAAAGATGGGGTGAAAAGCCAAGAGACTCTGTCCATTGGCAGGAGCAGAGGGTGGGGGAATGGTGAGAGAGAAGGCTGGAAAGGTCAAGGCAGGTGCAGGCAAAATTGTAGAGAGCCTCATGCCAGAGGAAGGAGTTTGGACTCTGCCCCCAATTAAGTGGTCACCAGACCTCTGGATTTCACAAATCACTGATTTTTTTTTTTTTTTGACACAAGGTCTTGCTCTGTTGCCCAGGCTGGAGTACAGGGCGTGATCATAGCTCACTGCAGCCTTCATCTCCTGGGCTCCAGCGATCCTCCTGCCTCAGCCTCCTGAATAGCTGGGACTACAGGCTCATGACACCACAGTCAGCTAATTTTTAATTTTTTGTAGAAATAGGGTCTTGCTATGTTGCCCAGGGTCATCTTGAACTCCTGGCCTCAAGCAATCCTCCCACCTGGACCTTCCAGTGTGCTGGGATTATGGGCGTGAACCACTGTGCATGGCATTATTTTTTTTTAGAGAAGTAGAGCTAAGGTGGAGAGGAACGAACATGGTTGCCAACTTAATTTTTCCATGAGACACACAGCGAACCCCCATCAACTATCAGCCTGCTGTCATAAAAGAGGAGAAATCTTAACACCCTTCAGAAAAAACACACGAAGAACAAAATGTCAAACTAAAGGAGAATATCTCTGCAGAAGGACAGCTGGCAACCTTATATCCCGCGGGCGCCGGAGACTGAGAACATCATCTCAGGCTGCTGTGTTACACAGACAAGCTCCGCCAGGGCCGTGGGAGCTGTAGGGCTGTGTCTCTAGGTGGGAGCCATAGCCTTGGGTTCCCAGGCAGACTAGGGGTCAAATGGGCTGAGCACTGGAGGGGGGCGGGGGGCGGGAGACAACTTGGAGGCTGCTGTCTGAACCTTTTTGCCCCTGAAATCCCATCCTCTAGTGCAGCTATCACCCATGTATAGCCTTGTGTACCCCTTGATTGTGAGTGGGCTCCGACTGCTCCCTGGCTTCTGCCTCTTTCCCTCTAATCCATCTTCCACATAGCAGCTAGAATGGGCCTTGAAAAAGGTGCATGGATCATGTTCCCTACATGCAAACACCTTCTATAGCTCTCCAGTGGGAGTAGCATAAAGTTCAACTCCTGGCCCTGGCCCGAGGCCCTTGGAGCAGCATCTGTCTGCAGCTCTGACATCAAAGGACCTCCCAGCTTTCAGGGATGTCACTGGCTGGAGGTAGTTCAGCTCTCTAGGGAGCCACGTACTGGGCCATCATGTTCTTGATCATGCTTTTCCTCTGTCGGGAGCATGTGCCTCCTGCTCTTGTTCCCGTGAACTTCTCGTTATCGTTAGGACTGGCTGACATAGAACTCCCACAGAGGGTTCTTCTGGACCCCCCATGCTAACGAGGCCCCTGCTGTCTTCCTTACATCACTTGTGCTCTTCCTTCGTGGCATTTACCATGGTTGGAGTGTTGAGGATCCCCAAGACCATCCCTACATTTGAGATCTGCTGGAAGGATGCACAGGACTTGGCGTATAGTTGTGTTAACAGCTAAGATTGATGACAGTGACGTAACAAAGATCTACAGCTGGATCACAAGGGAAAAGAAGCAGAGTCTGGAGAACACATGGATGGTTTCCCGATGCTCTCCCTCCCATGGCAGGGTCCCACAATGCACGCTCCTCCCCCAGCAGTGAAAATGCAGCAGCACATGTGTGAGGATTCTGCCCAGGGGAGCCCAGTGGAGACTCAGCACCCAAAGTTTTTCTTGGGGACTGTTTATCTAGGCATCCTCTGCCTAGCACATGCCAAATTTCACACCCCTAGAAGAAAGGCAGTGTTCAGCCTAGACCATATTGTTTTCATAGCTAGGCATAAGGAGTCAGCTCATCAGCTAGCTGTTGACTCGGAGTGTGCTGGGAGCCAGGTTCCCAGATGCCAGTCAGGGGCCACCTCGCAAGCAGGTATGCTTGGTTCTCTTTCCTGTGCCATTTGTAATGAGACCTTTATCTCTCTGTCTCTTTGGGTATGGCCTGTTTTGTGTACTAGGCTGTCAGCGGTGGGAGAGCAGGACCCCTGTCTGCATTATCCATGATTCCTAGCATCAGGCACACAGCAGGGCTCTGAGAGCTTAAGAGCAGAGGAATATCTGCAGGGGTCTGAATCCTTGTCCACTACTTCTGATCCATGTGACTTAAAACAAGCCCCTTAGCTTCTCTTGGCCTCAGTTTTCTTATCTGTCACAAGGGGATAATAGTAGTTCTTCCTTACAGAATTGCTGTGATCGCTGTGTTGCTATTTTTTGTTCAATGGATGCAACCTGAGATATGGGCCTGGACTCAGTTGACAGATACAGAAATGGAAACCTAGAGTGAATTCTAGAGCTATTTATTAGGGAGAATTGAAAAACAAACAAACCAAAAGGTGATTAGTCTTGGAGGCCCAGGAAGGAAGAGAATGAGGAGAACTGAAGTTTTAGATTTGAGTGGTTAGAGAAAAGACATCAATAGAAATGTGGTTGTTGAGGTTGGGACAAGGACAGATGTTGATAAATTTTGACCAGTCCACTATAGTCCTCATTCCTAACCATCAGCCGTCTGGTCATCAATAGACCATGTAGGTTCTCAGTCCCCACTTCTGCAGGAGCAGACTGGATTTGGGAGGAGGCCCTTATGAGAAATGCTCTGCCCTGTTGGCGTGTGCTAGAGACCCTGGTCTTTGCCTTCTCTGGCCACTCATCCCTTCTCCTTCCAGGGACATCCACCCTTCCCTGGCCCCTGTTGCGGCAGTGGCGATGTTCTGCTCCATGGGACCCACCTTGGTGTTGCTCACTGGATCGGGGCACCTTAAGGCTGGTTGGCCAGAGGACTCTGAACTGTGATCCTGGCCTGAAAGGATGAGCTGGGCTGCGAAGGTTCTTTTCACAGGAATTTGGAATAGGGCTTATTAGCAGTAAGCTTCCAATTATAAGGGTGCAGTGGGGCTGATGTGGGGGCCAGGGCAAGCCTTTGTGAGTCAAAGTTATAAGGAAGCAGAAATGGCTGTGTACAGGGTGAGGACATGAGGACAGTCATCAAAAGACCAAGAGAGAGACACCCCTTAGCTCTGCTTTGGGCTTGGATGGTTTCTTGAACCAGCTCCAGTGCACATGCATTTTAGAATCTGAGACAATTTAATCAAGCCACTTAGAGTTTGGCTTCCACACTTAGACTTGGATACAAACTCTGTCCCATGCAAGCTGTGTGACCCCAGGCAAGCCCCTTAAGCTCTTTGAACTTCCGTTTCCTTAGTTGTGTAATAGGGGGAATAATATTGCCAACTTCATAAGGTTATGGTGAGGCCTAAATGAGACCTGGCTTGTAAATGGCTTAGCACAGCTTCTGACATATTATAAGTATTTAAAATTGTTAGACAGCATTACGATACAGTCATGCACGGGGATACGTTCTTAGAAATGGGTTGTTAGGTGATTTACCCTTGTGTGAACATCATAGAGTGTACTTACAGAAACCTAGATTGTATAGCCAACTACACACCTAGACTATGTGGTATGGCCTATTGCTCCTAGGCTAACTTGTACAGCATGTCACTGTAATGAATATTGTAGGCAACTGTAACACAGTGGTAAGTACAGTCATAGACTACATAATGATGCTTTGGTAGATGACCATATATGAAGGTGGTCCCATAAGATTATGCTGGAGCTGAAAAATTCCTATTGCCTAGTGATTTGTGTTATAATTGCATATGGTATTTGGTACAGTAACATGCTGTGCAGATTTGTAGCTTAGGGGCAATAGGCCATACCACATAGCCTAGGTATGTAGTATGCTGTACCATCTAGATTGTGTAAGTACACTCTGTGATATTCCCACAACAGAATTGCCTAATGGTGCATTTCTTGGGATGTATCACCTTTGTTAAGCAACACATAACTGTATTTGCATATCTAAATATATCTATACATATCAGGTACTATGTTTAGCACCTGGGTGATGAGTAATCTATACACCAAACCCCTGTTACATGAGTTTACCTATATGACAAACCTGCATATGTACCCCTGAACATGAAAGTTAAAAAAGGCCAGGCGCGGTGGCTCACGCCTATAATCCCAGCACTTTGGGAGGCCGAGGCGGGTGGATCATGAGGTCAGGAGTTCAAGACCAGCCTGTCCAAGATGGTGAAACCCCGTCTCTACTAAAACTACAAAAATTAGCTGGGCACAGTGGCAGGTGCCTGTAATCCTAGCTACTTGGGAGGCTGAGGCAGGAGAATCGTTTGAACCTGGGCGGCAGAGGTTGCAGTGAGCCGAGATCGCACCACTACATTCTAGCCTGGGCGACAGAGTGAGACTCCGCATCAAAAAGAAAAAAAAAAAGTTAAAAAAAAAAAAGAGAAAACGGGACATAATGAAAAAAAATCATAGAAACAGAAAAAGCACAGCAAAAATACTGTATAAAAGATAAAAAGTGGTACATCTGTGTAGGGCAGCTTCACTATAATCTTATGGGACCACCGTTGTCATGTGTAGTTTGTCATTGGCTCACGTATCTATATGCAAGGCAAGGCTATATTTTCATAACTCTATTTCGTGATGTCATTCAGGTGGCTCTCTGTTTCTGACCACAACAAATCAAAACACAGTCATGACGGATGATTCTTTCCTTGTTAGAAGGATTCTTATAGGGAAACTATAGTTCTTAGTGCTTCAGCTTCCAGGGTTCTTCCACCTTACCTGTACAGAATGCATACTGGCATTTAGCAGTCTTTTTCTGACAGCTGACTTCCTTTCTCTCAAAGCATTCAGAATTCTATTTGCATGTTTTAACTGCAGTTAGAATGCTTCCATCAATTTCCACACAGTCCCTTTGGTGAATTTTACAGTTTCTCTCTGAGTCTGACTATACATAAAGGATGGTAACAGTCTACTAAGGTCTCCCTGACACGAGATTTTTTGACCAATGGAAGTGTATTAATTCTCACAATACTACTTAATGTGTGTTACAAGTGTCCATGATCTATTTAGCATTTAGAAAAATGGAGGCCTTGAGAGGAAACAGTGCAAAAGGAATAGCACAGAGCAGAGCCTTCCAGAGCTAGCAGGTCTGCAAAATCCATATACTCCCTCCCACTGCACTGAGCCACCCTCCCCAGGTTAGAGATACCAAGCCTCCTTCATCCATTTGTCAAAGTATCTTCCTGCCTCTAAGATGAACCGTTCCATTAAGTTGTGATGAAAATGACATTTCTTCCCATCACAGAATTTAAACTTATTTTAATGATAGAGCTTTTAAATGCATCCAATGAAATAAGACTCGGGGGACTTGGAGAAGTGCATTTTCTCTCTGCATATTATGTTCTTATTACAGCTTCCTCTCTCAAATCTTCTTATCAGCAGAGTGATGCACTCTAGTTAATACAGTTGAATATAACCTTTTGACAAAAACATAGTATTTTAGGTTGTGGATGAATGTCTGTGTTAAAAGATTGATTTTTTTCTACCACCACCTTCTGATTAAAGTGGACCAGCCACTTTCTCTCTCCTGGGCTGTTGCATCTGGCTTCCTGCAAGTCTTGGTTATTCCTTTCTCTCTCCCATTCCCATTTATCATCTACTCTGATGAGCTCTCAAAAACCGAATCTGATGCTTTTGTTAAGAGCTGTTGCTGGCTTCTCCCTGATCGGGTTAAAATCTAGCTTCTTTAGCACATCTTGGGAGGCCTTCAGGGCTCCTTCTCCCTCCAGCTACTTTCTCCCTGCCTTTGGCCATGCCTCCATCCTGCCAGCCACCTTCAATATGCTTCACTCCTGGTTAACTCCAGTCCTCAGTACAACTGTTTTCTTTGTATATAAAACCCTTCCTGTGGTTCTCTGCCTCTCAGGTCAAGGCATCCTTTAAATTGTTCCAACTCTGACACCAACTACTTCTTCCCCCTTTCTACTGGGTGTGTTGTTTACTCCTCTCTCTATAGCACTCATCTTGCTGCGACTGTAGGTCTGGGGACAGAGACATAGTTGACATAGAATCCTGGGCAGGGCTGACCCAAAGCAAAATTGTGAAGAAAGCCAAATATTGTCTTCAGCTTCTCCTCACCTTTCTTTATTATCACAGTGATTGCTGTTCTTTTTTTCCCTTTATTTTACCACTTTATTGAAACATAATTTACATGCCATAAATTCATCCCTTTAAAGTGTACAATTCAATGGATTTGATTATAGTGGACAGATAGTCCCTGACTTATCATGGTTCAACTTACCATTTTTTGACTTTACAATGGTGCAAAAAGTGATACATATTCAGTAGAAACTGTACTTCCAGTACCCATACCACCATGCTGTCTTTCATTTTCAGTACAGTATTCAGTAAATTAGGTGAGAGTTTTATAATGTGGCTCTTTGGCTCTAATAATGATTGTCTTAAGGTCTATTTTGTCTGATATTAGTATTGTCACTCTAGATTTCTCATCTCCCCTTTTACTGTTTGTATGTTTTCCATCCTTTTACTTCAACCTAATTGTGTCTCTCAGTCTTAAGTGTGTCTCTTATCAACTTTAGCTCAGTGGGTTAGAGCGTGGTGCTGAAAAAGTATGTCTCTCTATGTTGCTCAGACTGGTCTCAAACCCCTGGCCTCAAGTGATCCCCATGCCTCAGCCTTCCAGAGTGCTGCGATTACAAGCATGAGCCACTGCACCCAGCCCGAAGTTTATCTTTGATATGTCTCTCACTGGGGCTGCAGGAGGGATGGGGTGGATGTGGTGGTGGCAAAGGGCCTATACATCTGTTGGTAATTAACTGTAAGTATTATGGAGTGCTGCCCGAACTTAGTTCAGGGTACTACCCTCCTGGCAGTATGTGAACTTCCCTTATGTCCATCATAGAACTTTATATAACTAATGGAATCTCAAAGATGATCTTGTGCTATGCACCCACTTTCAAATGAGAACCCAGGGTAACAGAAAATTTATGTGCTCAGAGTAACACAGTTTGACATAGAGGCGAATTTTCATACCCTGCAGTTTGTCATTCTCCCCGAATTTCCCACTGTTCTTTTTCATGATAGAAAAGGCATGGGAGACCAACATGTGGATCTCTATTTGTGGAGGAGAGCCAAGGATAGAGGTGGATAGTGCTTGGGTTGAGAAAATAAGAGTTCAGGTCTGATTCTGCCACCAATAACTATGTGATTTTTTTTCAGATTTCTTCGTATTTTTTCAACCTTGGTTCCTCTAGTCTAAACGTTAATGATAACACCTACCCAAGTGAGTTATTGGGAAGATTAAGTGAAATAATGTATGTGAACCCCACATGTATGCTCTTAACAGCCACAAGACTGAAAAAAATTATAAAAGGCTATGACTTCGGGGTTTCTTTTTCTTTTTTTTTTTTTTTTGTAAAAGCTAAACTCATACAAGAAAATGTCTTTTAAGGCAACACGTGAAGAGAGAAAAAAAAATTTCCTTAGATTAAGAAAAAAGGTAGTATGTTTTAGTTCACCCTAACTATGGACAAATGAGTCGCAGCTCATCTTCATGACTGAGAATAGAGTTAGGAGCTGAATTAGAGAATAATCCAATAGAATTTTAGCCTCCCTCCTCTTTTAGCTTTGGAAAGCCTGAGCAGATGGAGAAAGTTTGTTTGGTTTGTGCACTTAATTACCTCATTATTTTGCTTCTCTCTTTTGTTACATATTAAGCATCAAGCACTGTAGTAAGATCTGAGCAGTCAAGAGTGACTGAAGACCCAGTCTCAGCTCTTAGCTGTTCTAGATCTGCAGTTGATATCACTGAAAGAATTTTCTGTCTGTATTAAACATAAACAAACTCATGGGTAGATTAGCATGACCTAACAGATCTTTGTTATGGACTTAATTGTCTCCCCTCTAAATTCATGTGGTGAAGTTCTAACCCCCTGTGCCTTAGAATGTGACTATTTTTGGAGACATATTCTTTACAGAGGTAATTAAGTTAAAATGAGGTCATGAGAATGGACCCTAATCCAATATGACTAGTGTCCTCATAAGAAGAGGAGATTAGGAGACAGACATGCACAGGGGGAAGACCATGTGAAGGCACAGCAAGAAGACAGCCATCTAAAAGCCAAGAAGATGATGCCTGTAATCCCAGCACTTTGGGAGGCTGAGGCAGGTGGATCACCTGAGGTTGGGAGTTCGAGACCAGCCTGACCAACATGGAGAAACCCCGTCTCTACTGCAAATATAAAATCAGCTGGGCATGGTGGTGCATGCCTGTAATCCCAGCTACTCGGGAGGCTGAGTCAGGAGAATTGCTTGAACCCAGGAGGCGGAAGTTGCAGTGAGCCGAGATTACGCCATTGCACTCCAGCCTGGGCGACAAGAACAAAACTCTGTCCAAAAAAAAGCCAAGAAGAAAGCCCTCAGTGGAAACCAACCCTACCAACGTCTTGATCTCAGGCTTCTAGCCTCAAGAATGGAGAGAAAATAAATTTACATTGTTTAAGCCACTTAGTCTGTGGTAATTGGCAGCCCAAGCCAATCGATACAATTCTCCCTCAGGACTGACCACTTGGGAGATTAGTTACTGCCATGGTAGGTTAATACAGCATTGAGCCTGCAGAGTTTAACTCATATTGAAATGTTAATAAATGTCTTTGTGTTAGTCAGGGTTCTCCAGAGAAACAGAGCCAGTAGGATATGTATAGATACACAGAAAGAAGACTGATTATGGTAATCAGCTCACACAATTATGGAGGCTGAGAAGTCCCATGACCTGCCGTCTGCCAGCTGGAGACCCAGGAAAGCTGGTGGGATCATTCAGTTTGAGTCTGAAGGCCCAAGAACCAGGGGGGCCAATGGTATAAATCTTGGAGTCTGAAGGCCTGAGAACCAGGAGAACCAAAGCCTGAGGACAGGAGAAGATGGATACCCAACTCAAAGAAAAAGAGAATTCTCTCTTCCTCCACTTTATTGTTCTATCCATGCCTCAAAGGATTGGCTGATGCCTGCCTACTCTGGTGAGGGAGGTCTTCTTTACTCAGCTTATTGATTCAAATGCTCATCTCTTCCAGAAACACCCTCACAGACACACCCAGAAACAACACTTTACCAGCTATCTGGGCATCTCTTAGCCCTGCCAAGTTGACACGTGAAACTAACCATTCCAGTATTATGGTGCTGGGAACTGTAAAAACAACATTTTATTAATCTAGCTTTATTGTACACAAGCCTGCATGTCCCTCCCACCGCCTCGCACATGTGAAGGATGGAACAGGGCTTCCTGCTCCTCTCTAAAGGAAAGACGAAGTCTTGGTGCAGGAATAGAACAGACACTCACCATCAAACCCTGAGTTATGACACAGGGTTTGAAACCTGGCACGCGCGCACACACACACACACACACACACACACTACTTATGCTACAAGGTTAAAGGAAAAGAGATAATTCTTATATTTAATATAATTATTGTTATATAGAAACAATAAAGGTTATAAATTCTATGTATGGAGAAAAGAGTGGAAGGAAATATAGTACTTCACACCTTTTTTTTTTTTTTTGAGATGGAGTCTTGCTCTATTGCCCAGGCTGGAGTGCAGTGGCACAATCTTGGCTCACCACTACCTCTGCCTCCTGGATTCAAGTGGTTCTCCTGCCTCAGCCTCCCGAGTAGCTGGGATCACAGGCGCCCACCACCAAACCAGGCTAATTTTTTGTATTTTTAGTAGAGCTGGGGTTTTGTCATGTTGGCCAGGCTGGTCTCCAACTCTTGACGTCAGGTGATCCACCCACCTCGGCCTCCCAAAGTGCTGGGATTACAGGTGTGAGCCACCGCACCTGGCCCACACCATTTTTGGTAATTGTTTTGGAAGGTGGTATTACAGCTTATCTTTTTTTTCTTTTCTGTTACCTGCTTTTCTGAATTTCGCCTATTTTCTATAGTAGGTATATTCACTGTTCTAATAGAAATAAAATCAATAAACTGTGTCTTTTTTAAAGATCTCAAGTTTGACAACAATTTCTTGGGTGTACAGCTATCTGTTCCCACTTCAGCATCTTTTCTCAGATATAAATCAAGTAAAATAGGAACCTAAAAATTTTCCATTATTCAGATCTGGATGATTTGAATCTTATGATGATTCTTTATACTTTCTAAGAAAAGAAAGCATTTACAAAGTAAATTTGTACTCAAACAGGTTCAGTGACTAGTCTACTTTAAAATTCAAGTTGTTTCTAAATACTTAAAGAAACAAGAAACCCCTCTACTTTAGCTGTGTCACTTCTGCATACAAAAAATGACCTCTTGGCCGGGTGCTGTGGCTCACATCTGTAATCCCAGCACTTTGAGAGGCCAAGGTGGGCAGATCACCTGAGGTCAGGAGTTCAAGACCAGCCTGGCCAACATGGCGAAACCCTGTCTCTACTAAAAGTACAAAAATTAGCCAGGCATGGTGGCGGGTGCCTGTAATCCCAGCTACTCAGGGAGGCTGAGATAGGAGAATTGCATGAGCCCAGGAGGCGGAGGTTGCAGTGAGCCGAGATTGTGCCACTGCACTCCAGCCTGGGAGACAGAGCGAGACTCAATCTCAAAAAAACACAGAAAAACAACAAACAAAAAAACACTCTCTCTGACATGTTCGTTAAAGGGATGCTCAGAGAACTCCTTCTTAGCAAGACTTGATCTTCTGTTGTTACTGTATGCCTAGAATATTAGCAAACATGCATAGTACAGTTTACAGGCACTGTTCTAATAAATAGCTTCACATACATTAACTCAATGTGACCCACCCAACTCCTATGAGAGAAAAACCATTATTACCCTCATTTTTCCATGGAGGAAACTGAGGCACAGAGAGGTGAAATAGCTTAGTAAGTGATGGAGCTAGGATTTGAACCTTGCCAGTCTGGGTCCCAAGCCCTCTCTCTCAAACACTTTCCACTGAGGAGGGGAGACTTGGGATAACAAACTCTCAAAGCTTTGACAACGTGGCTTGGTGTCGATTCAGCCAGGACCTTACCTCTTCTCCTTTTCTCCTTGCCTGTGAGTTAGTGAACCTTACTCTTTGCCAGGTAGGAGTGTATGGAGGTAGAATGAGATTGCTGATTGCATGTCCCTGAAGACGGAAAAACCGCTCTGTTGGTGGCAGTATCAGCTCATGCCCCACCTCCATTGTTCTTTTATTGGTATTTCTAAAATTCTGCAGGACTCAGTTAAAAGTTTCCATCAGTTCAAGTGAACTCCGATCACATGCCTCTCTCTTCTATTCATTTTCTAACAACTTTCTCAGGTTAGAGCCGCCCAATTTAACAGAGAAAAAGTTGGTAGCCCTATAATAAATCTTGGGAAAGTGTAGAGAAAACACTCCCTTGCTGCCTTTGGCAAATCGAATAAGCAAATAAGCTCATGTTCTTAGAAGAAACTCAATTCTTAGAAACTCTTCTCCTTCACACAGCTGCGAGGACAATTGCAGATTAATTAATTGAAGTGCATTGGAAGAGATATATACTAGAAAACATTTTCCAAAGATGGCTTTCTCAGGGTTTTAATTTGAAACTGTTGATGGAAAAGCCTATTTCAGTGACTAGTCCATTGAGCAGGCTTCTTATTTGTATGCATGGGAAATCCCAGTGACCCATCCGCCGGGCTGGTCAAGAGGCTGCTGAGATGTTCATTACCACTCACTTTCTCCTCCAGTGGAGGCCTGAGACACAGAGACAAGACTAGGAGTTTCTTTGTTATTTATCTTTGATGAAGTTCTTCTCCACAGCCAGGGAAGTGTCCCAGTTTATGTGTGGGGTCAGCCAAGGTTAGTGCAGATGGCTGGCCGGGGAGCTGATTCTAGTGCCTCCAGTCTTGGGTGGCTGTGGCTGGGGTAGGGAGGGCAGGGTGTCAGGGTCCTCCCTGAGCATTGTGATGGAGGATCCTCTACCCTGTGCAAAGAAGTCAGCCAGAGTTTAGATTCTGGAGCAGTGTATTCAATTTGGGTAACGTCAGAAGCCAAAGAACAGACTGCCATTCGGGAGAGAAGGACCAGGAAGCCAGGTGCAGGGTTATTGGCCTCTGCTTTGCCTGTGGCTGGCTTACTGGGGGAGCTGCCTGAATTGTCCCTTGAGTCTGTGGTCTGAGATATCAGCTGAAAGGCCGCCTGCCCATTTCTCTGCCACCAGGAAGTTCTGGGGCCCAGACTTTGGCCCCTTCTGAAGCTCTCTCCTCTAAAGGAACCCAGCTGAAGCTTTGATTGCTACTTCACTGTTTAATATTTCCTTTTTATTCTCCCCTGGCTTCTAGCACCCAGTGACTAGCAATGGAGAAGGGAGGTGCTATGGAATTATAAGGGCTCATTTTGATTATCTTTTAAAGTATTGCTTTCAAACTTTAAAAAGAAGAGAGAAAACATCCACTGTATAGCAACCTGTCAAGCAGCTTGCGCCCAGGACAATGGTTATGGCACCTCAGCCCATTCATGAGCCCTGAGGCTCCCGGTGAATTCACAAGGCCATGTTTACTGACACACAGGAAGGGAGTTTAGGCTCCATTGCCTCACCTACTACTCACTGTCTATTTAAACTTTCTGAGTCTTAGTTTCTTCAGCTACAAAACGAAAATCAAAACACATAGCCCACAGCTTTATCAGGTAGAATATGACATTTTAAAGTGCTATGAAACTACAAATAATCATTCAAATGCAAACAAGAGCTTGTTCTTATAACAAAGATCATAAAGCGCTTGTATTTGGCTATACAAAGATCATATAGTCCTTCTTCTTATAACAAAGATCATACAGACCTTGTGTGTGGAGATCTGATACTAAAATCCATATGTTGAATACTGACCATCCTCTGCCAAGGCTCAGAATTCTATTGAGCCTATACTAAGGAAATTCTACAGAGCTTGTCATCCAACTGGCATTTAAAGGGTCACCTTCTTCCCTCTGTAATTGTTGGCAAGTCATATCCAGGGACTGTCATGCTACATTCATTTATTCCACAAATATTATGACTCACTTGCTCTGCAGTCCCGTGGATTTGATTTTATAGGGTAAGCAGAGCTCATTAACCCCTTTGTAAAACTTCCAGGAAGGAAGTGCAGTGAGGCTCTGCAGAGTCTTATTTATTCCAGCATCTCTAGCACCCAGCACACATGTCTGACAAATAGCAGATGCCTAGGAATCTGATGGATGAAAGGATAAGTCAAAGTACTGGAATGCACTGGCTTCTTCCATTGTCTCTGTAGGATGTTTTCCAAGAGTCTACAACTGCCTTTCATTTCTTTAAAATAGGAAGACAGATTATACCTTGTCACCAATGGAAATCAGTGAAAGTTAAACCGTGGGGCATGTAGGCTTTCAAAGGACAGGGTAGCTAGTTATTACGGGAAAGGTTTAAGACAACAACAAGAGCCACCCTGAAAAGTCTTGGCTTGCTTTCCATTCCCAGGATCAAGTCAGTGATGAATGACCATGTTCTAAACGAAGGCTGCTGCCTGTATGGTAATTCTTGCATCTGAGCAGAGGTGCTTTCCACAATATGCAGGAGTATCTGGGACTGCCCAGGGGAAGCAGAGACCTTCTGGAGGGCCTGCAGCTTTGAGTCCCCAGGGAGTAGGTTGTGATGAGGAGTGAGAGGACCCAGACATTTCTATTCTAGGGACAGCAAAGGCCAGTGCCCAGTCCTACTGTGAGGATAGGATTCCCTGCAGTAATAATTGTGTGGTAATGATTCACTGATGGAATCAATGTGGAGTCAGTCCAATCTCAAAACATTTTTGCACCTAACCTGTTAAGGACTTAGAAATCTATTCTTGTACTTGCAGGATATCCAAGGTCTTTCTCTCCCTTGTGTCTTCCTTTCCTTCTTTAACCAGGATTCCTTTTTCTCAGGGTTTCAATGTCGCTCATTGGTGGCCCTTATTCTGAGCCAGGTGCTGAGCAAACAGAGATGTAGGAAGCAGAGTCCTGTTCTCGATGGGCCTCCAGTGCAGTCAGGGAGGAACTCTTCATGGATAATTACTCTCCAAGCATGAGAGGGTAGGCATCCTAAAGCTGATTTGCACAATGCGTTGGGCAGGGAGTAGTTTATGTATGCTAGACTCAAGGGAAAGAGGGTGGCCTCCCAAAGACGACAGCCCCTGAGCAGGGCTTAGCAATCCGCCACGGAGATAGAGGCTGGGCATTCCAGGTTGAGGAAGGTCATGAGCAAATGTGGAGGGGGAAAAATTGAGAAGCCCAGACTAGAGCCAATGGGTGAATGCGAATAGCACAGGGAGAGGCAAAGCTTCTTGTGTCCAGAAGAGCAGATATTCCTTACCTGTTCTGCTCAGGACCTCAAATTTTATTCTGTAGGCAATGGGGACTCACCAAAGGTTTTTAAGAAGGAGAAAATTATAACCAGGTCTATATTTTGCAAGATCATGGTGGCTACCTCAAGGACGATAGATTGGGGTTAGGATGAGTAACAGGGAGCTGGGGACGTAGAAACCTGTTAGGGTGAGGTTGCAATTGTCCACATGAGAAATAGTGAAGGGAAGAGAAACCAACACTTATTAAAGCTCTATTATGTGTCAGGCTGGGCATACTAGGTACCTTGACTAGCTACCTCATTTAATTCCCAGGAAAGCCCTGCAAAGAAGCTATTATTGTTGCTACTCTACCTATGAGGGACTGAGAGGTGCAACTGTGCCAAGGTCATGTGACAAGAAATGCCCTCCCTGCCTCTACGGGGGCCACTGGCTGGAGTATGGGCTGGCAGGGGCCAAGTGAGAGTGAGCTGCGTGAGAGCTGCTGGAAGGAGAGGGAGGCATAGGGCAGGACTAGGGATGAAAGGCACGGGTGGGAGGGCAACAAAGACTTGTAGCTTAAGGAGGTGCTTGGCAGTGGTTCAGCCAGTAAAAGGGGCCAAGAGCAGATTACCGTCCAGACAGCAAGAGCTTATTCTGCCATACATACTTAGGCACACATCTTTATTACTACCAGACAGCATTATTTCTGATGAAGTATTTTTTTTACATAAATACTTTGGAATCTAACATCTAAAGCAAAACATAATATGCTAAGTTGATAATACAAACGTTGATATTTGGAAAAATATTTTAAATAGGCTTTGCTATGATTTGACATTAGCAAAATCATCAATAAGTCTTTAACTTCCTCTTCTTTTTAAAAATCTGCTTGAGTTTGTGTGCTCAGCACTAACTCCTTTAGAAGTTGTTGCACTATGGTTGCTCTTAAATAATATTAAATTAGTCTTAATTTTTAAAAAAGTTCTGTTCAGGGAAAATAATGAGAATTGTTAAAAATAAATAACAATCTCACTTAAACTTACTCTTGTTTTAGAGTTTTATAATAACTCTCAATGAATTCATAGATTTTAAAAATATTTTCAATTTCACTTCCTAACATCATACAAAGAAGTAATCACACCAGTAATGATTCTGCTTGGTTTTGTGAACGTTTATTTTGCATATTCTATGTTATTGTTTATGATAACGAACTTTTCATCCACTTGAATTGATTGGGTTGAGGTAAGAAATGCACCTGTCAGCAACTCAGCTTAACCCTTGGAAATTTGGGTCTAGCTGTGTATTTACTGTATTAGTTTGTCTGTGCTCCTTATACCTTGTATTCATCTGGGTTCTCCAGATATATGGAACCAATAGGACATATGTCTATATATAATATTTACTATAAGAAATTGGCTCCCTTGGGCAAGGAGGTTGAGAAGTCCCAAGACCCACAGTCAGCAAGCTGGAGACCCAGGAGAGCCAATGGTTTAGTTTCAGCCTGAGTCCAAAAGCTTGAGAACCAGGAGAGCTGATGGTGTAGGTTCCAGTGTGAGTTTGAGTCTGAAGGTAGGAGAAGACCTCCGCCCTAGCTTGCAGACAGCTGAGCAGAGGAGTTCCTTGTTGTTAGCAGGAGGGTCAGGCTCTTCATTCTTTAGGCCTTCAACTGATTGGATGAGCACCACCCTCATTAGGGAGTGGTAGACTGCTTTGCTCAGTCCACCAATTCCAATGTTAATCTCATTCAAAAACACTCTTACAAATGTACACCGAATGTTTGACCAAATTTCTGGGCACCTTTGGCCCAGTCAAGCTGATGCATAAAATTAACTATCACAAAGGCATGGCCCACATGTGGGCCTAAAAAATGTTATGAATCAAAGACAAGTAATATTGATTCCTGGGTTTTGACAAGTTGAAGTTGATAAAGCAGCAATATTAAATTTCACTTAGACGATAAGACGATCATATTTTCTACTATATGTTAATGCTAATTCTGAAAAACATTTTAGACTGCTTATGACTAAAAGTACCCAGATATCAAAGGGCTAGCAACTGTTGCTCTTTGTCATTGCCAATGCTTGTAAATTTTCTGAATCCTGTTTGCTGAAATCGCTGGCAAAGTTCAAAGAACTTTTACAGGAGAATCCCAGCATTGCCAGTGAGACCTTGGAATGTCTACTTGATACTTTTGCAGAAGTTAATAGATCAAATAATTGATATTCTGCTCCAATAACCTAAGAAGTAATAAATTGAGAGGGCTATTCTTTGGGGGAAGTAGAAAGAGTCTCAATTATACAACAAACTTGACTGTGTTATTGTTTACATTTGGGTTCCTATATTTTCTTCAGTAACATATAATTCAGTCTTGCAGCTACTTACACAATTAGAAATTAGGAAGGTAGCATTTACATGTTAAATTGACAGAAGGATTGATTGCTCTTTGGGTCGATGGAGAGAATGGAGTCTCATCTTTATGAAATTTCTCCTCCTTTATTGTCATGGAGATAAGGCACCATGCTACAGTAAGTATGCCAGGGCTGTGATTTAGAGCCAGATTTTAAAGAAAAAGGAGCTGAATTCAAAAATTTGAGTGCAGATTTTTTTTATTTACTAATGTCATATTGATTTTTTAGACGTAAAGCCAGATCAATGTCCATGATTGATATCATTGAAGCTCTGAACTTGGGAGTCTATATTAGTCTGTTCTCCCACTGCTGTATAACAACTGCCTGAGACTGGGTAATTTATAAAGAAAAGAGGCTTAATTGACTTATAGTTCTGCATGGCTGTGGAGGTCTCAGGAAACTTATAATCATGGTGGAAGGGGAAGCAAAAACATTCTTTTTTGCATGGCAGCAGGAGAGAGAAGTGCAAGGAGGGGAAATGCCAGATACTTATAAAACCATCAGATCTCATGAGACCCACTCATTATCACGAAAACAGCGTGGGAGAATTGCCCCCATGATTCAATTATATCCACCTGGTCCCACCCTTGACACTTGGGGATTATGGGAATTTCAATTCAAGATGAGATTTGGGTGGGGGCACAGAGCCAAACCATATGAGGGCCTTTCATAGCTCCATGGTCCTGATGTCATAAATTGACTGCAAATGTTCAGTTGTACCACAGGTAGGTCATGGATGAAGCCATTGATTGAAACAGGACAAATGAGCAGAAACAGATTTGGGGAGGAAGATAGTTTGGGACTTGGATTGGAGATGCTAGTGGAAACCCCACTGAATTGTCTAGCTGACCCTTACAATCTGGGTCTGGAATGCATGAATGAACACCAGCTAGCTAGTGGATTTGGAAATTGCTAGTTATGATTCTAAGATGGCCAGGCATGGTAGCTTACGCCTGTAATCCCAGCTGCTCAGGAGGCTGAGGCGGGAGGATCGCTTGATTCCAGGAGTTCGAGACCAGCCTTGGCAACATGATGAGACTTCGTCTCTACAAAAAATTTTAAAAAGTTAGCCGGGGTAGTGGCTCATGCCTGTAGTCCCAGCTACTGAGACTGAGGTGGGTGGAGGCTGAGGTGGGAGGATTGCTTGAGCCTGGGAGGTCAAGGCTGCAGTGAGCAGTGATCACACCACTGCACTCCAGCCTGGGCAGCAGAGTGAGATCCTGTCTCAAAAAAAAAAAAAAAAAAAAAAGAGGGCATAGGTTGGCAAGATTTTTCTGCAAAGCACCAGATAGTAAACATCTTAGGCTTTGTGGGCCAGAGAGTCACTACAGCAGTTCTTCCACTGTAGTGCAAAAGCAGCCACAGGTAATATGCAAATGAATTGTGTGTTGCTGTGTTCCAACAAAACTTTTTATTTTAAAAACTGAGGCTGGAATAGGAATAAGGGAGAGGACAGTGAGGGTGGAATTTGGTCAGAGGTCTACTGTAGACCATGGGAATGAATGAAATTATGAAAAGAGCATGTAGGGTGGACAGTGTCCAGATGAGAACCTGAGAAATGCCTATGTCTAAGGCAAAGGTACAGAAAAAGCCAGGGGAGAGAGATGCATTTTGAGAGGAAGAAGGGAACTCAAAACCTCAAGTGCCCTAGAGACTAGAAGTTGGTGTTTTAAGAAGGAGGTGTGTGCCACGATGTTAAAATACCTCCCGGAATTTCAGTGGGACAGGCATTGAGAAGAGACTGTTGGAATTAGTGATTAGGATGGCATTTCTGATTTTGAGAATGCAGTTTTAGGGGTAGTATGGACACTTAAGCTCATGAATGCAGGTGGTTGTCAAGGTGATGGGTGATGGGGTATACACGACAGCAGTGGGGGCAAGGCAGGCTCAGGGGGAGGGTGGGAAGAGAAAGTGTTTCAGGCTTGGAAAGATTAGTAAGTTGGGAATACTGAAGGGAAGAAGCCAGCTCATTAGGAGATTTTCAAGACGCCAGAGAGAAGAAATTCTAAATGCAGCAGTTCCTGGAGGGGATGCAGTCAGGACCTTGTGGCAGGTGATACGCTGGGCATAGTGCCCATGAAGCCTCATTGAGTGCCATTACAACAGCACAAACAGATATTTGTATCAGACACTGCTAGAAGTGACCCAACATCCTTTCCTCCCTGCTTCCTTACTAATAACCCCTCAAGTTTGCTCAGGGTAGCAATGTGCCCAGCTAGAATACTCACCTTGTCACACTCTTGAGCTGCCAGGGGTGTCCTATGGCCCAGATCTGACCAATGTGTTGTTCACAGATGTCTATAGGGTGGGGCTTTGGAGTCAATTGTTATTCATCCTATTTTTTTTTTTAAATACAGTCAGCTGGCACTACTTTTTTTCCTTTGCTCTTCCTTCTTTCTGCCTAGAATGCAGATGCCTAGAGGTGGGGCAGCCATCTGGTGGCCTTGAGGATAAATCTCCACTTGCTACGGATAGTAGAGCAGGAAGAGTCAAGGGGCCTGAATCTTTGAACAGCAGCACCAGCCCTGACCTCTCCGTCCCTGGACCCCTTCTGAAGTGAGAAAAATGAACCTCAAACTTGTTTACCATCGTTTGTCTGGTTCCTATTATGTGGAGCCAAATGCAAACCTGAACTCCTATTCTGTACCCTCCTGTTTTTCCCCAGTGGAGGAAATGGGCTCAGACAGTTCATCATCAAGATCATCAAGATCACTTAGGCCCTTGAGACTTGCTATGCAAAGTGTGGTCCACGGACCATCAGCGTCAGCAGCACCTGGGAGCCTTTTAGAAATGCAAAGTCTCGGGCTCCACTGCAGACCTACTAAATCAAAATTGGTTTAAACAAGACCCCCAGCTGATTCATGTGAAGTCTGAGAAGTGTTGGCCTGAATAATAAATAACAGAGCTAGGATTAGATCCCAGGTCTCTAAGACTACAAGGTTCACACTCTTCTTCAGAAATAGGAGGAAATGGGCCGGGTGTGGTGGTTCACGCCTGTAATCCCAGCACTTTGGGAGGCCGAGGCAGGAGGATCACGAGGTCAGGAGATCGTAGACCATCCTGGCTAACACGGTGAAACCCCATCTCTACTAAAAATACAAAAAAAAAAAAAAAAAAAAAATTAGCTGGGCGTGGTGGCGGGCGCCTGTAGTCCCAGCTACTCGGGAGGCTGAGGCAGGAGAATGGCGTGAACCCGGGAGGCGGAGCTTGCAGTGAGCCGAGATCGCGCCACTGCACTCCAGCCTGGGCGACAGAGCGAGACTCGGTCTCAAAAAAACAAAAACAAAAACAAAAGAAATAGGAGGAAATGACAAGATACTGATGTTTTCTGTACAAATATGAATGTCTGTTGAGGTAGAAAGAAAGGACGCTGAGAGAGTCTGTGGCAGAGGGCCTCAGTCTTCTCAGGATGAGGGAGTGCTAGAATGTTCATTCACCAAGCAGAACTGCTCATCTACTCTGTTCACCTGGTGCTAGGAGTAAAAGACCATCCCTGTCTTCAACGAATTCAAAGGTAGTGGGTAACAATGTAACCCACTGGTTACAATTGGTCATTATAACAGTAGCCAATAATCATAATATTATGATAAATGCAGTAGTAGAGTCTTGAAAATGGTGGAACAATACCCTGTTTCCTAATGCCACATCTCAGCCCTTAAATTTCTTAAATTAAATGGAATTGTATTGCATCAGTGGCTGTGACCACAACGCCCCGAGTTAAAGGAGGCACAATTGTTAGCAGATTGATTTGATCAGTACTGAGACACAGCCTGGACTAAAGTCCGGCCTGAATTGCAGAAATTACACTGAGCTTTTTAATTTACCTTTATTTTTATATGGAGCAGACACTACTCAGTACAAGTGGTTATTTCAACGTAGAGAAGAAAGGCAAGTTGCAGAGGGCTGAGAAGGGGATAGGCTAAGAGGAGCTGAACCAAAGGCTACAGTTTCTTGTGATCAAGAAATTTTATTTTGCAATTGGCTAAGGGAACTGCAAAGAAACAAGTGCTGCCAAGGCAAAGTCTCAGAATGGTGACTACTAAGCTGATGAAACTTATTTTATCGATGCTGCACAGAAGACAGCTTCATGCAGCTTAAACAGCATGCTACTTGATGCCTAAAGACTGGGTTTGAAGGTTGGGTTTGTGTACCAGCTCTGCCATTTATCTTGAGCCTTGTCTTAGGTTGGCTTCCCCACAAAGCAGGCACCAGTGCCAGATTTGTGCACAAAAATTCACTTGGGAAGTGAGATAGGCTAGGGAAGGAAGCAAATACAAGGTTTCTTTTTCTTTTCCAAATTTTTTATTGTGGTAAAATATGCGTAACATAAAATTTACCATTTTATCCCTTTTTGAGTGTACAATTCAGTGGCAGTAAGTAAATTCACATTGTTGTATAAGTATTATTATTATCATTTTTTTTCTCTGTCGCCCAGGCTGGAGTGCAGCAGCACGATTTTGGCTCACTGCAACCTCCGCCTCCCAGGTTCAAGCAATTCTCTACCTCAGCCTCCTGAGTAGCTGGGATTATAGGTGCCCGCCACCATGCCCGGCTAATTTTTGTATTTTTAGTAGAGATGGGATTTCACCATCTTGGCCAGGCTGGTCTCGAACTCCTGACCTCAGGTGATCCGCCTGCCTAGGCCTCCCAAAGTGCTGGGATTACAGGCATGAGCCACCATGCCTGGCCATTGTTATACAATTATTTATTACCACTATCTATCTCCACAATTTCCCATCATCCCAAACTAAAACTCTGTACTCATTAAACAACTCCCATTCTTCCTCCTCAAGCCCCTACTTTCTGTTTCTATAAATTTGACTACTCTCCCAAGTCTGGCAATAATATGTACCTCATATGAGTGGACTCATGTGGTATCTGTTTGTGTCTAATTGATTTTACTTAGCACAATATTGTCAAGGATCGTCCATCCAAGGTACACTGTGGCATGTGTCAGAATTTGCTTCTTTTTTAAGGCTGAGTAATATTCCTGTATTAGTGTGCTTGGGATACTGTAACAAAATATCATAACCTGGGTAGCTTTTAAACAATAGGGATTTATTTGTCATAGTTCTAGAGCCTGGGAAGTCCAGGATCAAGGCCTTGAGTGCTGAGAAGAAGATAGCCATGGAAAGATCTGGAGGGAGAATGTCCTGAGCTTTTGAGCACAGCAACTGATAAGCACAACGTCCCTGAAATTAAAGTGCAGAGAGAAGGTCAGTGTGGCTAGAGCATAGTGACTGAGGGGAAGAGTAGCTGGAAATGAGGTCAGAGCATGGTCAGGGGCCACATAAACCTTGAAGTCTTTCTCAAGAGGGTTGGCTTTTTTATGCTTACAATGGAAAGTCATTGGTTGGCACAGGGCTCTCTCTGACTGCTGGATGAAGAGTTTACTACAAGGATGACAATATAAGCAGAGACCTGTTAGGAGCTTGTTGTGCTTGTCCAGGTGACAGATTGTGATGGGCTAGGTGAGTAACAATGTTGTTTCTCTTTAGTTCAAACAGTAGGTAATTTACTAGGCCAAATTCCTGCTTTTGGTCTTCCCAGCGCAACCTCCAATGTTAAGGCTGCAGAGATTAGTTTTCCGGTGTTAGTCAAAGTCTCTACTCAACCAGGTGGGTCAGGAAGAAGGCTCTTTTCCATGGAACTGAAGCAGGGTGTCTGAGGCACAAAGAGCAGTGGCATGTCATGGATGTCATCAATCTTGGCTTTAGCAAGATATTAGACACTGTTTCCCATGACTCCTTTTGAAAAAAAAAAAAAGGTTGAAATATAGTCTGAATCCAGGACAGTGCAGTGAATTCACTGCTGGTGGGACAGCTCCACCTGAGAGTGCTGATTTCTGATTCTGTGAAGTCCTAAGGAGTCTCACTGCCTGTTTTTTCTCATCAACACTCTCATCAGGGACTTGAGAGAAGCTCTGGAAGTTTGTTTATCCTCTTTGCAAATGCCGTAGGCCAGGAAAGATGAGTCATGGGTTGGAGGACAGATTCACTATTCAAAGGTCCCAGAGCTTTATATCCATGTTTGTGTCTCTCCGCTCCATCTCTTGATAGGTAGCCAACATAACATGCGTAAGAATCAACCAGAATGCTGTTTTAAGTGCTTAATATGGTCTGGCTCTGTGTCCCCATCCAAATCTCATCTTGAATTGTAATCTGAATTATAATCTCCACGTGTTGGGGGAGGGACCTTGTGAGAGGTGATGAGCCATGAGATCTGATGGCTTTATGAGGGGCTTTTCCCCCTTCACTCAGCACTTCTCTCTCCTGCTGCCATGTGAAGAAGGACATATTTGCTTCCCCTTCTGCCATAATTGTAAGTTTCCTGAGGCCTCCCCAGCCATGTGGAAGTGTGAGTCAATTAAACCTCTTTCCTTTATAAATTACCGAGTCTCAGGTATTTCTTCATAGCAGTATGAAAATGGACTAATACAGTGCTGGTGGTTTCCACTCCTGGTGGGCTTTGGGGAGGTCAGGAACATGTGCTTTTAATGAGTGCCAATCAGATTCTCAGGTAGGTGGTCTGGAGTCCACACGTTGGTTAACCCTACTTGATGCCACAGCATCGTCACACGAGGTTTGTAACTGCTTGTCCATGTGTTCACCACCCCACTAGTCTGTGAGCTTCTTCTTTACCTATTGTCAGTGCCTAGGACCTAGTGCCTAGTACCGATACACAACAGAGCTAATCAATGTTGTTGAAAGATCAGGCTGGAATATTGTACTATAAAACCAACAAAACTACATTTTAAGGGGATACAAGTAGAGACCATTTAAGATGAAAAACTCAGTTGGATAAATACAAAATGGGGAATTCGTGGCTTGGAAATATTTCCTGTGGAAAAGAGCCAGGGCTTTTGGCTCAATACCAAAGGCTGTTAAATAATAGCATATGGTAGCATCAGGAAGTTGAGAGCCCTTCATCATTAAAGATAATCAAGCAGAGAATATAATGAACCCAGGAATCCTATGTCATATAAGAAAAATTTCCCTTTCCATTTCTGTAAAAGTGACCTCAGTTAGGTAGCCATTATTTCTTAGCTAGAATGATGCCATTTCCTTCTGGGTCATGTTTTTGCTTCAAATTCCTCCCTCATGGAACATATGTAGGCCCCATTTATTGACTCCTCAGCACCTGTTTCTTCCTTCTTCCTTATTTGCAGAATTCTACTTTTGTTGGGGAGTCCAGCCTTCCTCCCAATTTCTCAGGTGTAAATAAAAATCAGGTGAAGCCAGTTGTGGTGGTCCCATTCTCTTTATCCATGATTGGTTTAGGCCAGGACATCTGACTCAACTCTGGCCAGTGAGTTGTAAGGGGAAGTCTCCTGGAAGCTTCCGTGAATGATTCCCTCATTCCTGAGAGAGATAGCAGGAAGAGATCTTTTCTTCTTCCTCTGGATATCGTTACATATGATTGCCAGATCTGGGAACTGAGGCAGCCCCTTTCTTAGAGGGAGCTACACTGAGTAGAATGCTGACATTCTGAGAATGGCAGAGCAGAAAGATGGAAGGCTGCTACTGAAAGAACCAACACTGGGACACCTCAACTTCTCAACCATCTTTTGAATGAGTTAGTAAATGCCTTTGTTGGTCAAGTCATACTGAGTTGGGTTTTCCGTTCTTTGCAGCCTAAACATCACAGGAGATGCACAGAACACCCTACTACATACAGTGTTGCCAGACTAACCTTTATAAAAGGCAATTTCGATCATGCCACACCTCATCAAAAACCTCAAATTTCTCCCTCAGTTTCCAATGTGTTTAAAATCAACCGCTCAAGCCTTGCTTTCCAAGGTGATTTGTCTTCTGCACTGAAATCAAATTTAACTTCCTGATATTTTGTCCATACGGCTGTTCCTGCATGGGGTTCCCATCCTGGGGTCCACTTCCCTTCCACCCCTCTTTGTTTGTTGAAATGTTACCTCTAAGGCACCTTGCCAAATCCTACCTTTTCCATGACAACCTTTTATGGTTAGCATTCCTTTTTTTCTGAACACTGCTCCCTGCCCTAGTGCTTTTGGGTACCTCTCTTAGGACTTAATATATTCTTCCATGTTGTATTATTACTTATATAGCTTTCTCATTCTGCCTACTAGTTGGTGAGCCCTGGGCACAGGGACCACATCTTGCTTGTCTTGGCAGGTTCAACAAATTCCAATTTGGTGCTTCACAAGGTGGACGCTCAGTAACCACTTGTTTAAATGTTGTATTGGGTGAGACATCAAAGGTCCTTCCCAATTCTTAAGCTCTGTGGTTTCTGTGCCTTCAGCTTTCTAATTTTGACTTAATTATTAAAACAGAGAAGCACTGTAACCTCTAAGTAAGAATGTGAAATGGCTCCAATCGAGTTTGAATTCATTAGGAAGACAATTCTTGAAACTTGGTCCTGTTATATTTATGTGTGGATAATCATGCAAAGGATTTAAAATTCCTAGGCTTCAGTTTCCCCTCTATCAAATGGGGATAATAGTGGTTACCTCATAAGGTTGTTGTGGGGACTAAGTGAAATGAATTATATGTAGCAATCCCTTCTGAACGTTCACTCGCATCCATGTCCCTTCCTTCTGGTTTAACTCTTCCTTCTGGTTTAGCTCAGCTTTGTGCAGCCAGGAACATCTCCAAGGGAATTAGCTAGTCCAATTCCTTTGTCGGTGGTGAGTTGAGGCTTGGAGGGAATTGTGGCTGATATGATATGAGGAAACATCTGCTTGGGACATTCTTGGAGAGGTTTCCTCATTCATAGAAAGAGACCCAGTGGAAGAGTCAGCCTCTTCTACTGAGCATTATCATCTTGAGAATGACAGCTATATTGTGACTGCAAGCGGAGCCCCAGGATGGCAAAATGGGATGGTGGCTTTGATGGCACTGAGTCACTGAATTAGCCAACTAGGAATGATCCTACTTTGGGACTTCTGTGATGTGAGGTAGTAAACCTTCTTTATTGTTCATGCTATTATTCAGAGCTAAGTTTTCTATGACTGCAATTGAAAGCAGTGCCTTACACGTGGTATGTATTCCACAAATGTAAAGTTGTGCATCATTTAGTCCTTTCCTATCATCTCATATGAGAACATCTGAGAAAACTGGAAAGAAAAATACTTAACTAAATTAAAATAGTCTTGAATAAAACAACTTTTATAACTTGACAGTTCTTTTTTGTTTGTTTTTGCAGAGCTTGCTGATTATGAAATAAAAAAAATCAGTCAGGGCAAAGGCTAGAATAGGTGATAAATGCAACCCATCTGGTGCTATAAGAAATATTGAACATACCAGGAAAAAATACAAATAAATGTAAAGGTTAACTTCATGCCAATATTATCTACTGGAAACTGATGTCTTGTTAAAACTCTAACATGTTTTATTTTCATAAGACACAGTGAAAATAGAAAAATCATAAACCAGTGCAAGAAAAATAAATGGAGGCTACTCCTGGGATTGAAGATTTAGGATTGTTGAATGTTAACAAAACTAGGTTTTGCTTTTTGTTTGTTGCTTTGTTTGTCTTAAAAATCAATGGACAGCCTTTGAGTAAAAGAATCTGCCAAAATATTTCTGGAGAGATTCCTAGGGTCAGTAGAAGAGACTTTCTTCCTCTTTCAGCTTCTTAAGGGACAAAAAATAGAAGTATATAAGATAGCATCTCTAAGCAAATCTACCCATATACCAACTATCTGAAAGAAAGGCTGACATTTCATTGCAAAGAATGTGGAAAGTTAGTTGCTTAAAAGCTAGGTATAAGCAGGTTCTTCTCCAACTCAAACTTCTCCCTGTTCTGGCCTTAAACGAATCTTGGAAGCTTTGTCCTTTGTGGACTGTGTAAGACTTGGACATTAAAACTCACTAGTGTGTCCAATGGACTTGAAAAATAGAAATCCATGGGCTATTGTGGCTTCATGTAGGAGGAAATGAATGCTCATTTAGAATTCTTTACCTAAAGATTAGCAGATAATGCCTGAAGGACTGAGAAAGAGGATCCAGAAGCCTAGCAAAGACCCTCTGTGCGTAGTTGGAACAATGAATACAACTTTATTTCGAGCATCCCCCTGGTTCAAGCCTGAGATGCCTGTCACTGGTTCCTGAATTCCTGACTCCCAGCAGGCAGGACTCCCTCCTTCTGTGCTCAGTCTCAGGGCTGCTCCTCTTACCAGCAAGCCAGGCAGTTTACCCATATGCAACAAGGTCCACCCATCAGCTCAGGATGCATCAGTGACTTGGCCTCCAGCTCTCTAAGTCTGCTTCCAGAAGCTTCCCAAGTGTCTTTCTATGAAGCCACTGAAGGTTGAGAGCCTCCACGTTTCCCTCCCTGGGTAATGAGGTGAACTTACCATCCTCTCGTTTGGAATTTCAGTGAGCTGAAGGCAGATCTCTGCTGCTGGAGACAGCTTGGTGGGAGATTAACTCTTGAGGTAGTGCCTGCCCTTCATATCCCCCCTCCCTGATAGACACACTTGGAACTGGGAGAGGAGTATGGTAGTTTCAGGTAGTCATTATAGAGTTGGGGACCACTGAGGATCCTAAAGAGCAAAACTTTTCTGTTGTACCAAGACTATTTGTAGTTGGTTTGAGAACAGAGTGTTTTGATCTAATACTCCCCAAAGAGCAGTGGGCCCCATCTCAGTTCCTTTGGTACCATGCCCATGTTTCTGTACCATGTCATGACTGTTGAAAGGAGCTTAGGCTTTGGAGATATGCCAATCTGTGTTTGCATGCTGGTTCTGCCACTTACCACCTGGGTAACCTTAAGTTAGTTACTTAGCTTCTCTGAGCCTCAGTTCCTTCAGGTCTAATACTGAGATTATAACTCCCAATTAATAAGGCTGTGGTGGGTTGAAATGAGATAAAGTGTATAAAATGGCTTGCATAGAGTTGGTGCATGGCAAATGCTAGAGAAATGGGTGAATATTATTCCTCCCCATTTATCACATTGCCTTTGACGTGGTTTCATACCATCTGCAGTGTTTGATGACAAGCTTTTGAGAACAGGAACTATTTGTCTTCTATTTTGAGTATCTAACCCTGTACTTGACTCATAGGTATTGCACAATAAATACTTTTTGAATGAATGGAGAAAAGACATTCATGAATCTGAAATTTCCACTCTTCTAAACGTAGAATAATTGAGAAACTGTGTTTCTGTATACTTTTCTTGTTGTTGTCTTTTATGAGATGTATAGATTCATTTTCAGTTTTCTCATTCAGGCAATAGTTTGAAATGATATGCCACCTTCATACTGTATAATAATCATATAGTGAAGTGAAATAGCTACACTACTATCTTAGTCTGTCTCTATATTTGTTTTTTGTTTCCATATTGGTCAGGTCAAGCAAGATGACACTATGGTAATAACCCCCACATCTCAGCGACATGGCAGGTCGCTTTCTCACTCATGCTATATGTTCAATGTGGGGCAGCAGTGAGGGTCAGAATGATAAAGATTTTGTCAGAGCATGTAGAGGAAAGGGAAGCTGGTGAATGACGCACCAGCTCTTAAAGCTTCTCAGAAGGGGCATACATCTGGCAGGGCACGGTGGCTCATGCCTGTAATTCCAGCACTTTGGGAGTCTGAGGTGGGTGGATCATGAGGTCAGGAGTTCAAGACCAGCCTGGCCAAGATGGTGAAACCCCATCTCTACTAAAGATACAAAACTTAGCCGGGCATGGTGGCACATGCCTGTAATCCCAGCTACTTGGAAGGCTGAAGCACAGAATTGCTTAAACCCAGGAGGCAGAGGTTGCAGTGAGCTGAGATCACACCACTGCACTCCAGCCTGGGTGACAGAGAGAGACTATGTCTCAAAAAAAAAAAAAATTGTTGGGGGCATACATTCTTTGCCCTTGAATTTTAGTGGCTGACACAACTTGTATAGCCAGGCAATCCTTTCTTGAGCTCAGAAGGAAGAAAGACAGAAATACTTGGTAAATGGTCTGAGTGGCTCCGCAGTTCAGGAAAGCAGAAGTCACAGCTACAAAATGGAGAGTGGAGGTAAGAGAAGGCAGTCCCCAAAATCTCAGCCTGCAGCAGTACAGCCAGGGAAAAGGAGCTCACTTGGAAGCCCCTAGAAGTCCCAAGAAACCCCAAGAAGCTTGTGAAGACCATCTAAGCCTGCAGCATCTTAAGAAGCTGCCACCCGGCCGGGTGCGATGGCTCACCCCTGTAATCCCAACTTTTTGGGGGGCCGAGATGGGCGGATCACGAGGTCAGGAGATCGAGACCATCCTGGCTAACATGGTGAAACCCCGTCTCTACTAAAATTACAAAAAATTAGCTGGGTGTGGTGGTGGGCGCCTGTAGTCCCAGCTACTTGGGAGGCTGAGGCAGGAGAATGGCGTGAACCCGGGAGGCAGAGCTTGCAGTGAGCCGAGATCATGCCACTGCACTCCAGCCTGGGCGACAGAGGGAGACTCCATCTCAAAAAAAAAAAAAAAAAAAGAAGCTGCCACCTACTAGGTCCACTGCCTACATTTTCAGGCAGGGGATGCTTACCTGGAAGCTGCCATGAACCTCCTACCTGCTGGCTGCCCACACATCTGCCTGTAACTTCCTCCTGGAATAACTCCTTCTCCACCTCCTGCTCCTCTCAGTGGCAGACTCTACCCTGCAACTGCATAGGGAAAGTGATTCTGGGAAATGCAGTTTTGCATCTCCCCTGCCACAGAGGCCACAACATGTCAACATCAGACAATGCAGCAGTTTTAGTTGTCAGAAGGATGATTAGCTGCTTCAAGTTCCAGCCTGTCACCTAGGGACTGTCACCTCTGAAATAATCTGAGAGATTATAGGGGCAGAGTCAGGGGATGAGGGAGGGTGCACATCCAACACAGCAACATGATACTAGCAAGAAAAATTCTGCTAGACAGGAATACGCCAGGGTGATGAAAAGGAGGTACAGCCAGGTTGCTCATGTGAGATATTTCTCTATTTCAATTCTCATTAAAGGTAAAGGACCACCTCCTACATCCTCACTCCTGCTACATGCAAGGGGAAATGAACCTCCAGAGTATAGACAACGGGAACAGTACAGTGAAATGGGTTGGAGGGGGCACAGTCTGTGTTTGGGCTTGGTGTGTGGGCAGAAGAGACCCGGATCCTAGTCCATGCCCTGCTAACTGGTCATGTGACTTGAAGTGGGTCCCTTCCATTTTCAGGGCTTTCTTTCCTACATTGAATTTAAAGTGTGTTTCTTGTCAACAGCATATAGTCGGGTCATGATGTTTTAGCCTCTTTATCAATCTGTCTTCATATTGGTACATTTAGGTTATTTACATTTAAGGTAATTATTGACAAGTTAGCACTTATGTCTCCCATGTTATTATTGTTTTTAATTTGTTTCCTATGGTTCTTATTCGTCTATATCTTGCCTTCCTGTGGTTACTTGAATATTTTTAGGATTCTGTTCTGATTTATTTATAGCTTATTTTGAGTGTATCTGTAGGGTTTAGTGGTCACTCTGGTTATTATCTTAGCCTACTGTATCAATGTTTCCACTGCAAGTGAAGTGTGGAAACCTTATGTCCTTTTAGGTCCCTTTACCTTCCCCGCATTCAAATATCATTGGCCTGAATATTAGCTGTTGTCATAATTTTTGTTTCAGTTATCAAATTATTATTTCTAAAACTCAAGAAAAGAATTATCTACAGTATGTACCCATATTTCTTCTATTTCTGTTGTCCTTTTGTTTTCCCAATGTTCCAAGCTTCCTTCTTCTATCGTTTTGTTTGAAGAGCTTTCTTTAGTCAATCTCTGAAGATAGGTCTGCTACTGACAAATTCCCTTAGTTTCCTTTGTCTGAGAATGTCTTTATTTTCCCCTTTCATTACGTAAGGACAGTTTTGCCACATATCATGGTTGTCAGTTCCTTTCTTTCAGCCCTTGAAAAATGTTGTGCCACTGCCTTCTGGCCTCCATAGTTTCTGATGAAAAATTCAAACTGATGCTCCTCTGTAGGTAATGTATCATTTTTCTCTAGTTGCTCTAAAGATTTTTTTCCTTTATCTTTAGTTTTCAGAAATCAAATTGTGATGTATCTTGGCACAGATTTCTTTGGTTTGTCCTATTTGGGGTTTTCTCAGTTTCGTAATTCTGTAGGTTAATATCTTTCACCAAATTTGGGAAGTTTTCAGCTATTATTCCTTCAAACATTCTTTTATCCCAAGTCTCTTTCTTTTCTTCTTCTGAAGATCCAATGATGCAACTAAGTTTCATTTTTTCATGAGGCTCTTTTCACTTTTTTGCCTTTGCTATTTTCTCTCTGTTATTCATTGGGTAAATTCTATTGATTTGCCATCTAGTTCACTGATTCTAACCTTTGTCTTCTCCACTCTACTACTGAGATTGTCAGGCAACTTTTTCATATCTGTTCTTGTATTTTTCTGTAGTATAATTTCCATTTGGGTTTCCCCTTTCCTCCCTCCCTCCCTCCCTTCCTTCATTCCTTCCTTCCTTCCTTCCTTCCTTCTTATATGGCAAATGAAATTTTATATATATATGTGTATATATATATATATATTTACTGTGTACAAGATGACATTTTAAAATATGTATACATTGTAGAATGGCTAACTCAAGCTAATGAACACATGCATTACCTCATATACCGTCTTTTATAGTGAGAACACTTAAAATCTACTTTCATAGCAATTTTCAGGAATATAATACATGGTTATTAGCTACAGTCACAATGTTGTACAATAGATCTCTTGGACTCTTTTCTCCTATCTAGCTGAAATTTTGTATCTTTTGACCAATATTTCTCCAACCCCCTGAGTTTCTTTTTTTATAGCATCTATTTCTTTGCTGAGATTTTTATTTTTTCATTCACTTTAAGAAAGTTTGTAGTTGATTATTGAAGCATTTTTATGAAGGTGGCTTTAAATTTCTTGTCAGAAAATTCCAACATCTGATTCATCCTGGGGTTGGAATCAGTTCATTGTCTTTTCTTACTCAAGTTGAAATTTTTCTGGTTCTTGGTACAGTGGGTGACATTGATTGTGTCCTGGACCTTTTGTCTATTATGTTAGAAGACTCTGGTTATATTTAACTCTTATATTTTAGTAGGCAGTCACCCTGTTTAGATTTAGCATGGGAGTACTGACCTACTTCTAAGGGCTGTGCTTCCAATGAGAGTTAAATTTTCTGGGCATTTTAGCTTTGTTTAGCTGGTGCTGCTGAGGCTCCCCCAGGTCCCTGCTGAGGTCCAGCCTGAGGGGCTGGAGGGTCTCTTGGTTGCAGAGGGGAGTTGCAGGCTTGCAGGGACCAACAGGCTTCCCAGGCCAGGTGCTTATTGTAGGGTCCCACCTACTGATCCCCTCTAGCTCCCCTGGTGCCTCCACAAAGAGGCTTCCTGAGCCAGACCACTTGTTATGTTGTGGTTTTCCCTTCGCGGTCCCCCTAACATCCATCTCTCAGTAGGTAAAGGGAGTGTTGGACCTGTGCAGAGAGACTGTTTCCCCTTGCTGCTTAGTTATTGCGGCTCCTGATCAACCTACTTGCCAGCAGTTTGGGGCTCATCTGATATTGGAGAAACTCCCACTTGATCTGGGGGAGGAGTGATTACCTTCTGTTGTTAGGTTGGGCCGCCTCAGACATGATTTCTCTAGGAAGCCTTTCAGATCCACTTCCCCACATGACTCCCGATTCCCCAGCACCCTCTCCTCCCCCTGCCTGGCACAGGACTGCAATCATTATTTCCTCACCTCTTCCTCCCATCATGCTGCAAATCCCCTGAATCAGAGGCTGCACCTCAGAGGCTCTGTGGCTCCAGTGCCTTGCAAAGTGGCCACCACTCAGGGGGCCAGGATAAATATGACCAGATAAGTACAGAGTAAAGTCAATCATGGAAAAAATATCTGAGTTTTAATACAGCTTCTTGCAGATAATGTCTTCCCAACGGACTGAGAACACAGGGATTGAAGACACCTGAGAAGTTGCTAGAAGGGATATTTTTCAGAAACTAGGCCTCTTGTGGCTCCTCTAATCTCACCAAGGAGGTAATCACTACCTTCAGGACACTTAGACTAGAGTGGCCTGGCTTATCATAGGCCTTAATGTATGACTAATAGGGTTCGGAATTGGCCTTTATGAGGAAACTGGCTTCCATTTAATTTACTTCATGTAAAGATAATTTTTTTTCAGCTTACCCTCTATTCTATCTCTCTAGCAAGCATCTAACATGTCCCTACATCTGAACCACATGCTTCAGAGGCACTCAGAGCTAGAGGGAATGTAGACAGGCTTGCTTGTAGCCCATGCCTTCATTCCCCATGCGTGAGGAAAGGACATGCCTGAATTTCCACCCAGGGGGAGATGGGCACTAGTACCTAGGTCCCCTTCCTGGACCAAGTTTTCCTGCAGGTCGTCCCACCACCACCTTACCATTTTGGTATAAATGTGGCCATAAACTATTTTTAAAAATTATTTTTAAATTTTTTATTTTTATCTTTATTTTATTTTATTTTATTTTTGTGGAGACAGGGTCTCATTATGTTGCCCAGGCTGGTCTTCATCTCCTGGTCTCAAGCAATCCTCTTGCCTCGGCCTCCCAAAGTCCTGGGATTACAGGTGAGATCCACCACACCAAGCTGCAAGAAACTATTCATCACAGGAGATAAGAACACAGAAAATTAGCAAATGAAAAGAAAAAGCCACTTGTAACTCTATCACCCAAAGGTAACCATTGTTGATTACAGTACATATTTCTCTATTTCTTTTTTTTTTTTTTTTTTGAGATGGGGTCTTGCTCAGTTGCCAGGCTGGAGTGCAGTGGCATGATCTCGGCTCACTGCAACCTGCGCCTCCCAGGTTCAAGCAATTCCCCTGCCTCAGCCTCCTGAGTAGCTGGGACTACAGGTGTGTGCCACCATGCCTGGCTAATTTTCGGTATTTTAGTAGAGACAAGGTTTCACCATGTTGGCCAGGCTGGTCTCGAACTCCTGACCTTATGATCCACCTGCCTCGGCCTCCCAAAGGGCTGGGATTACAGGCATGAGCCACTGCACCCAGCCCATATTCCTCTGTTTCTAAAAGCTACATTTTAGAATTTAAATTAGAGTTATGCTAATCATCCACTTTTGTATCCATTTTAGAAAAATTGATAATATATTTGTGAAAACGTCTCATATCATTCACCTTCTATGATAGAACTGTTAATAGTAGGAAAATAATCCTAGTAGCTAATTCATATCGAAGGCCTCATACATATCAGCGAATTTTCTAAGGCCTGTGCTTCTCATCTTAGCCCCGCTTTGTGGATGAGGATGTAGAGGCACAGAAATGCTAAGTACTTGCCCAGGGTGCACCGCTGGCAAGGCCCAGGCAGCCTGGCTTGAAAATCTGGGTTCTCAGCCTGTCCGCACCTCTTACCTAGGCATGTCATCCAACCACTGTGTATAGTTAGGATGCTTATAATTCTCACTCCAATTAACAACACTGTTCCCAGTGACTTTGTATGGACATGTTTGTATAAATTTCTGACTATTTTTGTAGCACAAATTCCTAGAAGTGCAATTGTCAAATTGACCATGTTGAAGAGTTTTGTTACGCATGTGCCAAATTCTCCACTCTGAGACGTGAAGAGCTTGAGAATGTCTTTGTCACTCACCCCTCTGGGCTGGGAAAGCACAACTTGTCACTTTTGCAGTTGTCCCTAAGATTAATGAAAAGATGCTGTGATGGTTAATAATTAGGTGTCAACTTGATTGGATTGAGGGTTGCCTAGATGGCTGGTGAAGTATTGTTTCTGGGTGTGTCTGGGAGGGTTTTGTCAGAGGAGATTGACATTTGAGTGGGTGAACTGGGAGCAGAAGACCCTCCCTCAATGTGGGTTGGCACCACCCAATCGGCTGCCAGCATGGCTGGCACAAAGCAAGCAGAAGAAAGTGGCATGGTTTTGCTTGCTGAATCTTCCAGCTTCCTTCTTCTTCCAGTGCCGGACACTTGCTTCTGCTCCTCTTGCCTTTGGACATCAGATTCCAGGTTCTTTGTCCTTTGGACTCTGGGGCTTGCACCAGTGGCTTGCCAGGGGCTCCTGGGCATTTGGCCACAGACTGAAGGCTGCATTGTCAGCTTCCCTGGTTTCGACGCTTTGGTACTCAGACTAAGCCACTATTGGCTCCTCTTTCCCCAGCTTGCAGATGGCCTTTCGTGGGACTTTGCCTTGTAATCATGTGAGCCAATTCTCCCTAATAAACTCCTTCTCATATATACATATATCCTATTTGTTCTGTCCCTCTGGAGAATCCTGATTAATACAGATGTTCTCACTAACCAGTTCTACAAGAAGCTGGATCCTCATCTTTTCAGCAAACCTCCTTCATTCAACAGATAGCTCAGGCCAGGCACTAGGAACATGAAGACCAAAGCATAAACCTTGTAAACAAATGGTTGCACTGGACTAGAGTGTTTCCATCAGTTGAGGGTTTTCCTGTGTCACTCTTCATGCAGGTATATCATCTTACCGTTAGGTAGATATTCTCATTTTCCAGATGAGGAAACTGAGGCTTGAAGAGTGTGACTTGCCAGGGTGCCCACTGGAAAGAAGCAATATCCAGACCCCAGGTATCTGACTCCCACACTTCCTGGGCTCTTAACTATTGCTCCTACTGCCAGGGACAGCAGACACAGGATGGAAGCAGGGACAGGGGCCGAGGCAGAGGCAGAAATGAAGTGAGTATCTGTGAGTTGCTGGCAGGAAAGGCAGAGGGAACCATTTAGGCAACTGTCTGGGGCCCAGCATGAACTGGCAGGCTCTGGGCCTGAAATGTGGGGGTGAGTGTGGAGGGAGAGTAGCCACAAGGGAAGAATCTGGAGGGGAGATCAGGTCACCAGTGGTTGGGTTATGGCTGTCTCTCTGGATGTCAGTCTAGTGAAAAGCTCATTTTACTAGACTGCGGCCTCTGCAATTCCCCTCAATCACATTTGTGTGTGAACACAGGTATGCCAGGGAAAGTGGTGGTTGTTCAAGTTGCATGGATCTATTGCAGTAGTCCGGGTGAGAAACTGCTTCTGGTTTCTCCACTTTCACTTTCCCTCCTGATGAGGTCATCTCTCACTTGGAGGTAAGGTGACCAACTCAGCCCGGGTTGCCTGGGACATTCTGCTTTTAGCATTAAATGTTCTGCATCCCGGGAGACCCCTCCGTTCAAAGCTATCTGGGGGACAATCATTTTGGGGGCTGGGAAGCAGAGCAGCCAGTTTCAGAGGGGCATGGGTCTGGGTCGGTGCAGTTGCAGCCAAGAACAAAGGGACTGGTCTCAAGTCAGTCAAATCTGGATGGAATCCAGTGACGGGGGTAGGCGTTGAATGTGAAATCCGTGCGTCAAGCTTCATGAGGGCAGGCTTGGGTCGGCTTGTCCTCAGCTGCCTCAGCAGTGCTCCGCGAAGTGTAACACATCAGAGCTGCCTAACTCAGGGCTGAAAGGGACCAAAAGAGATTGTTGCGTTCAGATCGACTTAGATCTTCACAGCTGCTTCACGTCTGCTCACTGGGTCCACATGATTCCTAGTAAAGCCTTTTTCAGTTTTCCATGGTTGCTGTGACACCTCAAGTGACCTCCCCTTTAGCCCTGAGTTCTACGAAGGTGTAATGTATCTTGCAGCAGGTAAACACCCTCAAGTGGCAAGTGCACAGAAAAATAAATTTTGCAATGGGCCAGAAAATGGAGCCTCAGTCTACTCTTGTGTGTGTCTGGTCCCCTGCTCACAGTAGATAGGAACACACATATTTTGGTTTGAATTAAACCCTGGGAAAATTTGCAGCATTTATGAAAAATGTGGGAAATGTGAGTGGATGCAGCGTGGCTGTTTGCCTGGGCCAATTCTGCCCCAGCCAACGATCTGAGGAAGGAAGAAGGGTTACTTAGCACAGCGGCAACGCTTGTTCAATGGCCTTCACATCCTCCCTGGGTACCCCCAAAGCGGCCCCTTCCTTGGTTGTGCTCTAGAAATACAGAATAAGTAAACATCCAGGTGTCCTTGATGGAAAGATGAATAACTTTCCACTCTGAATGGGGAAGGGGCCAAGCTGGTCCTGTGGTGCTGCTGCCCAGAGAACAGTGGAGGAGACAGAGATCTCTTAACTGTTTCAAACACAGGCGGGATTGATACTCCATTTTTTTTGAAAAAAAATTTTTTTTTTGAGACACAGTCCCACTCTGTTGCCCAGGCTGGAGTGCAGTGGCACAATCTCGGCTCACTGCAACCTCTGCCTCCTGGGTTCAAGCAATTCTCATGCCTCAGCCTCCTGAGTAGCTGGAACTACAGGTGCCCGCCACCATGCCTGGCTAATTTTTGTATTTTTCGTAGAGACAGTTTCACCGTGTTGGCCAGGATGATCTCAGTCTCCTGAACTCAGGTGATCTGCCCACCTCAGCCTCCCAAAATGCTGGGATTACAGGTGTGAGCCACCGTGCCCAGCCTGATATTTAATTTTGAACTTCCATGTTGTATTGGAAATAAAGCATTAAATTGTTAATTCTTGCTTCTCTATTCACCCGTGACCTTAAGGTGTTAGGGTCTGTGGATGAATCAACCATTTGGACTCTTACATCTGCTCCTTTATGTGCAGAAACACAGGGAGAGAGTCAAGCCAAGTGCGGCTCCCCTACTTGGCCAATGTGAATAGTAAAGTGCTGTGTGAGTGGAAAAGCAGTTAGATTTCCTAACTTTACTACACTGGGATTTCCCAGGAAAGCACAGGCTGGAAGAATGATGTAATGGGTATATTTTACATATGTTTTCAATAAGCATGCCTGTGTGGGCCATTCATGGAAAAACCCTTCCCATCAAGTCACACCACGTGGGACAGAGTCTGGCAGTACCAGCAGTGCCCCAGTCCCCATAGTCTCCTGTTTCAGTCGTTAAAAGGCGATTTTGACTCTCCCTTTGTAGAAATCATACAGCTTCTGTATCTGATCAGAAGGTCAACAACACAATCATCTGATGTTAGGCTAGAGGTAAGAACAGCCGGCTCTGGGGTTCCCGGAGGAAGGAATTGCCAATCTCGCCTGAAAGAACTGGTAAGAACCCTCCTCCATTCCCTGACACTGAAACATGGGAAGAAGCTCAGTCCAGCTGTTCTTGATCAAGGCTGGGACTTGTCAAGTGTCATGAGTAGCCTGCCCAGACAGAAATGAGCGGGGGAGAGGGTTTTCTTAGTTTGGACCAATTCTGGCATCATAGTTTTGATCACAGTTGTCTGTTGGAGTGAACTTGGCAGAGAAATACAGTAAGTCTGTAGAAACTCAGTCAGGATGGAATGCACAGTCTTCAATGGGGAATTTTATAAAGACCACAAAATAGCTCAGTTAAGACTGACTAACCCCACACAATGGCAGAAGAACGACATAGTTTCATTTATTCCACAAATATTTGCTGAGTGTCTGCCCCAGGCCAGGCACTGTCGGCACTGAGGAGATAATAGTGTACGGTGTGGCTGCAGCCCCTGGGTTCAAAGGGCTTGTATTTTAGATGGAAAGACCCACGACTAAACAGTCCATGACACAAATGTGTAAAAAGTATGGTGGAAAGGGAAACTCAGGGTTGCACAGCCAACACACACCTACCTGGTCTAGGTGCAGCAGAAGATAGCCCTTGAGCAAATGGCTATTGGAAGATTTATTTTTAAAAAATTACTTGTGGTAAGATCATGTAACATTAGATCTACCCTCTTAATAAATTTTTGAGTGTATGCTACAGTATAGTGAACCACAGGCAGAATGCTGTACAGCAAATCTCTAGAACTTACTCATCTTGCCTAACTGAAACTTTATACCCATCAAGTCACAACTTCCTATGTCCCTCTTCCCCCAGCTCCTGGCAACCACCATTCTACTTTCTGCTTATAAGAGTTTGACTATTTTAGATACCTTTTTAAGTGACATCATGCAGTATTTGTCCTAAATATGTCACTTGCTATAATGTCCTCGCTTTCATCCAAGTTGTTGCATATGGCAGGATTTCCTTCTTTTTAAGGCTTAATAATATTCCATTGTCCATATGTACCCTATTGTCTTTATCCATTCACCTGTTGATGGATATTTAGTTTGTTTCCACATGTTGGCTATTGCGAATAGCCAACAGTAAACATGGGAGTGCAAATATCTCTTTGAGATCCTAATTTTACTTCTTTTGGATAAATACCCAGAAGTGAGATTGCTGTACCATAAACTAATTCTATTTCTAATTTTGTGAGGAATTAAGATACCGTTTTCCATAGTGGCTTCATCATTTTATATTCTCACTAACAGTGTAAAAGGGCTCTAATTTCTCCAATGCTTACCTTCTGTGTTTTTTTGGGGGGATAGGGGTGGGGGTGGGGGCGGGTAATAGCCCTCCTAACTAGTGTAATGTGACATTTCATTGTGGTTTTCATTTGCATTTTCCTGATGATTAGTGATGTTGAGCATGTTTTCATGTACTGTTTGGCCATTCGTATGCCTTCCTTAAAGAAATGACTACTCAAGTGCTTAGCCCATTTTTAAATTGGGTTATTTCACTTTTTTACTATTGAGTTATATGAGTTCCTTATAAATTTTGAATATTAACCCCTTGTCAGATATATAGTTTGCAAATATATTTTCCCGTTCCATAGGTTACCTTTTCACTCTGCCAATTGTTCCGTTGCTATGCAGAACAGCATTCCCATTTTCCCATTCCACAGGTTACTTTTTCACTCTGTTAATTGTTCCGTTGCTGTATTCTGTTTTTGTTTTTGTGTACTGTGCTTTTGGCATCATATCCAATAAATCACTGCCAATACCAATATAATGAAGGATCCTCTGTATGTTTTCTCCTGGGAGTTTTACAGTTTAAGTCTTTAATCCACCTTGAGATCATTTAAAAAAACTTTATCAAGGAAAAATTTACATAAAATATAATTTACCAACTTTAAGTGAACAGCTCCATGAGTTTTGACAGTTGATTGTAAATACTGTCACAATCAAGATGTAGAACTTGCCCACCACCCCCAAAAGTCAGGCTTGTGAGCCTTTGCTGTCAATCCTGACCTCACACCCCCAGTTTTAGATGACCACAGATCTATTTTCTATGATCAAAGATTAGATTTGTGCTTTCTAGAGTTTAATATAAATGGACTAATATATAATATATTCTTTTATGTCTGGGGTCTTTTCCTCAACATGACGTTTTTGACATTCATCGATGTTGTTGAATGTGTTAGTGGCTCATTCCTCTTGATTGCTGAGTAGTATTTTACTGTATGAATATTCCATACTTTAGTTATTTGTCTTTGGATGGACATTTGAGTTGTTTCTACTTGTAGGCTATTATGTATAAAACTGCTATAAATATTCATGTATAAGTCTTTGTATAAACACGTTTTATTTTTCTTAGGTAAATACCTAGAGCACAATGCTGGGTGTTAGGGTAAGTGTCTGTTTAATTTTATAAGAAACTGCCCAACTGTTTTCCAAAATGCTTGTGTCATTTTATGCCCCACCGTAACTGTAGGGCAGTTCCAATTGTTCCATCTCTTGGTTATCTAAAGCTGCATAACAAATTACTACACATGTAGAGACTTGAAAGAACATGCTTGATGACCCACAGTTTCTGCAGGTCAGGAATCTTGGCATGGGTTACCTGGGCCCAAGGTTTCAGAGTCTTTCATGAGGCTGCAATTAAGGGCAAGACTTATCTGAGGCTGGAGTGGAGAAGGATTCACTCCTAAGCTCTTGGGACTGTTGTCAGGATTCACTTCCTTGTGCACTGTTGGAACTCAGTTCCTTGCCAGATGTTGCCTGGTGGTCACACTCAATTCTTTGTTTCATGGGGTGCTGCATAATGTAGCCTACTTCATCACATCCAGCGAGGGAGACAGTCATTAGAGAGAATGGGCTGGCAAGACGGAAGTTACGGTCTTCTGTGATGTAAACACGGAAGTGACGTCCAATCCCCTTCACCATATTCTATTGGTTAGAAGCAAGTCATAGGTCCCACCCATACTCAAGGGGAGGGACGCCACAAGGACAGGAGTACCAGGAAGGGGGGTCAGTGGGGACCATGCATCATCCACCTTTTTTTAATTTTAGCCTTTCTGGTGGTCGTGTGCTGCCATGCTGCAACTTTAATTTGCATTTTCCTGATTATTAATATGTTGAGCATCTTTTCACAAGCTTATTTGCCATTTGTATATCTTTTTCTGCAAAGTGTGTGTTCATATCTTTTGCTCTCATCTCTTTTATTTTTTTATTTTTTTTAGATGGAGTCTTGCTCTGTCATCCAGGCTGGAGTGCAATGGCGTCATCTGGGCTCACTGCAACCTCCACCTCCTAGGTTCAAGCACTTCTCGTGCCTCAGCTTCCCAAGTAACTGGGATTACAGGTGCACACCACCACACCTGGCTAATTTTTTTGTATTTTTGGTAGAGATGGGGTTTCACCATGTTGGCCAGGCTGGTCTTGAACTCCTGACCTCAGGTGATCTGCACACCTCAGCCTCTCAAAGTGCTGGGATTACAGGTGTGAGCCACCACCCAGCCTCATCTCTTTTAAAATTGAGTTCTTTTTATTTTATTTCTGAGTTACAGAAGCTTTTTATTTCTTTTGGATATAAGCCCTTTGTCAGATAATGTTTTTGCTAACATTTTATCACAATCTGTAGTTTTCCTCTTCATTTTCTTAGTGGTGTCTTTTGATGGGCAGAATTTTAAATTTCGATTAAGGGTAATATATCAATTTTTCCTTTTGGGTTATTGCTCTCTGTGTCCTGTCTATGAAATTGTTGTCTAATCCCAAATCAGTAAGATAGTCTCCTATGTTTCCTTCTAAAATATATACGATTTTAGCTTTTACATTTAGGTCTGTGATCCACTTTGAGTTTTACTCTGAGTGTTCTTTGTTTATGCTGAGACGGCACCGAGCTTCATTTTCTTCCCTCAGTATGAATACACAGTTGTTCTAGCACCATATGTTCAAAGGACTCTCTTTTTCCTGTTCAATTATCTTAGCCCCTGTGTTAAAAATCAATTAATGTGTGGATCCACATCCCTGTGTTAAAAATCAATTAATGTGTGGGTCCACATTTGGCATTTTTTAATGTTCTGTTGGTCTCACATTGTCTTCATCACTGTAGGTTTCAGTGAGTCTTTAAATCAGGCAATGCGAAGACTCTAATGTTTGTCTTCCTTTTCAAAGGAATATCTTGGGATATTCTAGGTTCTTTGCATTTCCATACACATTTGAGAATTATCTAATATTTATAAAAGAAGCCTGTTAAGAACTTGATTAGGATTGTATTGAGACTATAGATTCATTTGAAGAGAATTGCCATCTTAATAATATTAAGTCTTTTTTCCCATTTATGTGGTATAGTTATTTATTTAGGTGTCCTTTAATTTATATCAGCAATGTTTTATAGTGTACGGGGTGTAGATCCTTAATATATTTTGTCTAAACATATTGCTATGTGTGTCATTTGGTGATATTGTAAATAGTGTTGTTTTTAAATTTCAATTTATTTTTTGAGACAGGGTCTCCCTGTGTCACCCAGGCTGGAGTGCAGTGGTATGATCATAGCTCACCACGGCCTCCAATTCCTGGGCTCAAATGACCCTCCTGCCTCAGCCTCCAGAGTAGCTGGGACTACAAATGCATGCCACCATATCCAGCCAGATTTCAATCTTCAATTGTTTGTTGCTAGTAAATGGAAATACAGTTCATTTTGTTTACTGGCCTGTGATTTTTACCCCATGTCCCTGTTACACTTCAGTTTGTCAGTCCCAGCAGCTTTTTTGCAGATTCTAAAAATCTTCTTTGTATATAAATATATTGTTTCTCAATAATGACAATTATACTTCCTCCTTTCCAATCTGTATGCCTTTTATATCTTTTATTCTTTGTCTTCATACACTGACTATGACATCTAGTATGATGTTGCATAAACCCCTAAAAGTAGACATACTGCCTGGTTGCTGCGCTTAGGAGGGAATTCATCATTCCTCTTGCTATGATGGTGGTTGTAGGTTTTTCAGAGATGCCTTTTATCGTGTTGAGAAAGTTGTCTTCTATTCCTAGTTTCCTGAGAGTTTTTTCTTAATTGGATTTTTAATTTTGTCAAATAATTTTCTTGCATCTATTGGTTTTGCTTTATTTTTTAATATGGTGAATTTACATTGATAATTTTCCAATGTTAAACGTTGAATTCCTGAGATGAAACCCAAGAATTATTATTTTCATATATTACTGGAATTAATTTTCTAAAATTCTCTTAGAATTTTTGAATCTATGTTCATGAGGGGTATTTGTCTGTAATTTCCTTTTCTTACAATGTCTTTGTCTCGTTTTGGTATCAAAGTAAGAAGGCTGATTCCATGAATTAATTGGGACATGTTCCTTCCCCCAATTTCTGAAAGGGTTTGAGTAGGAATGGTGTTTCTTCTTTAAGTCTTTCAGAAAATCTGCCAGTAAAGTCATCTGTGCTTGTGATTTTCTTTGTGAGAATGTTGTAATTATGAATTCAATTGCTTACATAGACATAGAATTATTCGACTGTCTATTTTTTTTCTTGAGACAATTTTGGTACTTGTGTTTTTCAAGGAATTTTTCCATTTTATTTATGGTTGTTGAATTTATTGGCATAAAGTTGTTCATGTATTTTCTTATCTTTTGGCTTTATTGAGCTATAATGACACCATAAATTGTGCATATTTAAGTGTATACTGATACATTTTGACATATGTCCAGCCCTGTGAAACCATTTTAGGGCTAGTTTTTACCCACTCTATAGGCAAGACCCTTCCAAGTGTTCTCTCCATCACCTCTCTCATATGAGGTTTTCATGTCCGGCTGGTTAGAATAAACACCATTTCTGTCCTGGTGTGAGCTCCAGGTAATGTTCCCCCTCATCTTTTTGGGCGGTTCCTTCTCTAGCCTCACCCATTTCACTGACCAGTGCTCTATCAGTAGTTGATGAGGAGCCTGCAGACCTCCAGAGTCCTCTCTGCAGCTCTCTCCTCTCTGGCAGTCTGCCCTGTAATCTCTCGCCTCTGTCCTCTCCCTGGGCCATCAGCTCCATCTCTTCCACTCAGGGAATCCACTAGGTTCTAGCTGTGTGCCCCATCCCTGCACCAGGGCCTGGAGACCCTCTTCAGGCAATAAGACAGGCAATTATAGGCCTCACCTCACTGGTTTCCTGTCTCTCAGGGATTGTTGTCCTTTGTTGCCTGATCCGATGTCTCAAAAGCCATTGTTTCACGTATTTTGTCTAGTGTTTTATGTTGTTTCATGCAGGAAGGAAAATCCTGTGCAGTGTTTCATGGGTTTTGAATCTCTGCTATTGGGTACAAACATTTTTAGTGTTGTTAAGTATTCTTGCTAAATTGATCTGTTTATCGTTTTTGAAATATTCCTCTTTGTCTTTGGTTTATGCCTTGTTTGGAAGTCTGAAGAATGTCTTTGTCTGACATGAATAGAACTACTCCAGCTTTGTTATGAATAGTGTTGGCATGGTATAGCTTTTCTATATTCTTTAACTTTTGATCTCTCTCTCTCTCTCTGTGTGTGTGTGTGTGTTCCCTTGAATAATAGTTCTTGCTTTTTCACTCAGTCTTATAATCTTTGCTTTTAATTGGAGTGCTTAGACTAACCCTTTTCAATAGACCTTTCTGTGATAATGAAAATGTTATAAATGTTCCGTCTAATGTGCTACCCACTAACCAGATGGCTACTGAGCACTTGAAATATGGCCACAGTGACCGAGGAACTAAATTGATTTTATTAAAGTTTAAGTTAATTTCTTTTTTTCTTTTTTTTTTTTTTTTTGACAGAGTCTCACTCTGTCACACAGGCTGCAATGCAGTGGTGCGATCTTGACTCATTGCAGCCTCACCAACCCAGGCTCAAGCGTAGCTGGGATTACAGGCGCACGCCACCGTGCCCAGCTAATATTTTAAATTTTTTTGTAGAGCCTGGGTTCCACCATCGCACCCAGGCTGGTCTTGAACTCCTGGGCTCAAGCTATCTGTCTGCTTTGGCCTCCCAAAATGCTGGGATTACAGACATGAGCCATTGCACCCAGCCTTAACTTAATTTCAATAGCCCCACGTGGCTAGTGGTTTGTGTACTAGACAGAATAGGTTGACTATATTTAATGTAATTATTGATGTGATTTGGGATTAATTTTACCATCTTGTTATTTGTTTTTAATTTTTAAAAATATTTTTCATCTCTTCTTTATTCGTTTTTTCTCTTTCCCTCCTGATTTTGTATTGAATTTATTTCTTTATTTTACCATTGGCTTATTAGCTATATCTTTCATTTTGTTTTGTGGTTGTTCTAGGATTTATCATATTCTTCTTTAATTATAAAGTCTACCTTTAATTAATATCATATCGGCCAGGCATGGTGGCTTACACCTGTAAGTGCTTTGGGAGGCCAAGGTGGGAGGATCTCTTGAGCTCCAGAGTTTGAGGCTGCAGTGAGCTGTCATTGCGCCATTGCACTCCAGCCTGGGTGACATAGCGAGAGCCTGTCTCAAAAAAAAAAAAAAGGAGATATTATACCTCCTCACATATAAGGACCTTATAATATACTTCCCTTCCCGACATCTTTTGTGTTATTATTATGTATTTAATTCCACTTATGTTATAAACCTCACAATATATTGTTATTTTTACTTTAAACAATTACCTTTTAAGGAATTTTTAAAAATTATAATAAGAAAAAAGTATTTTTATTTTTATTTTTTATAGAGATTGGATCTCCCTATGTTGCCCAGACTGGTCTTGAACCCCTGGGCTAGAGGAATCCTCCTTCCTTGGCCTCCCAAAGTGCTGGGATTACAGGCATGAGCCATGGTGTCCAGTCTAGAGTATTTTTATTTATCACATATTTAAATTTTCTGTTGCTTCTCGCTTCTTTGTGTAGATCCAAGTTCCCATCTGGTATCATTTTCCTTCACCTTGAAGGACTTTATTTACCACTTCTCATGGTGCAGGGCTGCTGATGAAGAATTAGCTTTTTTTTTTTTTTGTCTGAAAGTCTCCAATTTTTTTTTTTCATTTAGAAGATATTTACCGGGTATATAATTCTAGGGTGACTCTTTTTTGTCATCTTAAAATACTTTGTTCCAATCTCTTGTGTTCTTAATAATTTCTTACTAGGCATTTACTGTGATTCCTGTCTTTGTTTCTTTGTGTGTAGTGTCATTTTTGCCTGGTTGTCCGGAAGATAATCTTTCCAGGACTCGGTTTCAGGAATTTGATTATGACGTTCACCTGGTGTCGTGTTCTTTGTGTTTATCCTCCTGGGCTTGGTGATCTTCATGGATCTCAAGATTTATAGTTTTTGCAAAATTTGGAAAAAATTATTTCTTCTTGTATTTTCCCCTCTACATCTTCCCCTTTTTTTGGAATTCCAATTGTGAATATATTAGACTGCCTGATTTGTCTCACAAGTCACTGATATTTTGTTCATTTTTAAAGTTTTTTTTCTCTTTCTATTCTACATTTTGGATAGTTTTTTGTTTTGTCTTGTTTCTTTTTTTGCTACGTCTTCACCTTTGGGTTCACACCTCTTTTCTTCTGCAGTGTCTAATCCGCCGTTGGTCCCATCCAGGACAGGGGGAGAGACTCTGCAAAGGTACAGAGATAGGCAGCAGCCGGGGGGCTCTGGGAACTGCAGCGTCCCCTGTGATCTCACCATGCTCAGCTTCAGCTCAGCCTCAGCTCAGCGGCAGGGAAGAGAAGTTCTGTATGCTGACCTGCTGCAAGGAGTCCTTTCAGGCAACTGAGTGGAAATGCAGCCATTTCTCAACTGCAAACTCTCCCTAGAGAGTCAAATTCTCTTCCCTTTTGTAGTGCAAGGGAGTAGTCATCTTCCTATCTCTCATGAGGCAACCTCCCACTCTCGCCTAATTGGAAATATCTCCTGGTCCACACAATGCCACAGCTGGCAGTTCCCCCCGCCTCACCCCCACCCCGTTCCCTCCTTGCAACAGAGCTGCTTCTCTAACTGCTGTGAATGATGAGGAAATCTGAGCCACGTGAAAGAAGCATAGGAACCTATGCCAAGCCCTATTGTGCCACTGACCTTCGGATTTGAATGAAATTAACAATTGCCTAATGAATTGAGTTCTGATAATTTCTATCAAGGCACTTTAAAGTGATGGGCCCCAAGAATTCATCCTGGGGATGAGGTAAAGGCAGTGTCTTTTTATTCAATGTGCAAATTATTTGAAAGTCTCTTCCACGTGATTCAGTGTCCTCGATGACTCATTTATAATTTTTCTGCAAGGGAATGTTAAAGTGACGGGGCCAGTGACCTTCCAGAGAAAGTGCTTTGCTGCTCTTCTGAGACCTTTTAGCACCTATACTAAATGAATGCCAGTGCAGGAGCTTATGTGTGGAAAGACTCAATTCCATGAAGGGCCCTGTTAAAAATATGACAGTACCCAAACCCTCGTGACCCCAAACCCTCACAATCCTGTGCTTGCAGCAAAGCAACCGGGAAAGGTCAGCTCACCCTGGCTCATGTTGTTGTCAACTCTCTGAATTTAGGATTTCGAACTAAAGTTAGAAAAGTGTGCATTGCTTTGTGTAGTCAGTCTCTTTTCCAGAAAATACGTTTTGATTTTTTTTTTTTTTTGGTAGATAACATCATTTTCAGCTGACACTAGGTGAATAATTTATATTTAATAAATTCATTTAAATGGGTACTATAATGAACGAATTAACACGATGAGTGACAGAAGAGGCAAACAATGTGATTTTTGTGATCGAGCATTTAGAAAGGTTAAACTGACAATCTTGACGCTTATGGAAGTTAAATGGTCAGGTGCTGGGACACTTCGTAAGAGAACTGGCCAGGTTGGGGAGAAATTGAGAACACTTTGGAAAACGGAGACGTAGGTCCCAGACCTGCCAGTTATGGGCTAAGGAGGGTTTGTGAATCACTTAGTATTCTAAAGTTGTGGCCTCTCCCTTTGTAAAATAATTTTATCTGTTTAATAGGGTGCTTGGAAAGTTAAATGCCAAAATAAATGCCATGGTACTTTATAAACTGGAAAGCCCTGTTACTATTAAGAGGGGCCAGATTTCAAAGAAAGCAGAGGCCTTGTGGGCTGCTATTGCCCCAGAAGAGGATTTGGATGTAGAGAGACTGAAGATTGGTTGAACCTTGGAGAGGCCACGGAGAGGAGGAAGAACGCTCACTAGAAAGACGGCATGACTGAGGAAGTCGGTGGGAACAAGCCTGCTTCTCCCATGGGAATGTTTCTAATCCTTTACTGTGGCCACCCTTCTCCAAACTCTGCGGAGGGAGATTGCAGGCTGACCCTACCATGGTGCAGCATTTGGACCATGACTGTCTGGGGGCACGAAGTGCTTTGTGATTTGGTTTAAGGGTGAAATCAGTGGTTCCAAACATTGAGCGCACATTAAATCACCTTGGAACATTGCATTGCAAGAATGCCCAGTTTCCATCCCTGAGCTGCACTAATCAGACTTTCTGGGATATGACGGTTTGGGTGATGTCGTTTTCATAGATTTAAAAGTGATTCTGAAGAAAAGCAGGGTTGAGAACTGCTGTTGAGTTCTTGATGTATGGATTGAGAAATTCGTTCTGAATCGAAACACCCTGTCATCCACTAGTTAAGAAAAATTAACTCTGTTTGCTACTGGTCCCCAAATGGGGCCAGTTGGGCTCTTATGGGAGGGCCCAGCAAATCTGAAACCTTGTTAGTGTACTCCAGACTTCTGCCTCATGCCTGTGTCCTTGGAAACCTAGGCTCCTCCTCTTGCCCTGTGATCCCAGGGGTCTGGCAGGTGAAGGTTTCAGCCATGTTTCACAGTGGGACACCTGCCATGGCTCACAAAGTTGTTGACTGTACGAATTCTGTGTAGTGTCCACTCATGTCCTCCCTGCCCACACCAGCCCTGCCCAGCTGTCTACATGAATCCTGGCAGGACTGAGGGAGGCAACTGAATCCAACCATCCTCACACAGGACAAAGCTATTGTTATGACTAACAATAAGTCACTCTCTATCCGTCTTAATTGCATCAGATCTACTGTTATTTAAACATTGCGTTTATAGTCCTTCTCCTCAAGTAGAAAGTAAGATTCATGAGAGCAAAGATCTTTATTGTGTCACTCACTGCTATGTTGCCATTGCCTAGAAAGGTGCCAGGCATATAGTAGACACTTAATTTACACATGATGCATGAATGGATGATGCAATAGCACCCATTTATGGAGTATGTATTATGTGCCAGGCTCTATATCACTTCACATGTATCATCATGTTTAATTCTCACAACAAGCTTAAGAGGGAGGTGCTACTATCTGTTCTCATTTTAGAGAAGCGGAAATTGAAATTCAGACAAGTTTACACACCTGCCCAAGGTTACACAGGTAGGAAGAAGCAAAGCTAGGACTTGAACCCATGACTTTTCAACTGCAAAGACCACGATCCTAACTATTATATTATACTCATTCCTCTTGCTGGGTATGGTGCAGGGACATGTATTTAGCAAGGACTGGCTGCTTGTCTGTCAGCCAGTCACAATCTGGTTGACTCTGGCACTGAGTAGTCATGTTAGTGGCACAATCTCCAGGGAGAGTTATTGCAATCTAAGGGCTGAAAAGGAAATAGATTCCTATACCTTACTCCCCAAATCCAAGGTTCTTCAGGATATCTACTGCAATGCTAGACAAGCTTATTAACTTTTTTTTTTTTTTTTTTTGAGACAGAGTTTCACTCTTGTTGCCCAGGTTGGAGTGCAATGGCGCAATCTCGGCTCACTGCAACCTCCGCCTCCCAGGTTCAAGCGATTCTCCTGTCTCAGCCTTCCAAGTAGCTGGGATTACAGGCATGCACCACCGCGCCTGGCTAATTTTTGTATTTTTAGTAGAGATGGGGTTTCTCCATGTTGGTCTGGCTGGTCTCGAACTCCCAACCTCAGGTGATCCACCCGCCTCGGCCTCCCAAAGTGCTGGGATTACAGGCGTGAGCCACCGTGCCCAGCCAACTTTTTTTTTTTTTCGGAAGTTTACCCTAGCAGCATATTGAAAGGGCCAAGGTGAGATCAAAGTATGTCTCTCTTGGGTAGTGAGACCCTGAATGACTTTTATTTTACCCTTTATATTTTTCTGCAATGCATATGTATATTCATTATAACAAAGATCCCCAAGTGCATTAGCCTACGTGAGTTCAAAGATTATTTTTGCCTCAGGTAAACAGTCCAGGGCAGAAAGGTGAGCTCTGCTTCATAAGGTCATCAAGGTTTCCAACTGGCCCAGCATGTCTGCCTTCAACATGTGGCTGTTCTTTGGGTTAAGGCTCCTGCTCCAGTTGTTCTCAACTTCGTGGTTGAAAGTAGCTCGCCAGCACCACCTCCAGGAGAGGGGCTGGAGGATTAGGAGAATCTCAACAGCTTCATCTTTAAGTAATTACTTATATCCCACTGCCCAAAACCTAGTTACATGGTTACAACTAGCTGCAGGGTTGAGGTTCATGTTTTTGTGTGTATAAATGCCAACACAATTTGTTGAAAACACTATCATTTCTTCATTGAATTTCCTTTGCACATTTGACAAACAAGATTGATTTGTGTCTATTTCTGTACTTTCTATTCTGTTCTGTTGATCTATGTGTCTCTCCCTCTGCCAATACCACACTGTCTTGATTCTTATAAGTCTTAAAATTAGATAGTGGGATTCTTCCAAAGCCAATTTTCTTTTGGCTATGCTAGTTTCATTGCCTTTTATATGAATTTCAAAATCAGCTTGTCAAATATCTGCAAAAAATTCTGCTAGAGTTTTGATTGACATTACATCAAAAGCATAGATTGATTTGGGTAAAATTGTCCTTTTTCTTGTTGAGTCTGCCAATCCATGAACATAGTATGTTTCTCCATATATTGAGGTCTTCTTTGAGTTATTTCATCAGCATTTTAGTGTTTTCAGCACATAGATTCTATGTATGTTTTGTTAAAATTATTTATACGTATCTCTTTTTGGGGGGGAGCTCTTATCATTTTTTGTTTGTTTCTGATTGTTTATTACTATCTTTATAAATATACATGATTTTTTGTATTGACCTTATATTCTAGAATGTGTTTAAACTCAGTATTATGTTTTCCCCAAAAATTTACATATTGAAGCCAGTTAACTGTATTTGGAGATAGGGGTTTTAAGGATGTAATTAAGGTTAAATGAGGTCATAATGGTGGGTCTCCAATCCAATAGGACTAGTGTCCTTATAAGAAGAGGAGAAGATACCAGGAATGCAAGTGTAGAGAAAACATCATGTAAGCAAGAAGGCAGTGATCTGCAAGCAAAGGAGAGAGGACTCACCAGAAATCAACTTGCTAGCACCTTGCTCTTGGACTTCTAGCTTATAGAAGTGTGAGAAAATAAATTTCTTCGGTTTAAGCCCCTCAGTCTGCAGTATTGTGTTATGTAGCGCTAGTGGACTAATACACTCACTGATTCCTTAAAGGAGCTTTTGGTAGACTTCTTGGGTTTTCTATATAGACAATTGTGTAAACTGCAAATAGGGAAAGTTTTATGTCTTCCTTCCAATCTGTATGTATTTTATTTATTTTTCATGCGTTATTGCAGAGTCTAGAAGTTCTAGTGTTATGACGTATACTGTGGTGATAGTGGACATCCTTCCCTGGCTTTGTTCCTGACCTTAGGGGCAAAGTATTCAGTTTTTCCCCATTAAGTATGATATTAGATGCAGGTTTTTGTTGATGCTCTTTATCAGGTTGAAGTGATTCCCTCTATTCCTAACTTGCAGATAATTTTTATCATGAGGTAGTGTTGTAGTTTGTCAAATATTTTTTCTGTGTCAATTTACATTATCATATGATATTTCTCCTTAGCTTATTGACACAGTGGATAACTTTGAATGATTTTTTGAATGATGAAGCAATCTTGCGTAACTAGAATAAATCTTACTTGGTTGTGGTGTATAAGTTCTTTTATATATTGCTGGATTCCATTTGTTAATATTTTGTTGAATATTTTGACATTTAGATTCATGAGAAACAGCCTGGGCAACATGACAAAACCTCATCTCTACCAAAAAGACAAAAATTAGCCAGGGGTGGTGCATGCCTACAGTCCCAGCTACTTGGGAGGCTAAGGTGGGAGGATCACCTGAGCCTGGGAGGTGGAGGCTGCAGTGAGCTGTGATCATGCCACTACATTCCAGGCTGGGTGACAGAGCGAGGCCTTGTCAAATAAATAAATAATAAATAAGTAAATAAATTGATGAGAGATATTAGTTTGTAGATTTAATTTTTATACTGTCTTTGTCTGGTTTTGATATCAGGGTAAAAATGGGCTCATAAAATTAGGCGGGATATATTCCCTCCTCTTTTCTGGAAGAGATTGTGCATATTTAGTGTTATTTCTTATATGTGTGGTAGAAGTTGCCAGTGAAACCATCTTGGCTTGGAGATTTCGTTTGTAAAATTTTTAAACTATAAATTAGTACTATTCAGGTTATCTGTCTCATTTTGAGTGAGTTTGGGTAGTTCGTGGTTTTTAAGGAATTGATCCATTCCATCTAAGTTGTTGAACTTATGTATGTGGAGTTATTCACAGTATTTCTTTATTGTCATTTCAGTGGCTGTGGGATCTATGGTTAGTTTTATTTTTTAAATATTTCTTGTTACATTTCACAAGAAAGCATGCTGCATTGGTTTTTATAAGAAAGTCTGTTCTAGACACTTCTCAAAAGAAGACATTCATGCAGCCAACCAACATATGAAAAAAAGCTCATCACTGATCATTAGAGAAATGCAAATCAAAACCACAATGAGATACCATTTCACACCAGTCAGAATGGGAATTATTAAAAAGTCAAGAAAAAACAGATGCTGGCGAGGCTGTGGAGAAACAGGAATGCTTTTACATTATTGGTGGGAATGTAAATTAGTTCAACCATTGTGGAAGACGGTGTGGTGATTCCTCAAGGATCTAGAACAGAAATATCATTTGACCCAGCAATCACATTACTAGGTATATACCCAAAGGAATATAAATCATTCTATTATAAAAATACATGCATGTGTATGTTCGTTGCAGCACTAGTCACAATAACAAAGACATAGAATTAACCCAAATGCTCATCAATGATAGACTGGATAAAGAAAATGTGGTACATATACACCACGGAATACTGTGCAACCATAAAAAGGAATGAGATCATGTCCTTTGCAGGGATATGAATGGAGCTGGAAGCCATCGTGCTCAGCAAACTCACACAGGAACAGAAAACTAAACACTGCATGTTCTCACTTATAAGTGGGAGGTGAACAATGAGAACACAGGTACACACTGGGGGGAACAACACACACTGGATCCTGTTGGGGGAGGGAGAGCATCAAGAAAGATAGCTAATGCATGCTGGACTTAATCCCTAGGTGATGGGTGATAGGTGCAGCAAACAACAATGGCACATGTTTACCTGTGTAACAAACCTGCACATCCTGCACATGTATCCTAGAACTTAGAGTAAAAAAAGAAAGTCTGTTCTTAATTTGCACTAAATATTCTTTAAAATTTATAATTTTTGATTTTTTAAAATGAAAGCCTTTTGTATTCAATCAAGAAAATCTTGACTAATCAGAACCACACAAATTAACCCCTAAGTTAATCGATATTTTGGCTGCCTTCAGATCCAGTTAATGAGAAATAAGCAGGGTGTATTGAGAGGGAGTGGCAGTCCTTTCTGCCAGCCACAGCCTGCCTTCATGGTTCTGGGCTGACTCCGGGGCAGTGAGAGCCTTCAGCATCCAGACAGCCTTACTTGGGTTCATTAGCATGAAAGTACAAGGAATCTACCTGTAGAGAGAGAAAAACAGAAATATTCTTCTTCCTTCTCATTCTTTATCCCTTCCTCCTCTCTTGTCATTCCATGTTCTTGAAGGGATGGAAAACATATTCTCAGGACTAAGCTGGGAGCCAGCAACTAATAAAATACATCAATTTAAGCTTAAGTATGAGACCCCCAGGCCAGCAGTTTTTAAGATGTTCTCCCCCACATTCCCATTTTTTGAAATATTTCCACTTAACCTGTGTCTGAGTAAATTTAGACCAGTGTTTCTCAGATAAGGTTTCCAGGATCACCTGCATCATTCCTCCTGAGGTGCTTGTTATCATGCAGATTCCAGGGTCTTATCCTGGTCTTTATTGAATTAGATTGTCTGGGGCCATGAATCTGCATTTTAACAAGTGCTTCCAGGTGACTGCTGGTTTGAATGCTTTATTTTGACCTAATCATTCGTGTTTATATTATTCCACTCACTGAGATGATGAAACTCCAGTTCTAGTTCTAATAGAGCAGTGAACAATTGTCCACGCATAAGCCACCTTTTTAATTGTATTTTTATTTTACTTTAAGTTCTGGGATACATGTGCAGAATGTGCAGGTTTGTTACATAGGTATACATGTGCCATGGTGGTTTGCTGTACCTATCAACCTGTCATCTGAATTTTAAGCCCCACATGCATTAGCTATTTGTCCTGATGCTCTCCTTCCTCTCACTCCACATCCCCTGACAGGCTCCAGTGTGTGTTGTCCCCCTCCCTGTGTGCATGTGTTCTCACTGTTCAATTCACATTTATGAGTGAGAATATGTGGTGTTTGGTTTTCTGTTCCTATGTTACTTTGCTGAGGATGATGGCTTCCAGGTTCATCCATATCCTTGCAAAGGACATGAACTCATCCTTTTTATGGCTGCATAGTATTCTGTGGTATATATGTACCACATTTTCTTTATCCAGTCTATCATTGATGGGTATTTGTGTTGATTCCATGTCTTCGCTATTATAAATAGTGCTGCAATAAACATACATGTGCATGTGTCTTTATAGTAAAATGATTTATATTCCTTAGGGTGTATATCCAGTATATGGGATTGCTGGGTCAAAATAAGCCACCTTTTAAAAAAATTAAAATATAAATACCTTTATTGAGTCCCAGGGGAAAATTGTGTTTTAGGTCATTTACTCTTTGGAACAGAAGAATGTTGTGGTAGAGTGAATGGGAAATGTCTCAAATTTTTTCACTGTTCCATCCTTGCATCCATGTTTGCAATGTGACATTGCTGGGCCTGGCATCAGAAGGTAGTCTGTTCCTTTTCCTCTTGAATTTGGTCTGCTTTGTGACTAGCTTTGGCCAATCAGATGCAGGAAAAGTGGAGGCCCACAGAGGTCCTGCAGTGCTCCACTGTCTTGGGCCCCTGGCACTGTCCTGTGAACAGGCCTGGGCTGGCCTGCTGTGGGTAAGAAGCTCCTGAGGGAGAACCCAGCTGGCCCAGTCACAAGCATTTTGGAAGTTTATAGCCATAGAGGAGCCAAACCCCCACAAAACAAGGAAGCACAGCCCAGATCAAGAGAGCCACCTGCAGCGCCACAGCTGGTGGCACAAGCCCCCACTGAGTCCAGAAGGACTGCCCGGCTGATCTGCAGACTGTGAGCAATGGGAAATGGAATTGTTTTAAGCAATTGAGCTTTGAGATGGTTGGTCATGCAGCAACAACTGATTCCTGCAAATGTCAATGAGAATAATGACCATGAAAACATTGCTACTAAAAGGTTAATATTATAACTGGCCATGTTTTCTCATCTTTCATCCCGAAATCAAAAGTCAGGCAGCAAGGAGAAATGGGTCAGGCTACAGTGGCCCATTGGCCATGGTGACACATCCCCTCCTCCTGCCATGTGTTCTAATACATCCATTTTGTTGCTGATTTTCCCAATTCCAATGGTCCAGAAATTTCTGGATGGTGCTGTCATGGCTACTTCCCCATTTTGAGCCTGGCCACCTCCCTGCCCTTGCAAGGAGATTTGCTCCCTGCAAAATGTGGAGGTGGTCTAGGCTTATTCATCTACCAACCTAACAATAAAACAGTAAGCACTTGAGCAGTGATCATCTAGCAGGTGGGGTCTACCCTTGGACTTCATCCCCAATCAGAGACACTTAAGAAGCCAAGTGTAGTGCAAACAGCATATTCAACATTGTGTAGGCATTTACCATTACAAAGTTTTAAAAAAGCTATTAGTTTTTATAGTACAAACTACCCAAAGTAACATTCAACAGAAGTTTTTTTTGGGGTAAAGGAAATATGCAAAGTATATAGCGATTTTTAGCTGGGTGACTTGCAGAATTTGAGGGCGGGATGGGAACAGTATGAGATTTATACATTAATAGTAAAGAAGGGGCCTCGGATACAAAAGTTTAGATGCTGTGGCTTAGAGCACTGAATTTAACTTGTATCCCCCTTTCAGCAAGGCTTGAGTGGTCTCCCTATGACAGCACTGAGTGGGGTTTTAATAATGGAAATAATAACTGCATCATCCATACAGTGTGGCTTCTGCAAACCATAGCTCTTGCTTTTAGTCTAATAATATCCCTGAAATGTGCTGAAATCCCTTAAAAATCCCTTTTATAGATTCTGAACTAAGAACATTTTATTTTAAGGTGGTAGATTGAATGAGACTTCAAGCAAATACCAAAGGGTCAACCTTCATCCAGTCCTCTGAGCATTACTGGCAGACCTCCCTGAAATGGGCACATCACAAAAAAATTGTAAATGCTTCCCACCCAGCTCCCAGACAAAACTCCAAGAATGCACTAACACCACTCCCAAGGGGTTGCACCAGCTATTGGAGTGGCTTGGGCAGGGAAAATGTTTGTCTCTGCTTTTTTTCACACCTGGATGGGAAACAACTTGTGGAGTTTCCCATTGTCTACCAAAGGTTTCAGCTGGACTCCATCCCATGGGCTGCTTCCACTCAAGTAGCAAGGAAGCAGTGAGGATGGTGTCAGGGAAGGAAGAGTAATTTGCTGGAAAAGTGCAAGTGATCCAAACTGTACTTCTAAGAGGGCAGAAGCAGGCAGGGCAGATGTCCAGTGCTCATGATTCCTGGTGGGCATTTCTACTGGCAAAAATGCAGGTACCCAAAGGAGGAAGCTGCCTTGCTCAGGGGAGTAATGTGGGAGCACGGAGGGGGCTGCTGAGGACAGAAGCTACACAATATGTCCCTGCGTGTCCTTGGGTTAATCAGATGGTCTCAGATTTCTTTGGGGCCTGACTGCATTGCTAAATTCAGGGGGGAAATCCAATTCCATGGCCATGCTTAGGAACAAGGAAATATGCTCTACACATATGGTCCTGGGAGCACCCCCTTCTTCCTTGCCTCTGTGTATGACAGTGCACAGTACCTCCCTTACCTGGGCTAAGTCAGTTCAGACCCTAGTTACCTACAGTGAAGCTGAAGTGGTCTATTTGGAGAAGCCATGAATGACAGTTTGGAGGTCATGAAACAAGTAACTATATGGAAGTAAAAAACACATGGTGTGGTCCAGTCTCAATGACTTACCCCAGGGTTATGGGCAGACAACTTCCCTCCCTGGCAACTTTCTAACCAGCTCACCCTCTGAAATAAGTTCACCCTAAAAATTCCCAAATCTGCATTGCTCAGGCTGTTTCTAATACCTGCCAACATTCCTAGACTAAACTTGACACAGCTGTTTTTCTAGTAGAGGTAAAGATTTGGGGTGTCATCCTAATGCTTCAATAAGCCCTTCCTAAGGTTGCTGGCAGCCCTCTGCTGGGCTGCATCTGTGACTATATGGGAAATACATTAAACTATTTGGGGTCAGGTTTTCAAAGAGTCAATTACAGTTGAAATTAGGAGAGAGAGAGAAGTTAGACACATTGAGTGTCAACCATGAGCCAGGCACTATTCTAGGTCTTCAAAATACGTAATCTAAATTTGAATTTAAAACTGGATTGAAATTTACATAAGAACGGGGTAACACAGATAATTGGTATAAGGACTGCAGATATTTCTGCAGACTTTGAAGACTCCACTGGAGTTGGGGGCAGACGTGGAGGTGGGCGGGGCGGTCCTTTACATGGATGGTGTCTTTGTTACTAGGGTACTGTAAGTGCCTTTATCCAGAAGAGCCCAGTGAAGACCTCTGCTCTGTTTTCAGACCACGAGGACACTTGGGAAGCTGCTCTGAGAAATTTCATCAGCTGTGGAAGCAGAGGGGCTGTTGATGGATTTCTGGAGGAGGGATGGTTGTCTGTTCTCTTCGCTTGCCCTACTCAGAAAAATGTTCAGATTTCTTTTTAAGGCGTTGCATGTAGAATCATTCTTGTTGCAAGATATGCATATGTATCTTTTTAATTTTAACTCAAGCTCTATACCAAAAGGCAAGTTCATTTACTCAGAGCCTAGACAGAAGGCTTTCCCAGTCCTGACACCTTGCTTATTTGCTACTTAAAGTCTTTTGGAAGAAAAGAACAGATTTTTGCATTTTGTTCCCTTTCCTATTTCAGGAAAAAAAAAAGAATTTTTTTTAAATCTACACAACTGTCCTAATTGGAAGGGATTCTTGATCTGTTTCATTGCAGTCTGTTTATTTCTGGTAGGTGTCCAGACCGCTTGGCCCCCACCCCTGCCAGGCTGTTCTCCAACAACATCCCGACTCCATTCCAGAGCAGCTGGGAGCCTACAGCAGCCTAGGAATCTCCATGCAGCCCCAGGTGGCATGCAGGGCCATGTCTCCTCTTGAGGACCTGTCTTCAGCGTCTCTTTTAGGCCCACTCTGGCTGTCCTGCCACATCAGCATCCCTCTGTCTCCTCCTTTCAGGTCACCCAGCTTGTCTTGCTCCAGGCAGGGCTGCCCTACCCTAATATCCCCACACTCTGTACGTAGGCATGGACCTGAGAAGTTACTGTGGCCAAAATTTCACTCTGGAAGCAACTAGAGCCCCCGTAGTGTGGTGCATGAGCCCAGGCCAGCTCCCGCCTGCACAGAGCTGCTTCGGGTTAAGGACTTGGGTGTTAAGAAGGAAACTGCCTAAGGCAAACAGCTCAGACTGGAACAGGGCCAAATCTAGAGTTCTGGGGTTCAGGTGGAGAACAGTGTTGCTCTATAAACGCATGGTGATGCAGAGGAAATCAGCATCAAGGATAGCCTCAGGGCTGGTGGGGAGTGGAGAAGCCGCCAAGATAACATGCAGTCATGATAGGTGTTAAAAGAAAACCTTTAGACCAAATAAACTTAATAGGGCTTACTGGAGCAAAGGACAATTGACAAATCAGGCAGCACTCAGAACCAGAGGAGGTTCTGGGAGTTCTGCTGAGCAGTGTGGGCACTGGGCCTTTATAGGCTGGAGCGGAAGGGATACAAAGAAAATAGATTCAATTCGCTAGAATGGAAAGTCCCTGGTTAGAGATTCATTGAGGGTTTCTGACTGGAAAAGTGTCCAGGTTCGTTTGCTGTTTACCTAGAGTTTGTGCTTGCTTATGAAGAAATTTAAAGAACAAAGCCACCATCACCTAATGGCCTCCCAATTAAGATGAAATTTTAACACGGATGGTGATGGTGGATCCTTAACACAAGATGGCAGAGAAGGACCCTAGAGATGATATAGACCAGAAGTGGTCTACCAGTGTCCTCCAGGTATGTTCTATTTGTCCTATGTAATGTGTGTGGGGGAGTGGATGGGTGTGTGTGTGTGTGTGTGTGTGTGCATATTTTCCCCTTAGTTGATGCTGAATGCTTTTTGATGGCACATGAATTCTGTTCTTTCCTACAGCTCCTACGTATGCTCACTGACCTCCTCTTCCCTCTTGTATATTACCACATTACTGTATATTACTGCATCACTACTGTGATGTGGTATATTGTATATTACCATTATTATATTGTATATTATATTATATTGTATGTGGTATATTGTATATTACCATTATTGTATATTACCACATTACCTGCTGGAGCAGCGATGCAGGGCCCAGAGAGAAGGAAGGAAAGTGGTGGAGGAAGAGTACCTTGGCTGCACCTGGTCAAAAGCCTTGGGAAGGATGGCTTGGAACTCAGCATCAATTCCCCCGAATCATCAGACTTGGAAATGAGCATGGAAGTGGTGCTTCCTTTTCCTCATGGAAATCACATGCAGCTTCAGAGAGTTTCATTTGCATTGAAACTTAGAGACAGATATAATCTATAGACTCCAAAACATGGGTAAGGGCTGCAAAGAGCTGCAAGCTCACAGGAAGAGGAGCAGCATCTAGGGCGGCAGCGGAACTTTGAGAGCACAAGCAGAACTACACTTCCCAAGGATGAGGCACACACCGGCCCCTTGTTTGCATTTCCTGGGAAGGAGCTAGAGGTCCCTGCAGCAAAAGCCCTCAGGGACCCAGTATGATTCAGAGAAGCTGAGGAGGCAGAGCTCTATAAAGGATAATACCATATTTTCAGGAAGAAGTCTGTCTCTGTGAAAACAAAGAGAAAGAGGTCCTGTGAGATGAAGAATTCTGGAAGACTGTCCTTGCCCCACCCCTGGTTAGAACATCTTGCAAAAAGCTGATCTAGGGAAGTTCAACCAGTACACTCCATGAATAATTTAAAAGAAGATGGAATAACCTCAATACAAACATTCTATAAGACACAAAGAGCAGCAAATCACATCAACCGAAGAACATGCACCCGTAAAATGTGGGCTGGAAGAGGTGAAAATTATGATGAAACATTCCACCATGAATTAGAAACAAAGCACCTTGACAAGGCAATTTGATCTCTAATGGAAAACCACAAAGCACAAATGCAGGAACTCAAATAGAAGATGAAAAGCTGATGGGAAGTGATGAGATGGAGCTAGAAGACTCAGGAAAGAAGCAGAGGATAATAAGGGGGCGAAGTCACTGCAAAAGGCTCTGTAAGAGAAGCACAGGATGGGAGTGTGGAATGCAAATCTGATGTCGTAGAGACAGGGAGTTAAGATTAGAGAGAAAGTGATCGCAATAACAGGGAGGTGAAGGAAAGCCACACGTGCAAAACTAGAGTCTCTGAAGAAGCCAAAACAATAGGATGTAAAAAACGTTTTAAAATACAATTCAAAACATTTCCTAAAATAAAGCAAGACTTGAATCTGCATATCGGATGTTCACACTACTTCCCAGGGAAACCTGATTTAAAACAGTCTCCACCTGAGATGCAATCTAGTCAAGTTATTGGATTTAAAGAAAGTATCCTTTAGGCAGTAAAGCACAAAATACTAAGTCACATACAGGGAAAAAAAAAGTCGAGTTGAACTCAGACTTCATCAAAACAGCATTTAACATTAGAAGAGGATAGAGAAACATTTAGAAGATATTTAAGGAAAGTGCAAACCAAGAATTTTATATCATCCAAGCTGTTCAACAATTACAAAGGCTATAGCAGAATGTTTTGAACATACAAGAGCTTAGAAAGTATAGTTCTTGTGAACCTTCTTAAGGAAATGACCAGAAAATGAACGTCAGCCAATTGAGAGTCTACTATGGAAGCTTTAACCACAAGTCTGACTGTAAGTATTGATTATACTTAAGTTCAGATCTAAGACTAAATATAATGTGGGGATTAGTGTAACATAATGGGATGTAAATCTTATAAGCCCTGGCAATGTAGAAATAACACAACTAACACAAATTGGGATGGGAAAGGGGTAAAGATGGCAGGAAGTAAAGTAATTGCTTCTTGGATAAACTCAGGGAGACAAAAGAAATAATTTAAAGCCAAAGAAACAAACAGTGTTTTTGTTAAAAATGTATTTAAGAGTCCAAAGTAAAAATTAACAAAGATAATATTATTGAATTGAGTCAGGAAGTGGAGGGAGAGATAGGAGAAAGGGAAGAAAATACACACTTATTTTATTATGGCCTAATGCTGTTTATGAAGCAGATGACCAGAGTTTTATATGACAATATGATTACAAAGAAATAATGAAACCACATTAAAAATCCTTCTAAATACCAGAACTTAATTCACTTCTCGTCTCCTGTGGCCTTTTCTCCTTTCGTCGCCTCTCCTCTCTTCTCTCTTTTCTCTTTGCCCACTCCCAAAAAAGCAAACTGACCTTATGTTGAAAGACTTTAAATAATTGTATTCAGAGAACAACAACAAAAACAACAACAACAGATCAAAGATCAACTCACCTGTCATGTCAATAAATATAAATGACATTAACTCATTGTGATACGATGATATGTATATATCTATATATATTTTTATTAACTCACTGTGATATTATGATATCTATATAGGTTTTTATCCATGGTTCCTGGCTTATAACTCCCATAGCCCTTGTTATAATATTGGGGCCCTTGGGCCAGCCTCAGAAAACAGAATCTCTCTCTCTCTCTGGCCATCCCTTGCTCTCCTTTCACCTGCTCCTTTCCCTCCCCAAGGCAGGACTCTAATCTTCCCCTGCCTTTCTGTCTTGGCAATTCTCTGACCTACCTTATCTCATTGTGGGACATCAGATCTCCATTTCAGACATGATCCTGCCCTGCACCCTGGAGGAAGGAGTGTCACACAAAGAGGCCAGGAAGAATCTGAACAGACAGTCCTTGCCAGGTTTCCCCACTCAGTCTATTAGCATTAGATCATGCCCTTTTTGTCCAGTTACATTTCTACATGGTTATCAATCAAGCTTATCCAATGAAGGCTCCATAAAAGGCCCAAGAGGACAAGGTTCAGAGAGCTTCCGGATAGCTAGATGCTTGGAGGTTCCTACAGGGTGGTACAGCACAGGAAGGCAGGGAAACTCCACGCCCCTTCCCCCATACCTTGCCCTATGCATCTCTTCATCTGTATTCTTTGTCATATTCTTTATAATAAACTGGTAAACATAAGTGTTTCCCTGAGTTCTGAGAGCCGCTCTAGTAAATTAGTCAAATCTCCTATTTGTAGCCACTCAGTCAGAAGCACACGAAAAACCCGGGGCTTGCAATTGGCATTGGAAGTGGGGGTCAGTCTTGCAGACTGAGCCCTCAACCTGGGGGATCTGATGCTACCTCCAGGTAGATGGTGTTAGAATTGAATTTGAGGACACCCAGCTGGTGCCTGTGGCAGAATGGATTGCTTGCTTGGTTGTGGGGAACCCCTCCCCTAACACATCTGGTCACAGAAGTCTTGTGTGTTGATTGTTGTAGGTGTAAGAGCAGGGGAAACACAGTTCGTGATTTTCCCCCTTGGATTCATTCATTAAGGTAAATGATTTTCACATTGTATCATAAAGCAACATCCAATTCTATGCTGTTTAAAGGAAACATATCTAAAACAAGTGAACCATAAAAGATTGGAAATGATAAGAATGAACAAATGTGTACCAGGTGTATTAGTGTTATCTTAGAGAGACAGAACTAATAGGATATATATATATGTATGAGTTTATTAAGTATTGACTTACATGATCACAAGGTCCCACAATAAGCTGTCTGTAAGCTGAGGAGCAACAAGAGCCAGTCTGGGTCCCAAAGCTAAAGAACTTGGAGTCTGATATTTCAGGGCAGGAAGCATCCAGCACAAGGGAAAGACGTAGGCTGGGAGGCTAGGCCTGTCTCACCTCTTCATATTTTTCTGCCTGGTTTATATTCACTGGTGGTTGATTAGATGGTGTCCACCTGATTAAGAGTGGGTCTGCCTTCCCCAGCCCACTGACTTAAATGTTAATCTCCTTTAGCAACACCCTCACAGAAATACCCAGGATCAATATTGCATCCTTCAATCCAATCAAGTTGACACTCAGTATTAACTATCACAAGTCCACCCCTTGTCAACTTGAACCCATACACATCTCCTGAGATCATACATAATCTTCAAATAAAGACAATAATAAGGTCATAATTATACCTAACGTAATACAACTATCCTTCATACAACTGGAAACACACCAATCCCCAACCAAGTACTATTACATAAAGTTAACAATACTTAAATGCTGATATGAAGTCAATAAATCTTATGTCACATGATAAAGGAAAAGGAAATAAAACAAAGATATTTTCTTAGTACAAGTGTATACATGTACAAATATATTTTTAATAAAAGAAGGAGGAAATACTCATGACAATTACAGTCTTTATTTCTGCAGCTGGTCACATGGTCATAGCTGGTATTGATGACTACCTCCTTCTACTACCCATTCTGTATTCCCTTTGCCTTCAGCAAGCATCTCAGCAGGACGTATTTTTTTTTCCTGGTGGAGTGACCCAAACCTTCATTCCTGAAGGATCTGAGTCATTTGTAGTCCTGCCTGGATTGGGATGTAGTAGTTTCCCATTGACCTTAATCATGGGGCATGGTAATACTAAGAGACTGCCTAATCGATCTCCTATATTCCATTTTTACTCTTCTTTACCTCCATTGTGGAGTAGTAGACTGATTTTGTCTTGATATTCCAGGTCAATCACCCCAACCAACACTATAACTCCCTTCTTAGCCTGTTGACTTAAAGGTAGAAGGATCCCAAAGTGGCCAGGTGTCAATCTTAACTTCCAGTTTAATGGGATCGTTGTTGTTTCTCCTGGTGGCAGCATTCCTCCCTCTGGAACTAAGACCTCTAGGCCAGTAGAATGTAATGTCGTGGGAACAAGAATGGGGCTGATAGTGAGTGGTGCCACTTCCAAGTCCACTCCTTGATTCCTGGACCCATGAATCCTGGCTATGGGAGAAACAGTACTATATTTTGGACACTGATTCAGAGCGTACGTGGCCTTCTGGAGAACTTTGCCCCAGGCCTGCAAAGTATTGTCACCTAGTTGGCATTGTAATTGTGACTTCAGAAGGCCATTCCACCGTTCTATCAATCCAGCTGCTTCAGGATGATGGGGAACATGGTACAGTGAATTCCATGAGCATGAGCACACTGCCGCACTTCTTTAGCCATGAAGAGAGTGCTTTGGTCAGAGGCAATGCTGTGTGGAATACCATGACGGTGGATAAGGCATTCTGTGAGTCCACAGATGGTAGTCTTGGCAGAAAGATTGCATGCAGGATAGGCAAACCCATGTCCAGAGTATGTGTCTATTCCAGTGAGGACAAGCGTCTGCCCTTTCCATGATGGAATAAGTCCAGTGTAATGAACCTGCCACCAAGTAGCTGGCTGATCACCCTGAGGAATGGTGCCATATCAAGGGCTCAGTGTTGGTCTCTGCTGCTGGCAAATTGGGCACTCAGCAGTGGCCATAGCCAGGTCAGCCTTGGTGAGTGAAAGTCCATGTTGCTGAGCCCATGCGTAACCTCCATCCCTGCCACCATGGCCACTTTGTTCATGGTCCCATTGGGTGATGACAGAAGTGGCTGGGGAAAGAGGCTGAGTGGTGTCCACAGAACAGGTCATCCTATCCACTTGATTGTTAAAATCCCCCTCTGCTGAGGTCACCCATTGGTGAGCACTCACATGGGATACAAATATCTTCACAGTTTTTGACCTCTCAGAGAGGTCCATCCACATACTTCTTCCCTAGATTTCTTTGTCACACATTTTCCAATCATGCTTCTTCCAAGTCCCTGACCATCCAGCCAAACCATTGGCTGCAGCCCATGAATCAGTATATAATCAGACATCTGGCCATTTCTCCTTCCATGCAAAGTGCATAACCAGGTGCACTGCTCGAAGTTCTGCCCACTGGGAAGTTCCCTCCACCGCTGTCCTTCAGGGATGTCCTAGAAAGGGCTGTAGTCCTGCAGCTGTCCACTTCCGGGTGGTGCCTGCATATCATGTAGAACCATCTCTGAACCAGGGCCTAGTCTTCCCTTCCTCTGTCAACTGATCACAGGGAACTCCCCATGAGGCCATCGGTGCAGGCTAGGGGAGAGAAGGCAGGTGGCAGGAGTAGAGACCATGGGCACTTGAGCCACTTCCTCATGTAACTTACTTGTGCCTTCAGGACCGGCTCGAGCCCGATCACATATATACCACTTCCATTTGATGATGGAATGCTGCTGTGCATGACCCACTTTATGACCAGATGGGTCAGAAAACATCCAGTGCATGATAGACAGTTCAGGTCGCATGGTGACTTGATGACCCATAGTCAAACATTCAGTTTCCACCAAAGCCCAGTAACAGGCCAAGAGCTGTCTGTCAAAAGGAGAGTAGTTATTTTCAGAAGATGGTAGGGCCTTGCTCCAAAATCCTACAGGCCTCCACTGTGATTCACTTATGGGAGCCTGCCAAAGGCTCCGAAGGCCAAGTCAGTGGCTGCATACCAGGTACCAGATGTGTTAATTTGCTCAAGCAATGAAACCACATCTGGTACAGCAGCTGAAATTGGAGTCACCACTTGATTAAGCTTATGATAATCCACTGTCATTCTCCAAGATCTATCCCTATCTGCCACTGACATTTCAAGCACCTTTGGATCTGCTGGGTCATATGGCCCAAGTGGCAGAGCAGCTTGCACAACAGCCTGGAACTGTTGCAGAGCCTTCTTCTGTTCTGGACCCCACTCAAAACTGGCAGGCTTTTGGGTCACTCAATAAATGCGCCAGAGTAAGGCACCCAAATGAGGAACGTGTTGCCTCCAAAATCCAAATAGACCCACTAGGCATGTGCCTCTTTCTTGGTTGTAGGAGGGACCAAACGCAGCAACTTATCCTTTACCTTAGAAGGAATATCTCTACAGGCCCCACACCATTGGACCCCCAGACATTTTCCTGACGTAGAAGTTACTTTAATTTTAGTCAGATTTATTTCCCATGCTCTGTCATGCAAATGTCTCACCAATAAGTCCAGTGTATTTACTACTTCTTGCTCACTGGATCCAATCAGCATAATATCATCAATGTAACGGACCAGTGTGATATCTCATGGAAGAGAGAAGCGATCAAAGTCTCTCAGATAAGATTATGACACAAAGCCAAAGAGTTAATATATCCCTAAAGTAGGACAGTAAAGGTATATTGCTGGTCTTGACAGCTAAAGGCAAATTGCTTCTGGTGGGCCTTATGGACAGGAATGGAGAAAAAGGCATTTGCCAAGTCAATGACTGCATACCAGGTACCAGATATGTTAATTTGCTCAAGCAATGAAACCACATCTGGTACAGCAACTGATATAGGAGTCACCACTTGGTTAAGCTTATGATAATCCACTGTCATTCTACAAGATCCATCTGTCTTCTGCACAGGCCAAACGGGAGAGTTGAAAGGGGATGTGGTGGGAATCACCAGCCTGCATACTTCAATCCTTGATGGTGCCGCTAATCTCCGCAATCCCTCCAGGGATGTGATATTGTTTTTGATTTACTATTTTTTCTAGGTAGAGGCAGCTCTAATGGCTTCCATTTGACCTTTCACCATAATAGCCCTCACCCTACCAGTCACGGAGCCAATGTGGGGGCTCTGCCAGCTGCTATCTATGCCAATTATGCATTCTGACACTGGGGAAATGACCACAGGATGAGTCCAGGGACCCACTGGACCCACTGTAAGTTGGACCTGAGCTAAAATTCCATTAATTACCTGACCTCTATAAGCCCTTCCTTTAACTGGAGGATCACAATTATGTTTTGGGTCCCCTGGAATCAACGTCAGCTCAGAGCCTGTGTCCAGTAGTCCCCCAAATGTCTGATCATTTCCCTTTCCCCCACGCAGTTACCTAGAAGCAAAAAGGGGTGTTGGGGTTGGCTCCTGAGGAGAATCAACATTATTTTACCTGGCCACTGCCTCAGGGGAGGCTGTCACTATTGCCTCAGGCAGCTCAGGGTTTATCTCCTCAGACAAAAGTGGAAAGGCTGATGGCAGCATGGGTTAGAGAGGGGATGTTGCCACTACTGGGGATAGGGAAGCTGTTCCTTCTGGCAAAAAAGGTTCATCAGAGTTTACAAACATCAGGGTCCTCCCACATGCCCCTATTCCAAGTTGCAGGGTCCCATTCTTTTCCAATCAATGCTCTCACTTTAACAGTAGACAGCTGGCGAGGCTGTGCATGAACCTTTTGTTGCAGGTCAGCCACTCGCATGGTAAGAGCTTGTGTCTGTTTTTCCACAATTTCAGCTCTTTCTCTACAGGAGACAAGACTCTCACTCAGGGCAATCTTAGCAGATTTGAGGGTCAGTATCTGCTTCTGAAGCCAGGAGACAGAATCCCTGAGTTCACCATTTTCTGTCATCACTTTGTCCACTGAACTTAGGAGCAATCAACCAGCTTCATTATGTTCCTTGGGTCTCCACATATGGCCGAAGGTATTATGTGAAGTGTCACTAAACTCTCATGAGCAGTGAATCAGGAGTGTCAAATGCATTTATTTTGTGTAATTCTCTAAACAGTTTCCACCAAGGACTATCAGTGTTCTCCATACTATTAGAAGTAGAGTCCTTAGCATTTTTGTGTTTAATCATATTAAGCAGCCAACTCCAGAAACCCCAAAACCAATGAAAGAACTCCACCCGTAATATTCTGTTTCTCTAGAACCACTACCTGGTACCAAAATCTTTATTAGTCAGGGTTCTCCTGGAGGGACAGAACTAATAGGATATATATAATATATATATATATATATATTTTTGTTATATATATTATATATTTTATTATGTATATATAATATATAATATATGTTTATTAAATATTAACTTACACAATCACAAGGCCACAATAGGCTGTCTGCAAGCTGAGGAGCAAGAGGAGCCAGTCCGAGTCCCAAAACTGAAGAACTTGGAATCCAATCTTCAAGGGCAGGAAGCATCCAGCATGGGAAAAAGATGTAGGCTGAAAGGCTAGGCCCGTCTCTCTTCTTCACGTTTTTCCGTCTGGTTTATACTCTCTAGCAGCTGATTAGATGGTGCCCACCTGATTAAGGGTGGGCCTGCCTTCCCAGCCCACTGACTCAAATGTTAATCTCCTTTGCCAGCACCCTCACAGACACACCTAGGATCAATATTGCATCCTTCAATCCAGTCAGGTTGACACTCAGTATTAACCATCGCACCAGGCAAGCGCAAACCAAAAGCTAGCAAGTGTCGCCAGTTTGCCTTCAAAGAGGAAGAAATTCAGGGCCAAAGAACATTAAATGAGACAAACAAGGGAGCATTCTAATGCTAAAAGACACAACGCACAGAAAAGATGAAATAGCTAATAAGCGTCTGTGTGCAAAAGCACATAGCATCAATATTCATAAGGCAGAAATTACAGAGGATATGAGGAGAAATAGAAACACACTTGTAGTAGAAAACTTTTCAAAGCTATTAATTCATGTCAGATCAAATAACAGAAATAAGTAGAAAGTAAGAACATTGATCTGGTTGATATATGTCAAAAATCTATATCCTGAAAATGGAAAGTTTACCTTCTTTACGAAGGTCAGTGAAACATTCATGAACTCTGACTACATAAATGTACATAATAAAATTTCAACAAATTATCAAAAGTAGAAATAGTACAAGCAAATCCCCTAATCATAATAGGATTAAACTAGACATTGATAACAAAGAACTAGAAAAAGATTCTTCCATCTGAAATGTTTTTAAAAGAAAAAACTCTTAACTTTACGTTAACAAAGACATTTTAGAAAACAGCAATTGCAAAACTGTATAACAGAACCTGTGGGTATAGCTGCAGCAGTGCTCAAAGGAAAAGGCATATCCTTAAATATTTATGTTAATGAGGACAGAAAGAAAAAACAAATTATTTTAAACATCTAACTCAAGTTTTTAAAGCCCTGGTTGTTTTTAAACCCAATCTTCAGGCCGGGCATGGTGGCTCACTCCTGTGATCCCAGCACTTCGGGAGGCCGAGGTGGGCGGATCACCCGAGGTCAGGCATTTGAGACCAGCCTGGCTAACATGGTGAAACCCCCGTCTCTACCAAAACAAACAAACAAACACATTAGCCAGGTGTGGTTGCTGCACCTGTAGTTCCAGCTACTTGGGAGGCTGAGGCAGGAGGATTGTTTTTTGTTTTTTGTTTTTTTTTTTGAGACGGAATCTTGCACTGTCGCCCAGGCTGGAGTGCAGTGCGGTGCAGTGCAGAGGCGCGATCTTGGCTCACTGCAACCTCTGCCTCCTGAGTTCACGCCATAGGAGAATCGTTTGAACCTGGCAGGTGGAGGTTGCAGTGAGCCAAGAAATGAAGCAACCTGGGCGAAAAGGGCAAAAGTCTGTCTCAAAAAATAAAAAATAAATAAATTAATTAACCCAATCTTCAACCATAGTGTGTTATCTTAAAATAAATCCATGGTGGTATAATTGGTGTACAACTAACTGCTCGTACTTAAAATGCACGGTTTTGTGAGTTGCGACTTGTGTAGCCACCTGTGAAACCATCACCACAGTCAAGATAACGGACGTATTCATCACCCTCTCCAAAATTTTCTCAGGTGCTTTTGTAATCCTTTCCTCTTGCCTCTCCCAGTCCTGTCCCCAGTCACTGATCAGCTTCTTGTCAATATAGATTGGTTTGCATGTTCTAGAATTCTAAACAAATAATAAAATATATATTGTTTTTGTCCAGCTTCTTTCACTCAGCACAATGACTTTGAGATTCACTGAAATTTTTACAGTTGTAATAATATGATGTCTGGGATGTACATCGAAATTATTAGGAGGAGGGAATGCATGAGTGGAAGTCAAGATGAACGAAGGTTGGCTGTAAATTGATGAGTATTGAAGCTAGACCATGGACAGAAGAGATTCATTATACTATTCTGTCTACTTACATAAGTGTTTCGAATTTTCCATTAAGGAAATGTTTTAAAAAATACTTTTGCTACACCTTGCCACTTTTATGCTATTTTATGTCACACTGCTATATGGTTTGTCTTGAATTTTTATTTCTTGCTGTTATTCAAAATAATCATCCTTGATTTTCCTCTTTGAGGCTTTAAAATCCACTTTTTTTTCCTTGCAGGACCTCAGAAAAGTGGATCAATGTTACTAAAAACAAAACAAAACCAGTCCTCCATTTCAATGTCCCAAACCCTTCTGGCACCAGGGACTGGTTTCATGGAAGACAATTGTTCCATGGATGAGGAGGCAAAGGTGTCAAATGCATTTATTTTGCATAACTCTCTAAACAGTTTCCATCAAGGACTATCAGTGTTCTCCATAGTATTAGTAGTAATAGGATATATATATATATATAAAGTTTAACCTAAGCAAAATTTCTAAAACAAGAGTTTTTTCATTTTAAAAATGAAACTGTTCCATCTCACATCATCAGGCACTGATTAGATTCTAATAAGGAGCGCACAACCTAGATTCCTTGAATGCACAGTTCACAATACAGTTTATGCCCCTATAAGAATCTAATGCCACTGCTGATCTGACACGAGACAGAGCTCAGGAGGTAATGTGAGCTCACCCACTCATCACCTCCTGCTGTGCGGCTCAGTTCCTAGCAGGCCATAGACCTATACTGGTCCACGGTCTGGGAATTGGGAACCCCTGCTCTATTGAAGTTTTTTAAGCACCAGGTGCTAGAAATCATGAGTACCTCTGCCCAAGGGAGGAAATGTTTCAGCAGACTGGATATTTTCTGTCCTATAGACAATGGCATGTAAGATCTGCACCTGATGGCAAAGGCTTCTCTGAAGTGGACATATTTGCAGGGAACTGAGGCACCTCCTTGCAAACTTGGTAGTCTTGTTTCTCAGGTGAGGGAAGCACGAGAGAAGCCTGTGGGCCAGAGGTCATGTAAATAGTTACTGTCAATCAAATCTAGTGATTTAAAGGAGGTAAATAGTGAACTATGAGTTACTATTTACAAGTGTTATTTTTCAATTAAAATGTTATTAAGGCTGGGTATGATGGTCCACACTTGTAATCCTGGCACCTTGGGAGGCCAAGGCAGGCAGATCACCTGAGGTCAGGAGTTTGAGACCTGCCTGGTCAACATGGTGAAACCCCGTCTCTAAAAAAATACAAAAATTAGCCGGGCGTGATGGCGGGTGCCTATAATCCCAGCTACTCAGGAGGCTGAGGGAGGAGAATCGCTTGAACCCAGGAGGCAGAGGCTGCAGTAAGCAAAGATCATGCCACTGCACTCCAGCCTGGGCAATAGAGCAAGACTCCATCTCAAAAAAATAAAAAGTTATTAAAAATAGTAAAATAAGACAACAAAAAGAAACAAACCAAAAATGTGCTCAAACTTCCTTTGGTGCTAATGAGAATTTGCCTGGTAAGGAGAGCTGGCTGGCTCTTTCTTTCACACTGAGTGGCTCTATGTGTGTTGTAGCTTCCTCCCTGAGAAAGGGAGACCTGAAATTTGCTTACAGGATTTCATGTGTGCCAGACTCAGTTATCTCTAAGTAGGCTGCATTTATGGAATGATGGGTATGGTAGACTGTAATATCTGTAGCTGTCAAGGAAGCCTTCTGGTGCTGTCCACAGTGTCTCTGAGCTTGGCCACATGACGGGCTGAGGGTATTAGCAGGAGGGATGCAAACAGAGGCTTGGTAAGTTCTCAAGCACAATGGGGCTTATTAACCTCTTGGACTGCTTGCTCCTGGAGCCAGCCGCCCTGCTATAAGGAAGCCCAAGCTAGTAGCCACATGGAAAGATCAGGTGAATTGAACAAGAGGGCCCAGCCTTCCAGCCAGCTCCAGCAAGACCCCAGTCATGGGAGGGGAGCCGTCCAGGATGTCCAAGCCATCTGACTGCAGACCCCATACAAGGGACACCCCATACAAGGTCAACAGAAGAAGTTTCCAGCTGAGGCCTAGTCAACTCATTGAATCGAGAGAAATAATAAAATGGTTGTTTTAAGACATATGCAATGCAATCACATATATATCAACTCTTTTAGTTGTCTACTACCATGCTAGAAACCACTCCAATCAATGGTAGTGGACAACTAAAAGAGTTAATATATATGTGATCATATAAGTCTTGAAAGTGAAAATCTGCACATGAGAGCTACAGGTTAGGAGAATTCGTCCTGAAAACAAAATTCCTACAACAACTAAGATAATTATTTTCATTCCACACAAGTCTAGATTTTAAAAATCCCTGTCATGCATAACTTTCCTGGAACACATCTATTGTGTAGTGGCGGCTACCCAAGAGATGGCGTGTGCCCAGAGATGCCCAGAGGAGAGGATGCTGGAAAGACATGTGGATGACAGGCATTGGTTCAGGTTGATATGTCTGACTGTGGCTTCTCAGGATAATAAAACGCCATGGTAGAGTTGACCCTACCCTGCTGAGCCTATTTTGCCGTGGGCTGGTGAGTGGTTCTGGGCCATTCGGCAGAGAGGAGGGGACTAGGCCCAGACAGGAGTGGCTGTTGGCGTCGCTGGCCCTGGAGCAAGCCTATGGCAGGTCTGGGACATGTGATCTCTAGACACTGGCTTAGGGAATGAGCTAAGGAGTTGATGGGGGATGGGAGAAGCTTTACTTTAGTTGAGGTTGGAACTCCCACCTGGTGAGCTGGGTGCACGGCAGATGCCATAGTCACAGCAGTGCCCCAGCTACAAAAGGAAAAGCCAAAGCGAATGGAATAATTCCATGACAACTCTGCCTTTCTCTGCTTTGCAATCATTTCCTGTCTATATTCTTTTCCAAAGTGAGTGAAATTGTTCTAGCTCACCGCAGTGGGTGCAAACAGACCGCACCCACCATTTCCTGGGTGTGGGTGCCGTGGGCAGATGCCAGGAGGGATTTTAAAAGAAGCCGTGCTATTTCAGGCCTTAGGATTTGCCATAATGCCAAGGCAGCAACATGTCTGCCCCTGCGAAAGTCCCATCATCCTGTCGCTGAGCTTCTGCCCACATTCCTCTTAATCCGCCTTTCCAGCACATCCCTTCATGAAGTCACTCTGTGGTCTTTCCCTTACGATTCCCATCACGGTGCGGGGGCTTCTGCCTCAGTCTAGGTATGGAGCTCTGACCCCCGTCCTGCCTGGCTGATCCTGTTCAAATCTCTAGTGTTTTTGTCTCACGGGCTAATGTCAAAGGTAGGCAGGGCAGGGATGCCATCGTCACATCTGCAGGCAAGTCTGACGTTTGCCAAGAAGGTTCCAGATCTGCTCTGTCCCCAGAGATGACTGACTCACAAGTTGCAATAGAAAACCCAGGAAGAATAGTTGAGGCAGGCAGGCCAGCACCCTCCCCTGCCCAGCGCTCGGAGCTGGTGCACATCAGGAAAATGAGGTCATTCCAAAAAGAATGGAAGGCTATTTTGGGGAAAGTAAAGGCAAAACGGATGTCAGTAGACAAGCCAGGAAGACCTCCAGTTATGTATATATTTTCTCATTTTGGAGAGTTTTGCGGAGCTTGGAAGCAGGGCCCTATTTTTAGTGTCTATTGTGTGAGGCTATGGCAGGGATGTGTGAAGCTGCAGTTTTCTTCTGACAATGATTCCATTTTAAATAGGGAAAGAAGGTAATGAGGGCAAAAATAATAACCATTTTCAGGGCTCAAAATTCAGGGTGTTTGAAACAGAGTTTTCTAAAATGCCAGCCTAGTGGAAGAACCATTTTTCCTTCCTGCCTTTCATCTGAGAGCCTCCTAACAGATGCCTTGCTCTGGGGGAGGCGATGTGGCCTCCCCGCCTTTCTCCCTGTGCCCGCTTAGGGCCCAGCTGTCTGGTTTCCACTATTTAGCACGGAAGGAGAGAGAGGAAGCAGCCTCTCACCATGGAGATTCTCAAATGTTGGTGTGCCTTGGATTCAGCAGGGCTGAATCAAATGCAGATTCCCTGGCCCCGGCTCCAGAGTGTCTGGTTTCATTGGTCTAAGAGAGGCCTAGGAATCTGTATCTGGCTTTTTGTTTTTTCAAACCTACTCTTTCCAAGGCATTGGGTTGTGGATGGTTCCTGCACCCTGTTTTGAGAAACCTACCTTGCAGCCAGTGCCCCTATAAACTGTACTCATGAGTTAATGAGCTTGAAGGAGTCTGAGATGTTTGGAATGAAAAGGCACTGATGTTTGGGTTGGATAAGGCTAAGAGGTGACCTGTGGCAAGGCCATGGCCTCCAGAGTCAGGCTGACTTGGTGAGAAGTTGAGTCCCGCGGACCATTTGCTGGATGTCTGTGGCCGCTCTCAGAGCCCCAGCTAGTTAAAATCGCCCTAACTCAAATAGCTCACCTGCCTCTTCCTCATCCTACACTGCATGATAGCAGAAAGGATTTTATTTCTCCTTTAAACATGAGGACAAAGATGCAGTTGCGGAGTGCCCTCCAGGGGGAAAAGAAGCCCCACTGGGGTTGGGGGAAAGGCCTCCCTGAATGCAGAAAGGCACAGACACACCGTGGCTCCACAGGGTCGGCCCATCTGCCGGTGCTGGGCAAGGGGACAGTGCACACAAGAGCTGCCTGCACATAAGTGATATTTGTGGAGGTGGCGACGCCAGCGGAAGGAAGGAAACACTGTCAGACTCAGAGTGAACCTGAATTCAGGAATGATGGAAATGGCTTCTTAGTATTAACATGCTACAGTTGCATCTCTGGCTACATCAAATGGAAGATCGTGATTATTATCAGAAACAGGCCATTTCTTACCAAGTAAAACAAAGGTGATGATATTTTGGCCTTTCTCTGAGTGTGTGATGTGGCTTGTTCTGATTTCAGCCTGACAGCACCAAGCCTCCTTCTCCCCACAGTAACTGGGATGCCTTGGGTTTCCTGGGGGGTGCCTGGTTTCCCATCCTTTATGGACTAAAATGGAAGGATGGCCAGATGCTCTCCAGTTGTACCGAATCAGAATCTCTGGGGATAGGACCTAGACTGTCCTTTTAAGAGGCCTACAGGTGATTTGGGTACATAACAGGGTTGACTATCGCCCATTGTCATTGGTGCGCACCCTTATTCATGGTCTCCACTCTGTGTTGGGGGATGGTATGCATTAGACAGGGCTTTCTGGAGGTCAGAGACAAAAATCTAACTTAAGGTAACTTTAGCTGAAAAGAGGACCTATTGGCTCCCATAATGAGAATGTGTCAGGGGGTGGTGCTGGCTTCTCACATAGCTAGAACCTGGGGCTCTAGGGGGCCTTCCAGATCTCTCCTTCCATCTCTCAGTTCTTACTTCCCTTCATCGACTTCATTCTTAGGCAGAATCCTTCTAGGGAGGAGACAGAGATAATCCTGCAACATCACCAGACAGAGAGTAATTCCAGAGACAGGAGCATTGCTGAAGGGGGTCACGTGCCCCCCAACCCACAGCTACACTGCGGGGGAAGGATGTGTTAATAATTGTCCAGGTTCGTCAGGTGCCCATTCCTGGGGTGGGCAAGACAGGACCACTCACATGGAGGAACGGATCTGCAAAAGAAAAGAAGCCGAGACCAAAGAGTCGGCATCTCCGGTGGAGGCCAGAAAGCTCATGTTAATAGCCAACTTTTCCCTGAGCACTTGGTGCCTGTGTATGTATCAGGGACTTTAAAATAAGCAGTTGATACACACTGCCTTTTGAAATTCTTCTAACAATCTTACAAGATGTGCCCCTTGTCACCTTCTTGTCCTAGAGGAGTGCAGAAGGCCTGGAGAGATGCAGTGCTTACTCAGGCTTGCCAGCCAGTTGCTGGTGGAGCTGGGGATTGAACCCAGGACTCTGATGCTAGAGTTGAGTGGTGCCTGCAGGACCGGTGTGAGCACGAGGCTCCCTCCTCCCCCAGCGCACCATGGGCCTCACTTTGGCTCCAGGGTGGCTGACCGCTACCCCTTTCTTATTCTTTTGACTTAGGGGAGGATACCCTTCCCCCATTTTGAACCCCCAGAAGAGCATTATTGTGCTGGGGGCACTTCCCAGCAGTTTATGAACACTGGCCCCTACTCCAGCAGGTCCCCGGGTTAGCTGGCTGTGGGTCCAGCATTGGCTTTGCTCACAAAGTGGAGCATAGCACCAACAGCTGGGCCGTGGGCACCCTGACATCCACACACAAAAGAAATTCCTACGGAAGTAGCGCTACAGAGGTTTTAAAATTTGTATTTTATTTTCCATTACAAACACTATTCACAGGGTGAATTCCTCCTGGCCGCATCCTTGTTCTTCACAGTCATGAGGGTTAAGACTGTGTTCTTCACAGTCATGGAGGCAGTGGCAAGGCGTCAGGTGCCTTGTCCTGACTCTTCAGGAATCACATGCATCAGGGTCCTCAGGAGCCTGAGCCAGCACCTCACCGTCCTCTTGTCTCCTTTCTTCCCATGGACCTGCACCTCCCTTGCATCTTTATCTTCCCTTCCTGCTGCCCTCCAGTGGTCCCCATCCCTCCTTCACTCAGAGGCAGCTCTATGATTTCTAAAGTGCAGTATGTACTTTTAAGATTTTGCCTTCCTGCAGTGGTGTCAGGACTGAACTTTAATAAGACTGTAAACACCCTTTTAAATCCTTTTTTGGGCTTTCACTTTTTATATTATACAGCATGCTTGTCTCTCTATGAATAAACAAATCTTGCACCAAGTAGGGTGAGAAAACGAATTTCCTTTGTTGTTGCAGTGGTTCTTGCTGGAGGCACCGTGACTTGTAACGCAGGCATATTTCAACCTTCTTTCCTTCTCTTGCAAGAAAAAGAAAACAAGTGCAAAATCCAAACCACAACCTTACTCCACAAGGATGCAGAATGAAAATATCACCCATGCGATGGCTCACCAGTAATCTCTCTGTGCCTGACATCTGCTCCATAAACTCTAAAATGAGTAACTGGGTGCTCCTGGGTGCTGTCCATAACTATGTCAGGCAGGGAGGCAATAAATACGCAGAGAGGTTTTAAATGGGAAAATTGTTGATGAATGTGGAGGAAGAGATGAGGATTGTGTAACACATGGCGGGCATGAAACCAAGACAACATTTTATCCTAGCAATGCATCATTTTTATGATTGGGAAGATATTTAATAGTAATATAAAACCTTTAGGGAAAAGAACAGAATAATATTAAAACCTGTCTCTCTGTGTCTTAATCTGTTTAGTGTTGCTATAAAGCAATACCCAAATCTGAGTAATTCATAAAGAAAAGTGGTTTATTTGGCTCATGGTTCTGCAGGCTGTACAGGAAGCATGGTGCAGCATCTGTTTCTGGGGAGGGCCTCAGGCCGCTTCCATTCCTGCTGGAAGCTGAAGAGGCACTGTGTGCAGAGATCACACGGTGAGAGAGGAAGCATGAGAGAGGGGGAAGGTAGCAGGCCCTTTTTAACAACCAGGTCACCCTGGATTGAATAGAGTGAGAAGTTATTCACCCTCCCCCAGGGAGGTCATTAATGTATTCACAAGGCCTCCACCCCTCCATGACCCAAACACCTCCCACGAGGCTCCACCTCCAACAATGGGGATCAAATTTCAACATGATTTGGAGGGGACAAACATCTCGACTATAGCATCATGGGATTTTTTTTCCCAGAAAAGTGACAATGAGAAATTTAGTTCTCTATGGGGCTGATCTGCCACTGTGGTACAACTCACCTCTGGTTAGAAACTACATTGGTGACATCATCACTAACAGCTCCCATAGCCTTAAACAGTGCAGTCATTTTGGGCCAGGAGAGAGGGATGTATGAGCTTCCTTCTACTGTATCAAAACATTTCATTGGAGGAGCGTATCAAAAAAGTTCCATTTTGAACAGATTGATTTTAAAGTACCCAAAAGTTTTGCAGCCTCCAGGAAGAAATGTCTGATGGGCAGTTTGAAATCTGGGGTCCAGACACCACTGCATTTGAGAATCGGAAATTCTGATCATACTACAAGCTGTAAGAGAGAGGAAGCGCTTTCTTCTAGAGGCTCTAGAAAGAGGAGATGTGTGGAATTTGGGGAGGATGGTGTCATTGCAGAGCAGTTGGAGGAAGAGGAAAAAGCAGTTAGAGAAAGAGAACCACGAGAGAGTTGCCTTGGAGAATACAGGAGGCCAGAGTTGCAAAAAGAAGTGCTCAGTCAGATGCTGCTGAGGATTTGAATATAATAAAAACCAAGGAGAGAACCCTGAACCTAGGAGCTTGGAGTGATTTTGCCGAGGGTGTTTGGCAGAGGCACCATCTGGGGTCAGAATCCGTACTGCACTGGCTGAAGATGAGGAGGAGACGAAGAAGTGCCAAGGGTCCTTACAAGAAATGTGTGGACGAAAAGAAGGAGTGGGATGGCTGATAGTTCATTGGAAAGAAAATACTGACAGACGATGGTGCAGGAATGGGAGTGCCCAGATTCCAAGGGTAGGGAAGGCAACACAGCCAAGGGGTGGGAGCTTCTGCGGTTGCAAGAAGAGGGTGATAATTGATGGAGGCTGAGAAGGTGTCTGTTTCTGTTCAACTGTTCCTGTTTCTTGTGAAGGTTTCAGGTTCTTAGGCCACATTTCTAAGTCTGGGTTTATGCCCAAGGCTACTTGTTCTTCCCCTCCCTGCAGCAGGTTCTGTGAAGCGGCTCTCAAGGCCATGGCCTGGAGATGGAAGATCCTGCTGGAAATGGAAAATCCTGCTGGAAATGGAAAATCCTGCTGGAAATGGGCATCAGAGGGTCCCTTCTTCTCTCCCACACTGATGCCTTTTGCCTGCTCAGAAGTCTCTGTCACATACAGACAAGTGGTGTTCTCACGCTCAGAAAGGCAGGTATGGAGGCATCTGCCTGTCTCCCTCCAGATGAAGAAGAGGTGAGGTGTCTCCGCTGAGAGGGGTGTGTCAAGGCTGAAAACAGCAGCGAGGTGAATGGGAAAGCCAGTCCATTGAGGAAGTATGAGGAGGAAATGAGAACCTGCTGAGGAGCCCAAAGATGGGAGGAGGAGGAGGAGGAGGAGGAGGAGAAGGAGGAGGAGGTGGTCAAGAGTTTGGGGTCTGTGGGACACAGAAAAGTAGATTTTGCCTGATCCCACCCTTTAGGGGAGGCCAGTGTAGACTGACAGGAGTGAGCCAGAGCCAAGTAGGGAAGCTGGTTAATGAGTGGGGAGAGGGCGATACAGCCTGAGGGAGAAACCCAATGAAGAGAAGGATCAAGGTTGAGCCACAAAAACCTGACTCTGTGTTCTTATTCAAGGGTGAAGGGTGTCCAAGACAGAGGTCAGACACCAACAGGAATTAGAAACAGTGGTGGTTGAGAAGCCATGTCTGACTAGAGATATAGAGACCAGATGTTGAAAGTGGACCTCAGCCTCTTAGAGATCTCTCTTCTAAAATGATGCTTTAATAGTGTGGAGGGGGAACAGCGTTGAGGTGGACAGGTTCAGTGGGATTGGGGAGGTGGGAGGCTAAGAGGTCATGATAAGAGAGGAAATGTCAGATGAGGAGTAGTTCCTGCTGACAACGAGGTCCAGGAGGGAGCTGAGGTGGAGGGAACAGACCTGGGAATGGGAAATCCAGGCATGGTTAAGGCTGGGGTGATGGAGGGACATCGGGTGTGGACGTTAGTGTGAGAAGAGGAAGCCTTGGAATCAGTGACCTAAAACCTAAAGGAATGTGAATCAGAGGCTTAGAAATTGTCCAATGCTTGGAGTAAAACTGGGAAAGGATTGGATGCCACAAAGGGGTTGGTTTGGAGAAGAGGCCATTGAAAAATGGTGGTGGAGAGGAAAGAGCTTCAACTGAGTCAGGGTCTTAGCCATCCTCTCTCCAGCAAAGTATCTGGCCATTGGTCTGGGTACCCCACACCTAGGCTTTAGAGTCTTTCAATGTGGTCAGGAACCCAGTTCATAAATCACCCTTAGTCTTCAGGAGTCTTGCCAAGGAAAGACTCTGTAAAGGCCTTGCTGAGGGTGCCAGGTGCAGCAAGATTCGAAAGAGAAGATTCGGCTTTTGGGGGAATGTGCCTGGATCAGGCATTCACTATCCTTTCAGGACTCTAGATGTAAATTGGAATCCCCTGTATTAGTTTGCTAGGGCTGCCATAATAACATACCACAAACTAGAAGGCTTAAGGAATAGAGATTTAGCCTCTCACAGCTCTGGAGGCTGGAAGTCCAAGATCAAGGTGTCGGCAGAGTTGGTTCCTTCTGATGTCTTTGAGGGAAAGATCTGTTTCAGGCTTCTCTACTTGGTTTGTAGATGGGTGTTGTCCCTGTATACGTGTTTCTGTGTCCAAATTTCCCCCTTTGATAAGAACTCCAGTATTGCTGGTTTAGGGGTCACCCTAATGACCTTGTTTTAGCTTGATTACCTCTATAAAGACCCTATCTCCAAATTAGGTCCCATTCTGAGATACTGGGTGTTAGAACTTCACCATACGAATGGAAAGCTGGCACAATTCAACCCATAACATTGCCCTCCATGGCAAGATTTCATCACATTTCATCTTCCTAGGGTTGTCTGTTTTATAAAAATGAGTTTTCACAGTTGTCTGATTTATACCCCTGCTTGTTTGGAAGGTAAAAGCAAGAGTCACTTTCCAAAAGAAATATGATCAAACTGCACACTCTTTATAGATCAGGAGAATGGAGGCTCCTGAGGCTCCCAGCTCCATTTTCAGGACCTGAGCCACCCCCAGCCATCAGAGCGACCCCAGGAGCAGATAGATGCATGAAGAGCATGAATAACTCTCTCTCGTCTGCATCCCTCCACCCCCAGGTTGTCTGAGACTCAAATATCTGAAGGGCCTGGCATATTGGAGCCAGCTCAGGCTGTCCATCTCAGGGATCAGACAAGGCCAATGAGGTTCCAGGCAGGACACTTCAGTCTCATTGGGACCATCTCATTCAGAGCATTTCAGTAACATCTGAGGAAGTCAGGAGATTGTAACTGAAAACTGACCCAGTCAAATTTCCTGGTTCTGGAGTCTGGGACGGGAGGCCCCTCAGTGCCAGGCTTGTTTCAGGACCAACAAACTGCCCAGGCCACGAATTGGGCAGCCTCCCGAGCCAGAGTAAGCTCTGAGACTCCAGCATAGCCATGTGGCAGAAGATTTATGGAGAGAAAAAGGCAAATGACCTACAGAAAACAGAAGCGAGTACCGAAATGGCTGGATTGGCTACAGGTTGGCATTTGCCTTATTTGAACACAGTTTGAACAGTTGGCTACATTTGATTGGCTAAAACTCGGTGATTGGCACAAGTGTAGGCTATGGTCTGTTTACACCTCTGCTTGTTACAGTTCATGATGTACAGAGAAACTTTTAGGCCAAACTTAAACTATGTAAGGGGGCAGCTTTTGGCTAAACTTGATTTAACAGATCTTTCTTCTGTTTTAATGTAGGCATTTATAGCTATTAGTTTTACTACCTTAGTTGCAGTTCATAAATTTTGTTGTTTTGTATTTTTGTTTTCATTCATCTCAAAGTATTTTCTAATTACGCTTGTGATTTCTTCTTTGACTCATTGGTTATTTCAGCAGCGTGTTGTTTAATTTCCACATATTTAGGTATTTCTCTAATGTCTTGTGGTTAATTTCTAACTTAAGTCCATTGTGGTCTGAGATCATAATTTGTATGATTTCAATTACTTTAAGTTTTTTGAGGCTGGTTTTATGGCCTAGTTCATGATCTATCTTGGAGAATGTTCCATGTGCACTTGAGAAAAATGTACATTCTGCTGTTGTTGGGTAGTGTTTTCTACAGATATCTGTTAGGTTTGCTTGGTTAATAGTGCTGTTGGAGCTTTCTAGTTCCTTATCATCCATGTACCATAGAACATCCATGGTGTTCTATCCATTACGGAAAGTGGGCTGTGGAAGTCTGCAGCTGTTGAGTTGTCTATTTCTCCCTTTAATTCTGTCTAACGTGTTTTGTGTATTTTGGGGCTCTGTTGTTAAGTACGAAATGTTACATTTTTTATTTTCCTGATAAATTGACCCTTTTATTGTTAAAAAAAGTCTTTTTTTTTTTTTAGCCCTGGTAACTTTTTTTTTTATGTTTTAGAGTCTATTTTATCTGATATCAGCATAGCAACTCCTACTATCTTATGACTGCTATTTAGATGGTATATCTTTTTTCCCCTGGTTTTATTTTCAATCTCTTTATATATATTACCTTATATATAACACCTGCCTTTTAAAGAGGCTGAGAAAAGAATGGAGAAAAAGTATATATTTAGCAACTTTCTTATTTACCACTTTTGTGTCTCTTCATGTCTTCCTGTGGATTTGAATTACCATCTTGTGTCATTTCTTTAATATAATTTTGTATTCCCCCTAACTTCCTTTGCGTTGTTATTGGTAAACATATTACATTTCTGTAAGTTATAAATTCAACAATACAATAATATATGTTGTTTTATACAATTGCTTAATCAGTATAGAGAAGAAACATGCAATTATCTTATCTTTTAGAATTACTGACGTAATTACTACATAATTACTCGATGCTACACAAACCTTCACTGGTGCACTCTGTTTCCTTGTGTGGATTAGAATTATTCTTAGCCCTCACCTGTTTTCAGTCTGAGGGACCTCCTTTAGTATTTCTTGAAAGGTAGGTCTGCTAGCAATGAATTTTTTGTTTCTGTTTATCTGGGAATGCCTTTGTTTTGCCTTCAATTTTGAAAGATAGTTTGGCTGGATATAAGATACTTAGTCAACAGAATTTTTGTTTTATTTTGTTTTTCTTTCATACCCTACCTTCTGGCCTTAATGTTTCTCATGAGAATTCAGATGTTAATCTTATTGAGGGTCCCTTGTATGTGATGAATCATTTTTCTCCTGCTGCTTTCAATTCGTATCTTTGGCTTTCAATATTTTAACTGTGTGTCTGTATGTACGTTTCTTTGTGTTTATTCTACTTGGGCTTTATTGAGACTTACATACATATAAATTAATAATTTTAATCAAACTTGAGACAATTTTAGCCATTAATTTTTTGAATATATTTTCTTTCTTTCTTCCTTCTCGGTCTTCTTCTTCTTTTTTTTTTTTTCTGAGATGGAGTCTCGCTCTTTGCCCAGGCTGGAGTGCAGTGGCGTGATCTCGGCTCACTGCAACTTCCACCTCCCAGATTCAAGTGATTCTCCTGCCTCAGCCTCCCAAGTAGCTGGGATTACAAGCACGTACCACCACACCCAGCTAATTTTTGTATTTTTAGTAGAGATGGGTTTTCACCATGTTGGCCAGGCTGGTCTCAAACTCCTGACCTCAAGTGATCCACCCACCTCAGCCTCCCAAAATGCTAGGATTACTGGCATGAGCCACTGCACCCGGCCTATTTTCTGTCTCTTTTTATGTCCTCTACTTCAGAGACTCTCCTTGCACATATATGTTGACACTTAATTGCGTCCTACTTTTTCCTGAGGCTCTGTTCATGTTTCTTCACTGTTTTTTCTATCTGTTCTTCACACTGCATAATCTCAGTTGGTCTATTTCATATTTATTGAATTTTTCTTGTATCAGCACAAATATTATTGAGCCCCTCTAGTGAAATTTTCATTTTTGTCATAGTACTTTTCAACTCTAGAATTTCCTTTTCCTTTTTTTCTTAAATTGCCCCTATTAGGATGGTGACTCCTCTTCCTGCCTGTAAACTAAAAATAAAATCCTAAGCCTCCCAACTAACTGAATGAAGCTCCTCTTGGCCTAGGGGACCCCAGAAAAACCTTCAAAACTGAATTCCTAGCCATGACAGGAAGGGAGGTTGGACACACCTCATTATGCCCCACTCCCTTTTGGAGTTTAGGCAAAGATGACCTGGTATATATGTTAAAATAGAGACCATAAGACTGACAGAACAGACTCTTTGTGGCTATACGACACCAAATCATAAACAAGACCTAAGGCCATACAAGGGAAAAGTTAAGCCTACAATGAGATTTTATAATCTCATTAAATGTTGAAATTTTTTTGAGAAGGAGTCTCACTCTATTGCCCAGGCTGGAGTGCAATGTCACAATCTCAGCTCACTGCAACCTCCACCTCCCAGGTTCAAGCGATTCTCCTGCCTCAGCCTCCTGACTAGCTGGGACTACAGGTGTGTGCCACCATGCCTGGCTAATTTTTGTATTTTTAGTAGAGAAGGGTTTTGCCATGTTGGCCAGACTGGTCTCGAACTCCTGACCTCAGATGTTCTGCTTTGGCCTCCCAAAGTGCTGGGATTACAGGTATGAGCCACTGCACCAGTCTAAATGTTTTTTTTTTTTTTTTTTTAATTAACCTGATACAATGTGGCTTACTTTCCAACCTGACTGTGGTGTAGCATCACATGACCTACAGAAGACCTCCTTTTCGTAATGCAAGCATTCCTTTGTACTGACTTCAAGTCTTTAGAGAAAGCTTAACTCTTTCAACCAATTGTCAATAAGACCTAAGGCTCGCCCATGACTTATAATCCCCTGCTTTGAGATGTCCTGCTTTCTCGGGCCAAACCAATGTATATCTTCCATAAACTTACCTATGATTCCTGCCTCCCTAGAATGTGTAAAACCAAATGGTAAACCAACAGCCTCAGGACCACTTACTCAAGGCTTGTTAGGTTTATGTTTTCTCCAGGCTGTGGTCACTCATATTGACTCAGAATAAACCTCTTTAAAATATTTTACAGAGTTTGGTTTTTCCATTAACATGCCTGATGATCCCTTGGTACCAGAAGCCAATATGCCGTGGAAAGAGCCATAACTTATAATTCAATGAGCCTCTCTATGTATTCCCTTGAAAGTATTATTTTTTGGAAACCAAGACCAGTAAACACCCACAATTCAGATATGCCAGGATGGGATGCACACATTTTTCATATGAGGATACTCCCATTGCTACCCATTTGGTTACCAATCCAAGTATCTAACAACTGAGCACACATGACACTGAATTAGAGTATCCCCTGCTTCTTGGAGGTGACACACCATCCTCACACCAGTGCCTAAGCTGTGCCTACAACGGGCCATTTAAATAGTTTGGATGTTTGTCCCGCATGTTCTCACTCATAGGTGGGAATTGAACAGTGAGAACACTTGGACACGGGATGGGGAACATCACACACCAGGGCCTGTCGTGGGGTGTGGGGAGTAGGGAGGGATAGCATTAGGAGATATACCTAATGTAAATGACGAGTTAATGGGTGCAGCACACCAACATGGCACATGTATACATATGTAACAAACCTGCACGTTGTGCACATGTACCCTAGAACTTAGAGTATAATTTTAAAAAAAAATAGTTTGGATGTTTGTCCCTTCCAGAACTCATGTTGAAATGTGATCCCCAATGTTGGAGGTGGGGCCTAGTGGGAGGTATTTGGGTCATGGGGGCTGGCCTTATGAATGTCTTGGTGACCTCCCAATGGTAGTGAGTGAGTTCTCGCCAACATGAAAGCCGGTTATTTAAAACAGCCTGGCATCTTTCTTGCTCCCTCTCCTGCCATGTGATACACTGGTTCTCCCTGCCTTCCACAGTGAGTAAAAGCTTTCTGAGGCCTCGCCAGAAGCAGATGCTGGCACTGTGCTTCTTGTACAGTCTGCAGAACAATGAGCCAAAGAAACTTCTTTTCTTTATAAACTACCCAGTCTCGGGTATTCCTTTATAGCAATGCAAAATGGACTAACACAGAAACCACTCCATCACTTCATCAGTTGGGCAGTTTTTGGATGGAGTTTAAATATGATATAATAGAATGCCCATTGAAAATAATTTGTCTCTTTATTGAAATTCTCTTTTTAGTGAGGCATTGTTATTATACTCTCCTTTAATACTTTAGACAAAATGTCCTTTATTTCATTGGACATATTTATAATAGCTGATTTGAAATCTTTGTTTAGGAAGTTCAACATCTGGACCTCCTCACAGACAATTTTGTTGATTGCTTTTATTCCTGAACTGGGACCATATTATCCTGTTTGGGAAGTCCTATAACTTTCACATGCCTCATAATTATTTTGTTGAAAACTTTATATTTTAGATAATGTATTATAGTGATCTGGATACTAACTCTCTTCCCTCTCCCACTCTGCACCATTGCCACCTGAATTGATGTCATTCTTGCTTTCTTGGTCATTTATTCCTTTGTTTAGTGCCTTGGCTGAACTAACTCTGTGACATCTGTTTTCTATGCATTGCACAGCCTCTAATGTCCTTGCTCCAGTTGTTTTGCTTTATTTTATCTTTTAGCCTAGCTATTTAGGGGTTGCTCGAGGTCATGATAACATAGTTATTGGTGAGAGGTTGTGCTTAAGTCCTCTTAATCTGTTAGATTTTTAACCCTTTACTACGTGTGTGACTTGGAGGCTGCTATCAGTTTAAGGAGTGTATGCTTTGCCCCATGTTCAGCCAAGGAGTAGTAGCTTGGATGTCCCTTCTGATCACTGCTGAGAAGGCCTAATCTTGGGTATGCATACAGTCATCCAGACTGGCAGACGTGCATGTGATTTTATTTCTAATCCTAGCTTCCTAGGAGTTTCCCCTGGATAGAGAAATTTGTTCAGCCAGTGCTTGGTCAGGGTTTGTGATTAGGTTTGTTGTGAGGCTTCTGCACATTGGATGATGGGTTTCTGTGCAGCCTTGAGTGGTTTTAGTCTGCCTCACACATTGCTCTGATTACTCCTGAATGGGATAGTCCATGCCCACAGCCTTCCCAACCCCCAGGGTTGGCTGTGATCTGAGGAGGGCTCTTTTTGGTTGTTTCTTTCGTGGGTTCTCATGATTAGATTTCTGGTTGTTTTGCTGTTTTGCTTATTGCAACCAGTATCACAGATCTGGAGGGGCCTTTTAATTGTTCTCCACCAAGATCCCCATTGTTTTTGGTAAAGCTCTGGCATGGTATCCTCCATGATCTGCTCCAAATAAAGTCAGTCTTTTCAGGCAGAGCTGCAGAGCTCTTTGTCCTTAAGGCACCCCTTGAGCAGAACCTCAGCACCACTGCACAGGAGCTGGGGGGTGAGGAATGTCTAGCTGCCTATTTTTCCTAGAGAGACACCTCTGTCCTGCCAGTGGTCACTGGAGGAATGGTAGTGGCCCCTGATATTCTTGGATTGCCCCTCCAGGTGTACAACTTCCAGCCTTGGAGAAAGCTGTGGCTGCACCTGGTGTAAGAGCTTCTACCCCATGAGTAGGGGCTGGACAGAGGGGAAGGAGCCTCAGACTCTTGGCCACACCCACCAGGAGCTGGAGTTGAGCTCTTGCAACATGGGGACAGCAGTGGTGGGGAGTGGGTTAGAAATGCCAGTGGCTGCCCTTCCTGGGGTCAAAATGTAGCCCTGTTAGGTACTTGGGACAAAGGGAGCCCTCATCTTCTTGTCTGTGCTGGCTTGGACAGAGCACCTGGAGTAGAGCTTTCCTAAGAGGGAGCTTGCAGGGAGAGTGGGGAGGGAGCAGGTCATGGCTCCAATACCACAGCCTTATACTGTTCTTACTGGGATTTAGTTGATTTCTTGAAAATATATACATATTTTTTAAATTTTCTGTGTGCCTTTGTGGCAGTTTTCAGAGACTTAAATAATTGTTGTTCTTGTTGTTTTTAAATCTTCTCCTGTTCACTGGTTGTTTTGTTGGGAAGAGGGGCGTGGATCTCCTTATCCTTCCTGGGAAGTTTCCAGGTTCTGCCTTTTGCATTATTTTCAGTCTATTCCCCCTCCCCCAGTTGGACATCACCCTGTTTTTATTTAAAGGGCCTTCACTAGTGTCAAGGCTGGGACAAGTCAAGGTGAAGGTCACAGTGAGTCACATCCTGGGGCTGCACCTTTCTTGTCCAGCCTCTTTAGACTTGCTTTGCAGATAAGGCAAGAGAAACACATGTATGGCTCAGGTTTTACAGCCAAGCTTCTTGCTTGCTTTTTAATGCTTAGCGTGGCGAGGTGGTTAAGAGCAGCAACTCAAGCTGGTTTGACAGGGTTCAACTCCGATTTGATCACGGGTTTGCTGTAGGGCCTTGAGCAAGCCACTTCCAACTCCCTGGGCTTCCATGTCCTTGCCACAGACAGGCGAGGAGGGCAGATATGGTGACTCTCCCTATTTTATTAATGGAACAGAGGCTCAAAATGTCACTTGTGCTGCCCCCAGAGTCACAAAGTTATAGATGGAGTAGCAGAAATTAAATCTAGCCTTGCTGAGCCTGAGCTATTCTGGCTGGCATTCTGAAGAATGCCCCGAGAAGGTCTTGGTCTTGCATGGAAGATGAGGACCCTGAAAAGTCAAGTCGTTGGCCTGAGGTCACAATGGCAGCTGGTGGTGGAGCTAGGCCAAGCTCAGGTCCCATGGCAACCAGTGTGGTGTTCTTTATGAAAAGGACATTGTCTCCCCAAGGGGCTGTGGGTCTGGAGAGGTTGCTGGATTGTGAGTTTATTAGGGGAAAGGTTGGCATGGGGGAGAGTTGAGGATTCTAGTGAGCCCACGCCCCAGGAGGGTAGATGCCCAAGGGGTCTAGGAGGCTTCTAGTGTCATGGTCCAGCACTTGGGCTCTGGTGTCAGATAACTGAGTCCAAATCCTCCTTGCACTTCTGCTTCCCAGCTGTGTGACTTTGAACAAATTACTAGACTTTTCTGACCCTCACACTACCCACCTGTGAAGTGGATATATACAAAGTACTTAATACAGAGCTCAGCATCTGGTTAGCTCTTCTGTTTAGTTGAAGTCAATCCACAATCACGTACTGGGGACCTGCTGTGTATTAGAGCCCTTGTTAGGTAACAAAGACTCAGTGGACAGGACAGACATGGTCACTGCTCTCATGGAAAGTGGCTAGGAAGCTGGGTGGGGAACACTGGCAGTAAGTAGGTAGCTATGAGCATGGTGAGCATTACAACAGAGAAAGTGGTAGATGCTGTGGATTTTATGGGACTGGACCTTCCTCCAAGTCTGGGGGTCAGGGCAGTCTTCCCTGAGGCAGTCAGAGGGGAGAGTTGAAGGAAGAGTTACACTTGGTATTGGGAGGGGGCCTGGCCCTTGAGTAGCAGCAGCAGCCCCTCCAGGCAGAACCAGGCACCGGGGGCTACATTTAGCAGAGGCCATGGAGGATGGTGGTCCCCAGCAGCAGTGATTGGTGCAGCAGTGGTTTCTGTCCTCAGTCTCCTGACAGCCCCCATCAATGAGGTGCATATTCCACTCCTGGCAAAGCTCCCAATTTGCAAGTTTTCTGTCATTGTCCACAAAGCAAAGGATTTTTCATTTATTTGAGATAAATAGCTGCTCCAAGTGACGTAACAGACCCAGTTGGCACTACCCTGAGTGGAAAATGTAGCTCAAGACTTCCCTTGTTTGTGTGTTTCTTGGAGGCAGGTTGACTGCTCTCTTGTCTTTAAAAAGACTCTTTAGAGAGCTTATTGTCTAAGAGAGGGGCGTGTAGGCAACCACCCAGGAAGTTCTGTGGGGGCATTCCAGGGATATTTGTGTGTGTGTGTGTGTGAGAGAGAGAGAGAGAGAGAGAGAGAGAGAGACAGAGAGAGAGACAGAGAAAGAGAGAGAGAGAAACCAATGTAACATCCCTACATCCTTGCCCCCGGCCCCCATCATGCCTGGTCACAGGGATGACCTACTTTAATTATTGGAGGGTATGGAACCAAAAGGGATCCCAGAGGCAAATAGCTCTTTAATGGTAGTTGCAGCTAAAAATGAAAGCAACCCTCAGTTCTGGCAGGGACAGACACCCAGTTATTTACAAGACACTCCATTGAACCTGGTCCACCTCCCCTCTAGACCTGGCACAGAGATTGCCTGATGGCTCTAGACTGCAGTCTGATGAAAGAGAAGGAGGCCCCAAAGACCCAGGTTTTGAAGGGGATTCAAGAATTAAGAGAGGACTCCCTCTCTCTGTGCCTCAGTTTCATCATCTGTAAAAAATAGAACAGTATCTATCACAATGAGTTGGTATGAAGATGAAATGAGTCAATACAACTAAAGTGCTTAGAAGAGTGCGTGGCACATAGTGAGCGCTTGATAAATGCTATTGTTAGTTTGTTGTCATTATCATTTTGCTGTAGTCGTTATGCCAACCTTTACCCTCTCCCCTCTTTGCCATTAACACTATCAAGCTTACAGGCATAAGGAGGGGGGTCAGTGGCTTTCATCTGAGCAAGTGCAGCCCGAAAAGGCCTATCCAGGTGGAAGGATCCCACAGACTGAGCCTCCTTGGGGTCTGTAATGACAACACCTTGTAGCCTGTAACTAGCTCTAAGCCCAGAACAGAAGCTAAGACATTTGCACCCTCAAAACACATCCTTGAGCTCAGAGCTCAGAGACCCTACTGGGTCTGGGTAGGGATGTGTGAAGCACCACAGTGGCCATCCACAGGGAAACAGAGAGAGTAACACTGGAGGCCGGGAGCCACAAGAGCAAGCGCCTTGCTATTGGAGGAAACAGGAGATAAACTGAGTTCACACTTGAATCTCTAAACTCCTGATAGTAAATTTTGTTTTGATTTATACCATGCAGTTCTTAGCATCAGACTTAACTCTCCTACCTGACTCAGAACATTTTGATTTACAAATTGGAAAATAAATGGGTTTGCACATCCTGGGCCTGTCTTGCAAACCACTCCAATAAATTCTTCATCAGTGGTTTCAGCTCTTAGCCACTTCACCTGCATTTGGGCTGCTCTGTGCATTAGAGGTGAATAAATCATATTTGAAAGATCTCCATTCTTACTGCTACATTCTGTTCCTTTGTCTCTCCTGGATGTGCGGACTGTGTATTTTGTTAAAATTACCTGGGGAGGATGTAGTCTGTTTGACAGGTCAGGCTTTCTTGCTGGAATCCACTCCTTACCCAGAATGCTGAGCCTCTTCTCACACACTACCTACTGCCTGAACTCTGGACCTTGTTCCCTCTTGAGCTCCTCTCAGCCCTGTCCTTCTTTCTTTTGCAGCTGACCACCCTCCCTGCTGTTCCAGCAGAGGCCTACTTTGTAATATTCTTGGGGAGCAAATCTCAGCTTCAACAGACTTTGCCTCCCAGCCTTTGAGATCAGCAGGCTTCGTGGATGGCTGCCTGGGTATAGATCTTCTCCTAAATAACTCTCAAGACTCAAGCTTTCCAGCATTTAGTGACTTTATTTTTTTTTAATTTTTTTCTCTTTTTTTCGATGTATTCAAAATTTTATTTTACTTATTTTTTATTTTCCATAGGTTTTGGGGGGAACGGGTGACATTTGGTTACATGAGTAAGTTCTTTAGTGGTAATTTTTGAGATTTTGGTGCACCCATCACCTGAGCAGTGTACATTGAACCCCATTTGTAGTCTTTTATCTCTAACCCCCTTTCCACCCTTTGCCCCTGAGTCCCCAAAGTCCATCACCCAAATACTTTGGCATAAATTTAACAAAAGATGCACAAGAGCTCCACACTGAAAGCCTCAAAACATTACTGAGAGAAATTAAAGAATATCTAAATAAATGGAGATAATATGTTCATGGATTGGAAAGTTCAAGATTATTGAGATGTCATTTCTCCCTAACCCAGCAATTTTTTGGTTTTGTTTTTGTTTGGTAGAAATTGATGAACCAAGTCTATAATTCATATGGAAATCAAAAGGACCTAAAATAGGGAGAACAATTTTAAAAATAAGTTGGAGGGTATATACTACTTGATTTGAAGACTTACTATAAAGCTACAGAATTGAAATGGTATGATAGTAACATATAAATTGACAAATAGACAAATGAAGCAAAATATAATCCAGATATAGACAAACGCATGTATGGTCAACTGATTTTTAACAACAGAAAAGCAATGTAATAGGGAAAGGAAGTTTTTTATTAAATGGTGCTAAAACTGAACATTTATGTGGTGGGGATAAGCTGGATCCCTACTACACATCATATACAAAACCTATTAAAAGTGGATTGCAGATCTGAATATAAGTGATAAAACTATAAGACTTCTAGAATAAAGCATAGAAAAATATCACGACCTGGGGGTAGGCAAAGATATGTTGAAATTGAACGTCATCAAAACAAAAAACTTCTGCTCCAAAAAAAGCACCATAGACTGGAAAAAATAGTCCCAATCCATATATCTGACAAAAGTACTGTTTCTAGTATATATAAAGAACTCCTATGACTCAATATTAAAAAAACAAACTCCATTTTTTTAAAAGAAGCAAAAGTCTTGAACAGATACTTTACAAAGAAAGATATACAGATGGTCAATAAACATGTGAAAACTGTTCAACATCTTTAGTCATCAGGGAAGTGCAAATTAAACCATAGTGACATACCACTACTTACCCACTATAATGGCTATAATTACCAAGTCTTACAACACTGGTGACTGGAAAGAAGGCAGAGCAACTGGGACTTTCATTCATGACTGATGGGAGTGTAAGATGATTGAACTACTTTGGGAAACTCTTTGACAGTTTCTTATAAAAGTTAAACATATATTTCTCTTATGCTCCAGCAAATGCCATTTCTAGGTATTATAACAAGAGAAATAAAAAACATATGTCCACACACAAAAAAAGACAAGCACAGAATGTTCATACCAGTTTTATCCATTATAGTCAAAAACTAGAAACAATTGAAATGTCCATCAAATGAATGAATGATATCTACAATATTCATACAAAGCAATAGTACTCAGTGATAAAAGGAATAAGCTACAAATAGACTCAACAAAATGCATAAATCTCAAAGCATTATGGTGAACAAAAGAAGCGAGATACAAAAGAGTATATTCTATGTGATTTCATTTATATGAAGTTCTAGAACAGGCACAACAAATCTATGGTGATTGTCAATCAGTGATTGTCTTAGTCTGTTATGATTGTTATATAACAGAATGCCACACACTGGTTGGCTTACAAACAGAAACTTATTTCTCATAGTTGTAGAGGCTGGGAAGTCCAAAATCAAAGTGCTGGCAGATTCTGTGTCTGACGAGATCCTGCTTCCTGGTGCATAGCTGGCACCTTCTCCCTGTGTCCTCACATGGAGGAAGGGATGAAGAACCTCATGACTTTATCACCTCCCAAAGGCCTCACCTCCTCCATCACATTGGGAATTAGGTTTTAATACATAAATGTTGGGGGAGACATATTTAGTCTACAGCCTTGATGCTTTTTGTGGGCAGAATAGATGGGAGTTTGACTGAAAGGGAGATACAAGTTTACTTTCTTGTAAACTTCTACTCCTGCTCTGAAACTTGCTTTGGTATCTTCTGTCTAATATTTTCCTTTTTTGTAGTATACTTATATGACTTTGGTATCCAGGTAAATTGAGTTAGAGAATATTTACCCTTTTATTTTCTAAAAAAACTTTGTGTAAAATCTTATTTATACATGTAAATCATGTGTGTTATTTCATCCTTAGATTCTTGGTATAATTGAACCATGAAGCCATGTGAGTGTGGAGTTTTCTTTGAAGGAAAGCTTTTAGTTACAAGTTCAATGTCTTTAGAAAATAAGGGGAAATTCGATTCTTCTATTTCTTTTTAGTTCAGTTTAATTGTATGTCTTTCAAGGAATTGATTAATTTTATATATTTAAAATATCAATATGTTTATATTGAATTTTTGGTATAAATTTCCTCTATTTTTTTAATGCCTGTAGGGCTTATAGTGATGGCTCCTCTTAAATTCCTGAGATTGGCAATTTTTCTCTCTCTCTTTTAAAATGAGTCTTGTTATGGAGTTACCAATATTATTAATATTTTTTAAAAAAACAACTTTTTATGTTATTGATTTTCCTATTGTTTTTCCTTTCATTATGTTCTTTTCCTATTTTTATTAATTTTTTCTAATTTTTTCTGTTAAATCTTTTTTTCCCCCAACTTCTTGATGTAGCATCTTATACTGTCAGTTTTAAATCCTTTTTTCTCATGTAATTATTTAATATTATATATTTCCCTCTAAGCATTCCTTTAGCTGCATGCCACAAATTTTAATATTTAATATTTTATTATTTATTTTAAAATATTTCTAATTTCCCTTGTGACTTCTTCTTTGACATATAGAATATTTAGAAATATGTAGCTTCACTTCCAAATATTTGGAGATTTAGGACATTATTTTAATATTACTCTTCAATTTCATTCTGTTGTAGTCAAGGAAGATGATCCTTATGATTTCAACACTTTAAAATGTATCAAGACTTTTTTAAATGGCCCCATATATCATCCATCTTAGTGAATGCTTCATGTGTGCCTGAAATGAATGTGTATGGAGTCAGACATTGTGTTCTATAAATGCCAATTAAATGTTGACATTGTTATTTAAATTTTTTGTCTTTTTTCTATTAATTATTCACAGATGAGTATAAACATATATAACTATGATTTTGAATTTGTCTATTTCTCTCTTTAGTGCTGTCCATTTTTTTCTGAAGGTATTCTGATGCTCTTTTATTAAGAGTATACACAAATAGGATTTTTATGTCTTGATGAATTGACCTTTTTTTCATTTTATCTCTTTATCTCTAGCAATAGGTTTTGAAGTTTGCCTTGACATATTATATTGACTTATAAGTGACTTAAATTGAAGGGGTGGCCTGCCCCTCCACAGCTGTAGGTGTTTCTTGTCGGGTGGGACGAGAGACTGAGAAAAGAAAGAGACACAGAGACAAAGTATAGAGAAAGAAAAGTGGACCCAGGGGACTGGCACTCAGCATACGGAGGACCCGCGCCAGCACTGGTCTCTGAGTTCCCTCAGTATTTATTGATCATTATCTCTACCATCTTGGAAAGGGGGATGTGGCAGGACGATAGGGTAATAGTGGGGAGAGGGTAAGCAGGAAAACAGGTGAACAAATGTCTCTGTGTCATAAACAAGGTTAAGAAAAAGGTGCTGTGCTTTGATGTGCACATACATAAACATCTCGGTGCATTAAAGAGCAGTATTGCCACCAGCATGTCTCACCTTCAGCCCTAAGCCAGTTTTCTCCTATCTCAGTAGATGGAATATACAATTGGGTTTTACACCGGGACATTCCATTGCCCAGGGATAAGCAGGAGACAGATGCCTTCCTCTTATCTCAACTGCAAGAGGCATGCCTTCCTCTTTTACTAATCCTCCTCAGCACAGACCCTTTACGGGTGTTGGGCTGGGGGACGGTCAGGTCTTTCCCTTCCCACTAGGCCATATTTCAGACTGTCACATGGGGAGAAACCCTGGACAATACCTGGCTTTCCTAGGCAGAGGTCCCTGCGGCCTTCCACAGTGTTTTGTGTCCCTGGGTAATTGAGATTAGGGAGTGGTGATGACTCTTAATAAGCATGCTGCCTTCAAGCATGTGTTTAACAAAGCACATCCTGCGTAGCCCTAAATCCACTAAACCTTGAGTCGACACAGCATATGTTTCTGGGAGCACAGGGTTGGGGGTAGGGTTACAGATTAACAGCATCTCAAGGCAGAAGAATTTTTCTTAGTACAGAACAAAATGGCATCTCTTATGTCTACTTCTTTCTACACAGACACAGTAACAATCTGATCTTTCTTTCTTTTCCCCACATTATATTAATAACTACTCATGTTTTCTTATAATTGGTGATTAAAAGATATATTTTTCTCTATCTTTTACTTTTAATTCCTCTGTACCTTTGGTTTTAAAGTGTGTGTCTAGTAAATAGCATATGATCCAATCTCTTCTTTTTATCCAGTCTGACAAGCTCCACTTTTTAATTGAAACGTTTAACCAACTTTCCTACTTGTTTTCTATTTATCCCATCCATTCTTTGGTTGTTCCACCCCCTTTCCTCCCTTCTTTTGAATTAATTGAATAAATTTTAGTATTTCATTATATCTACTCTTTGGGTTGACTTTGGGTTTTATAGTGGTTTCACTAGAGATTAAAGTATATATCCTTAACTTATCCCAGTCAATCTTTACTTAGCATTATACTTCCTGTAAAATGTAAAAATTCAATAATAATATTCTTCCATTTTTATCCTTCCCATCTTTGTGCTATTTTTCCTACATTTTAATTCTAAACATTCTACCAACCGCATTGTATATTTTTATTTTTTTTTCATTTCTCTTAAGTCAAATGAATTTTCTTCAACATTTCTGGTAGTACAGTATATCAACAAATTTTTTCAGCTTCTGTTTAGTTTGAAAATCTCTTTCACTTTATTTCTTAAAGTTATATTTGCTGGAAGAATTCTAGATTGCTTTTTTTTTCTTTAGCACTTTAAATAAGTCTTTCCAATTTCAGTTACTCTTATTGTTCTCCTCTATACATTTTGTCTCATTTCTCTGACTGATTTAAAAATTTTCTCTGTCTTTGGTGTTCAGACGTTTTACTGAGATATCCCAAGATGTAGTCTTTTTTTGTTTATAATACTCAGGATTTGTTGAATCCGTTGAATCTGAACTTGTTAGTTTGACATATTCCATCAAATCTGGAAAAAATTCTGTCAGTATATTTTCAATACGTTTTGCTGTAAAATCTCTTGCCTTTCCTTCTGAGACTATAATTACATACAATGAAAATATTAACTTATCTGTTGAGAGTTCTGTTTCTTATATCCACATTTTCTTTATAAATCCTTGAATAAATAGGTAACAGCCCTTTAAGATTTCTTGTCTGTTAATTCCATTATCTGTGTCATCTCAGTATCTGTTTCTATCAATTGTTTTCTCCAGTATTAGATCATATTTCCTACTTCTTTATTTTTGTAGTGAATTTCTATTGTGTGCTCTACATTGTGAATGCAATATTGTTGAGGGCCTAAATTAAATTTTTTTCCTTGAAAGAATGTTGAGTCTTATTTTGGCAGGAAGTTAATTTACTGGCAAAACAGGTTGGTTTTAGGCTTTGGTAGCTCAGGCTGCAGTAGCCCCTACTTTGGAGCATAGCTTTTCTGCAATCTTAACTGAATACCTAGAATTCTTCCATCTGTAGCAGGGTTTCTTCCCTCGGGCTGATCAGACCTCCAAAGTTTCCAAGCACTATGCCTTCTCTGGAATCTCCATGCATTTCTCAGTTCCCAGAAGTTGTTCTGTCTCAGGCCTTGTGGAATTTCATGTTTACACGTGTAGTTTAGTATTTGTCCGTAGACTCAAGACGTCATTATACAAATTTCTGGATAACAGGTTTCTTGCATCCTTCCTCTTCTTTGGTATCCTCTCTCTCAATTTCCAGCTGCCTCATCAGCACTGAACTAATATTTTTTCTCCACTCAGGCAGAATGCTGCTGTCTAGTTCGGTTCCACTTTCATGTCACAATTTAGAATATGCTCTCAGGCAGGAATCTGGCATAAATGTGACATCATTCCATGTGTTCTTCTTTCAAGGGCCACAGCCCCACACTATCTGTTGTACAATGGCTGAAAAGAGTTGCTTCCATTTTTCTCTCAGTTTTGTAGTTGTTTATGGCGAGACTGTAAGTCTGATACCCAACATTGCATCATGGACTGACTGGAAGACTCCAGTGGCCCCCTCATTTTACAGATGGGAATGTGGAGGCTTAGCAACCTCTTCTGTTTTGCCCAGTCAAGATCACTCAAGCGATGGGTGTCAGAATACTGACCAGAGCCCTGATTTTTACCCCTCCTTTTAGGTCTCTCTCTGCCACATTTCGTGTTACATCAGAGCATGGGAGCCCCGGAAGTGAGAGTCTCCTGTTCTCGTCCCTGCTGTGTCCTGTGCTCATGCTTCAATCTTTCGGAGACTTTTAGATAGCAAAGTGCACCAGCTGGGGTTCTGGGTCTGCCAGGCCTCGGTGGGAATCAGATCCTCCACTTAGCAGCTGATTGACCTTAGATGAGTTTCTTCATATTCTTACCCCCATTTGTTATCTTTAACAGGCGGGTAAAAACACTAACTGTTGGAGGGGTTTGCAATGATCAAATGTTCTATACTCAGAATGTGCCTGCTGTAGAGGTTTGCTCCATAGAGGTGAGCACATCACAGTGTGACTCTGGGAACTGAGGGTGGGTGACTGACAAATGCTGTGCTTTCTCTCTCCATGCACATGGTGAGCTTGAGTTATTTTGTTTATTAAAGCATTTTGTGGCAATGGCACTTGATGAGTCCCAGGTGTTATTAATATCTCTGAATCACTATGAAGTTCTATAAATACCTTTCCCTCCTCTAGCTATGTTATTTTTTCCCCTTACCTTATGAAAATTTAAGTCAGCAACGAAATTATGAATCACTGGCTCCCTTATCCTCTGTTCTGTAATTAAGGAAGCGCTAGGTAAGAAAGCACCTGTTGAGGAAGGTGGATGGCAGGCAGAGCCCATGCTGGAGGCTGCCTGCCTGCCCACCTCCAAGGTGCCAACAAGGTAGTCAGCTGTGGAAGCTCTGCGGGAGCAGAGCCAGGTACCCAAAGGCTGAAGGTCATAATCAGTCTCTGTCCCTGAGGATTTCTCTTTTTGTGCTTTAGTCTTGTCACAAGCTAGTTTTCCAAGCTGGCAAGCATTTTGTTTCAGTCTTGAACATTTTACCTGCATCTCTTTTTTGCTTATCCATAAACTATTACAGTCAACCAGCCACCCATTTCAGTCATCCACCATATCTATTTTTTAAGTGAGTATGTGGGCCTTCAGCAGAATTTGGCCCTTTACACAGATCTAACCATTTAGAATCAAGAGAAAGATCTTCACTGGGAAAATCTGTCTCCAATCCCATTGGTTTTTAAAAGATTCTGTATAACGGAGGGGGGAAATGCTATTAGGAAGGGAAAAACCATAGTTTCTAATAAAGAAAGATGGCACTGTTTTCTTCAATCCACATAACGACTTCTGATTTAGTTACCTTGGGAGCCATCACAGGAGACTGTGAAGAGAAGTTGTAAAGCAGCCTGCTTCAGGGCCGACTTTAAACATGGAATGTTTTAGAATTAAACAGTAGTTTAGATATAACTCTGCCTGCACTAGCTCTGAACATAAGCCAATGAATTTAGTCTTCTAATCCTCAGTTTTCTTATCTGCAAAATGGGAATAAGAACGGCTGTCTGATAGGGGCCATTAAATGACAAAGCATGGTTGATGCAGATGCCTAATAAGTGATTGTTATAATAATTATTGTTTTGTTTTTGTTTTTGTTTTTTGAGACACAGTCTCAGTCTGCTGCCCAGGCTGGAGTGCAGTGGCATGATCTCAGCTCACTGCAACCTCTGCCTCCTGGGTTCAAATGATTCTCCTGCCTCAGCCTCCTGAGTAGCTGGGATTACAGGCATGCACCACCACACCTGGCTAATTCTTGCATTTTTAGTAGACATGGGGTTTCACCATGTTGGCCAGGCTGGTCTCAAATCCTGGCCTCAAGGGATCCACCCGCCTTGGCCTCCCAAAGTGCTGGGATTACAGGTGTGAGCCACCACATCCAACCTATGATAATGATGGTTACCATGAGGAGGCTTGACCTGCAGAGAGTCTGAGTGAAGTCTGTTTTACGTTAGGTTTGGGGAGGTTGCACTTTCACTTTTTTGGACCACTTCAAATGTTATGCCCCTCCCTGCTTGACATTTGAGGCAGTGAATAGCAGTGTTCCTTGAGACTGCTGGATAGTGCTAACAGAATCTGTCTCTCCCTGTGAATCTGTTCCTTGGAGCAAACAAGGAACCCTGACACTCAGCCCCCTGGTCACTGCCAGGGAAAGCTCTATTCTATTTTCCTTTCCTTTTTTTAGATTAGAAACCTAGGAATCCTCTGTTTGTCTCGATCATTTTCCTTTTCCCCATCTAAGCTGCCATTAGTCCTATCCCTTCTCCAAAGATTTAGAAGCTCCCTTTGCATCCCCTGTGGTCACCCTACTTTGGGCCTCAGCACATCTCACCTGGACAGCTGCAGGAGCCTCTGGTTGGCTTCCTCTGCCTCTAGTTAGGGTTGCCTCTTGTCGTCCACTGGCTTCTGGATTCTTCATGATGGAGACCTTGCAATGCCTCCTTAGTGCAGCAACTGTCACAGTGACATTGCCAGGCCACCTGCTTCAGAGTCACCTGGGTGCTACTTAAGCAGGTAGATACCCAGACCCCACTCCTTCCCTACTGAATCAGAATCTTTGTGGCAAGGGCCCAAGCATGTGCATTTTAATCAACTTTCTCAGATGATCCCTATATTCATTTTTGTTTTGTTTTGTTTTGTTTTGTTTTGTTTTGTTTTGTTTTGTTTTTTGACAGAGTCTTGCTCTGTAGCCCAGGCTGGAGTACAGTGGTGCGATTTTGGCTCACTGCAACCTCTGCCTCCTAGGTCCTGGTTCAAGCAATTCTCCTGCCTCAGCTTCCCGAGTAGCTGGCATGTACCACCATGCCCAGCTAATTTTTGTATTTTTAGTAGAGAAGGGTTTTCACCATGTCAGCCAGGCTGGTCTTGAACTCCTGACCTCGTGATCTGCCCGCCTCGGCCTCCCAAAGTGCTGGGATTACAGGCATGAGTATATTCTTATATTATAAACTGAGTTTGAGAGTGACTGTCCTACTGCTGAACATCTAGTCTGGCTTTCAAGGCATTGCAAGACCTGACTCCCTCTTCAAACCCTGCTTATTTCCCCCTGAACCCTCTGAGCAGATGCTCTGGTTGGCCTATCCAATAGTCTTCCCCAGCTCCAATCCTTTTCTTCCTACTGACAGAGTGTGAATTCCCACAGTTAAGGCTAAAAATGCCAGATACACACTTTTTCAGCCTTCTTTGCAGGTAGGGGTGGGCAGGGCCCCCATTTCTGGCCAATGAGGGGAGGCCTTCTGGTAAGGGGGGGTTCTGATACCCCCTCAATCAAAAGAGAGACACCTATTTCCTGTCTTAGCATCTGCCACTCCCTTGCTTCCTGCAATTGGATGTGGTTGAGTGGTTGTTTCTGGAGCTGCACTGGCCGTCCTGTGGCCTGAGGTGACAAATCTGTGGATTAGAAGCCACCATGCTGGCAGATGATGGGATGGAAGATGACCGGACCTGCGGCTCTCGATGGGACGGCTGAGCTGTTGCACCAGCGGAGCCCAGCTGCCCTAGGCCTCCCATTACAGGCCGTCACAGGACACCATCGGGGGCAGGCCATGGCTGGCCTGGTTCACTCTTTCTCATGACTGATTCATTCATCATGGTCAGGATGGACTCCCCACTGGCCGCCACATATTCCAGGTTTCTGCAGACCTCAGGCTTCGGCTTCTCATATCCAACTCCTGATACCCATTCATTTTTCTCTGGGCTTTTCCAATTTGTGTACACTCTTTAAGGACCAGTTTGAGTATCGACTTTCCTCTTCCATGAATCTTTGCATACGGCAATTGGCTACATTAACTTCTACTTTAAGTACTGATATGTTTTCTATTTTGTGACAATTCATCTTCCTTCCCATCTAGATTTTAAGCACCTTATACCACCTTTGTTTCATTGCATCTCCCAGGATAGTGATGGGATAAATAAGTGCTCAATAAATCACTGACAATTGATGGTGTGATTGATCGCTGATCTAGGACAACTACAACTGAAGCAACATTTTAGGTCTTCATTGATTTGCTTTGCAATTTCCTTCATAGATGACTGGAACATAAATCTTCAGTTAGGGCCAGTTCAAAGTTTTCCTGACTCAAAATATTGCATTCAAGATTGGTATTTTATTAACCAGAGTTGATCAATTCTGTCCTCAGATCTGTGTAGATCTCCAGAGAGATAGAAAGGAAAATGCTATTGGATGGAGAAAAATTACTAAAATAGGAACGAGAACAATAAAACAACATGAACACTAGCTGATAAAGACCCTGAATGAAAAGGACCGAAATGAAATCAGTTGAACTAAGACCGGAGACGGGGGGTCTTCTGTCCTCCGCTCCCTTCTCCAACCATCCCCTCTGCAATCTCCCACACTGCAGGCAAAGTTCACGGAAGTCTGTTTAAAAGACTTGTGAACTTTATAGGGTAAATGCATTCTACTTATATATTTAAGTCGTGGGAGTTTCAAGATAGCTCAAAATACTTGCTAATTTTCTAACTGGGGTCTGAATTTTCTGGTTCTTACTGAGTGAACTTTTTGTGCCTACTTATATTCTGTTACCTGAGGCAAGGGTCATCTTGCTATGCTTTTATATCTTTTTCTTAATTCTCGCCACATGTTGTGTCTCTTAGATCCAGATTTCAGTTTTAAATTTGGAACCGGGGGAAGGGAGCTCACATTTATTGTGGGCCTACCATTTGCCAGCACTTTATATAAGAATCACATTTCATCCTTCCAGCAGCCGTGTGAGGTGGATAATATTGTTCTCATTTTATGGATGAGAAAACTGAGGCTCCAAGAGGTTAAATACCCAGCACGAAGCAACTCTGGCGTTAATCCCCACGGCAGAAACTTTTCAGTTCTATGTGTCAGAAATTCAGCTCACACGGGCTCAGCAAAAGAGTGGTTTCCTGATTCCCATAACTGAGAGATGTCGGTACTTCCGACCCAGCAGGACCTAGAGGCTGAGATGCTGTCCTCAGGACTCGGCCTGGCTCTGTTTCACGCTCCCTCTGTCCCCAGGTGGGCCCTTCCTTACCTCGTAGGGTCCAGAAGGCTCCCAGCACTCCCAGTTGACATCTCACATTCTCAGCTATCCCAGCAGGAAGAGGACTTCTCTCAATGTTCCACCAAAGGTCCAGAACAGAAGCTCACTGGCCTGGCTTAGACACCATGTGCTGTGGTCTGAGTGTTTGTGCCCCCGTCCAAATGTATATGTCAAAACTTCACCCCCTATGTAAGAGTATTTAGGGGCGGGGACTCTTGAAAGGTGGCAGTGTCATAAGGGTTGAGGGTTGAGCACTCATGAATGGGATCAGTGCCCTTATAAAAGAGGCCGCAGTGAACTCTTTTCCCTATGTGAGAACACAGTGGAAGGACAGCCGTCTATGAACCAGGAATCAGGCCCTCACCAGACACCAAATCTGCTGACATCTTGATCCTTAGGCTTCCCAGCCTCCGGAATTGTGAGAAATCACTTTCTGTAGTTTCTAAGCTGTCCGATGTATGGATTCTGACATAGCAGCCCAAGCAACTCAGACACCCTGCTTACCCCCAGAACGCTCACTCCCCTAGTCGGGGAGTGGGGTAGAGAGTGCTCCTGAGCCTCAGGGCCCGAATAGGGGTGGCATCGTCTCTGAAGTCAAGTCCGAGGGGGTGTTTCTGGTAGGAGGGGAAGGGATGGTGGGAAGGCAGAATGATGCTCAGCCCTGAGCGGGGATGCACAGGACCAGCCCGGCCGTCCCTCGACCCAGGAGCAGGTTCTAACCACACAGCCCTTCTCTGTCCTAACCCTGCACCATCTCCAAGTTGTCAGGTGGGGAGAATGGAAAGCAGATCTTTATTCCCCTTGTACAGAGGGCTCATAGCTTGTGGCATATGTATGTGGATTTGTGCTAGAGAGCACAGAACAGAAATCAGAGGGACTCAGAAAGTAGGTGGGGAGGAAATGCACACCATAGGATGCTTCTTCTGCGCCTCCTCCTGTGTTAGAATTGAGGCTCCAGGATGTCTCCCCATGCTAGGGCCGCTCCCAAGCCCTCATCCGGGCCCACTCTTCTCCCCTGACCCCAGCTCTGACCCAGGGACATGCTCCTCCTTGAGGAAGCGCACTGCAGGCAGATCCATCAGACCTACCGTCAGCTCTGAGGTGCCTTCTCTTAGTCCTTCGTCTATACAGATTGTTGGCCACCATATTTCGCCCAGGCTGCAGTGGAAGAGCCCTCGGGCTCTGGAGCCTATGACCTGGGTGAGTGTCTCCTCTTAATACCACCTCTCAACTCTTGACCTCCGGCAAGTTACTTAACCTCTCTGTGCCTCGGTTTGCCTTATCTGTAAATAAATTGAGGTAGGTGAAGCCCTTAGCACAGTGCCAGGGGCATATGCAGTGTGAAATAAATGTTAGCTATTATTATTATTACTTCCTCTGGGCATGGTGAAAATGTAATGAGCTAATGCACAGAAAGCACCCAGAACAGTGACCAGCATGGAAGTTCATGCTTAGTCAATGTTTGTTGCTGTTATACCTTAGAAACCAGCAGGACATACCAATTGTCACTTCCTGGCCAGGCTCACAACCTTAGCTGTCTGTTCAATCAACCTGACGAATTTTTAAAATATACCCATCAATGGGCCTCATCCTAGCTCAGTGGGTCTCAGCTTTGGCAGCTCAATGCAATCACTTGGGGAGCTTTAATAGCTATGGATAGCTAAGCTACATTCCCAGAAACTCTCACAGAAATGGCCTGTAGTGTCCTGGCCGGTGAAATGTGTCAAAGCTTCCCAGGGGTGGCCAGAGCTGAGAACCCTGTCTTAGGAGGATCTAATTGGAAGAGAGGACATCATAGATAATATAATAGTGACATCATAGGTGACAGAGGAAATGCCCGGTGGCTCTGAGACCAGCAGAGAGGTGCAGGCAACTCTCTGGGGGTCCAAGACATGGTCCCTCGAGGGCCTCCCGGTGGGTATTGAGCCAAGGAGCAGCCAGTGGTGATCACAGACTCCAACCAAGGGCTGGGCCCCTCCAGAGTGAGCAGAGCCCTGCTCAGCCAGCTCCTGCAAATATCAATCCTGCAGGAAGGGTTGTGGGGAGAAGACACTGTTCCAACCAACTGACCTGCTGGATTGGAGGATCTAGAAACCTACACGTGACTCTGGCCAAGATAAAATGCTTCAAGATTCCTGGGTACGCTCCACATGGATGAGGGCTGTGTCTTTTTATTCACTGATTTGTGCCTATAGAAAAGACTTACTACAAGGCAGAAGCAGTGCCAGGCGAGCAACATAAACGCAGCCTCTGCCTTCGTGGGCCTGACCATCTAGAGAGGCATGTGGATGTGCACACTTGGAGGCCCACAGGGGTACCTGGTTTGTGGGGTGTAGATGCTGCTCACTGAGCTGGCAGCAGGGTGGGACCACTAGGTTTGGAGCAGGGTATGGGCTTGTGGGGCAGGGACTCTAAGTAGAGTCATTCGTTTTTGCATCTCTAACACAGTAGCTGCCTTCTTGGGCCACATGTTCGAATCTCCTAGGGAGCTCTTAAAAATGACTGAAGCCCAGTCCCCCACCCCTATGCATTCTGCATTCTTTGACCTGAGGGTGAGGTCTGAGAATGTGAATTTAAACTTTCTCCTATGAGTGGACATAGCTGGGCTCTGGACAAGTGCTCTAATGCTTAGCATAGAACCTGAATGACAGAAGGACTCCACATGGCATATGGAGCCTGGACAGGGAAGTCCTAGTTATGGCAGTTGGGGGTGCAGGCTGGCCCTCCAACCCCTGTAACCTTCTGGGATGCTTCCTGGAGGGGCACCAATCTGGCATTAAGATTTGAGGGAGGAGAGAGAATAGCTGGGGGCCGGGGCAAGAGGCAGGGCTCCCATTCTTGTAGGCTTGCCGATTTTGAACAAATTTGCCAGGCAGGCCTCGCTTGAATTCTTGGATGCAGAAGGAAAGGAAGGCTCAGAATCAGATGATGTCCTTCCCCACTGAGCTCAGCCAGGGCTGGCCTTGCTAACCAAGGACGCTGCACCCAATGGCCTTGCTCCCCTGTAATCTATCCGAAGACCCTGACAGAACCCTCAGGCTTAGAAACAGGAGGTGGGTCTTGAGGGCCACTGGAGCTCCTGGAAGAACAAATGAATGAGCTCATTCTTCAAGGGAACGCAGGGCCGGGACAGAAGCTACCGTCTGCCAGATGCGGCTCTCTGTGCAGCGCCTTTCTGAAGATTCAGACTGTTCCCATGGTAATTTGAGTGAAATCGTGGGGGAAGCAGCTCATCACCGCATGGTCAGTTAGACATAAAATGTGTTTTAAAATAATTTTCTTTGACTACATCTGTTATCAAAAATCACACCCACCTCCAGAGTATACATTGCAATTTTTAAAAGTGAAAATTGAGGAAAAGTGCATTCTTATCAAAATAGCCCCCTCTTTTTTTCTCCCCTCTCTCTCTGCCTCGAAGCCATCAAATTGATTCAGCTTAAGGCTAAATATAGGGTTGACTAACAATGATTTCCACAAGAGCTTTAGAAATCGCTTGTAAGCGAGCAAACGGAAAATAGATCGTCCCACAACCACATCAACCAATGTCTGAGACAACAGCCTAAATCCAGCTGCTGAACTGAAACGCAAAGGAATGCTCTGTCCCTTGGCTGGCCCAGCAGTTGCAAGGCCCCAGCAGAAGGGGAGACATCGATGGCGCCCAGTGCCCTCAAGGCGGGTCTGGCTGGTTGCTGTTTGGAGATGTTCCCTGGGAGGGGCTGAGGGGTTGCCGTGAGAAGCCCATTCATTCCACTGTGGGTCCCAGGGTGGGTTTTCTGGAAATCAAGTACTTTGTGAGCCCTGGCTCTATGTATCATAGCAAATGAGACCCTTTGCATGTTTTGCATCTCTTAGGAGGCCTGGAGTATTGGCAATAGCAGGTCAGAGAGGAAAGGCGAGCTGCTGGCCCAGGATGCTACAGAAGGGGCCTGGTCAAGAATCACGACCAAAATAGCTCCTGTTGACAGGAGAGGCTCCTCTTCATCAACGCCCCTTATTAACCTTTGCAGAACACCGTGACTGCTCTGGCCTGGCAGGCAGTTTTAGTACCATCCTGATGCCTGGGCAAGACGGGATCCTCCCTCAGCCCTGTGCCCCTGAGGGCCCCACTCCCCACTCCACAGGGTAAGAGGTCCAGGGCCCACTGGGATGTGTCCACCTAGAGTTTTTGCCTCACCTTCTAGACCAGGGTTTGCAAATGACTCCTGGGCCACTAGTTTCCATTCAGCTCATAAGCTAAGAATGGTTTTTATATTTTTAAATGGTTGTAAAAACATCAAAGGAAGAATGATATGTGAAAATTACATGGAATTTAAATTTTGGTGTCCATAAGTAAAGTTTTCCTGGAACATTGCCATGTTCATTTGTTTGCATAGCGTCTATGCTGTTTTCACCACAAAACGGCAGACTTGTGTAGTTACGACAGAGACCGTATGGCCTGCAAAGCCTGAAATATTTATCATGTGGTCATTTGTAGAAATACTTGCCAATCCGGGCCTAGACCATTCTTAGTGCACCTGGGACCCCAGCATTCCCTGCCCACAGGACCCCAAGCCCCTTCCATCACAGGACGGGTTTTCTTCTTGAGGATGGCCAAGGGGCAACTGTCTGTAGGGGACGTAGATGGAGCTTCCACAGTACTTGCCAGTCCCCTTGGTGTGTGAGAAATGGGGGTGAGAAGAGGAATGAGGTACACCTGGGCTGGAGCCTCAGAGCTGGCCATCTCTGACTACCTCGTTCTAGCACGGAGCCCTATGGAGTCCAAGAATTCAATGTTAAAATCTGGCCTTCTGGGTTTGTCGGGAGAGGAAGGCAGACTATATTTTGTTAGAGTTAACTTGATTTATTTTTATTTTATTTATTTATTTATTTATTTATTTATTTATTTATTTTTGAGACAGAGCCTCACTCTGTCACCCAGGCTGAAGTGCAGTGGCAGGATCTTGGCTCACTGCAACCTCTGCCTCTTGAGTTCAAGTGAGTCTCCTGCCTCAGCCTCCCGAGTAGCTGGGATTACAGGCATACGCCAGGTTAATTTTTGTATTTTTAGTAGAGACGGGGTTTCACCATGTTGACCAGGCAGGTCTCGAACTCCTGACCTCAAGTGATCCACCCGCCTCAGCCTCCCAAAGCACTGGGACCACAGGCATGAGCCACCGCACCTGGCCAAGTTAGCTTGATTTGTAATTTTCAAATGTTCAGCAGCATGGCATGTGGGCCTCCATTTGTGTTCTTGCCCTGGGGTTTCATGTGTTGGGGGATTCTCTAGACCACTCCCTTCTGGCCCCACCAGTTGAGGTGCTCTTCACCCAGAGTCACAGGGATTCCTCCCAAACCCACTCTGCCAGAGGTATGTGCTATCACACTTACACAATTTAACTCAGCACTTACAAATTAATGAAACATGAATGTGAAAATGACAGCTTTTTTGTTGAAAAGACCCAAGAAAGATGAGTCTCTAGAAATCAGTGGCATTGACATAGGTGTGGGCAGGACAAGTTTACATGTTTGGGAGAAAAATTGAATATTCATAGGACTCTTGCATCGTATATTCCTTTAAACCTTTGCTCTATTTTTAGAATCAAAACTGCAGAGCATAGCCTGTTTATACACTTGTAGTTTGTATAAGGAAGAAGACATAAAGTTCCCGCAGAAAGACAAGGCATAAGCCAGGGCCTTGACCCTACATCAAAAGATAGGCAAATCAGTGTGCATTTTTGCTTTTTACATGAAATAATTTTAATATCTTTATCATTGTTTATAATTCCCTACTTAATATTTTTGATTAACTCTTCAGTTAATAATTCCATAAGGACAGTTCTATAGACGATGCCATCTTATGCCATCATGGCGAACACAATTAAGCCCTATAGGGAACATTGTCCTGAAAGGTACCGAAGCTCTACAGGCATTATTTCATTTAATTCTCACAGGTCTCATGTGACAGATGCCCCTATAGCTCTCGAGCCATAGGTAATGCAACTATAAGTCGGGTGTGGTGGTGACGCACCTGTAGTCCCAGCAATTCTGGAGGCTGAAGTGGGAGGATGGCTTGAGCCCAGGAGTCCGAGGCTGCAGTGAGCCATGATAGCACCAATGCACTCCAGCCTAGGTGACAGGAGTGGAACCCTCTCTCTTAAAAAAAAAAAGAAAAAAACTAAAAGGTAATACAACTAAAACTCAGAGAGGGCAAGCCACTTGCCCAAAATCACACAGCTAGTAAGTGAGCAGAGACTTGAATGCAAGTTAGCCCTTACTCTGAACTCGTGAGCTTAACATCTGTGCCATCCTCCACATGGCAGGCCCAATACGTGCAGAAGAAATGAACAAATGAATGATAACCCCTAAGCAGCAGGTCTTGCTAACTGGATTGTGGTTCTCTGCGGGAGTCAGTGTGCTGGGTGGGAACAGACAAAGCTATAGGCAAGACATGGCACAAGAGCGTTGATTCTACCTGAGAGCAATCAATAGAAAACTTTTAAAATGTTTAAGTGAGGCCAGGCCCAGTGGCCCACTCCTGTAATCCCACCACTTTGGGAGGCCAAGGCAGGCAGATCACCTGAGGTCAGGAGTTCGAGACTAGCTTGGCCAAAAACGCTGTCTCTACTAAAAATACAAAAATTAGCCAGACATGGTGGGGCACACCTGTAATCCCAGCTACTCGTGAGGCTGAGGCTGGAGAATCACTTGAACCTGGGAGGCGGAGGTTGCAGTGAGCCGAGATGGTGCCACTGCACTCCAGCAGGGCCAAAGAGTGAGACTCTGTCTCAAAAAAAAAAAAAAAATAGTTTAAGTAAACTTGTATATATCACGGAATGAGATGCAAAACATTGCATCACTTCTAAATAGAAACCAGAAGACTTCAAAGAAACTCTGAGGTTCTGCCCTGCTTTGACCTATATCCCCATACCCTGCGGAGTTTGCCGTTGTTCTTGGCTCCTCGATGGAGATTTCGAGACACACAGTCCCACAGAGTACCAAAGAGGATATCCTCAGGGTCAGGGAGGAGAAGAAAGGTGCAGGCGAGAAGGCTGAGTTTGAGCCTTACACAGCATTGCCGGGTTGTATTTGGACACCAGGCAGAGGGTTTGTGGGACAGGGTGCTAGAAAAAGCTGTTGCCAGGCCCTGACATTGCCTCATAGTGCAATGCAGGAGGAGGGTGGAGAGGTGGGGAATTCATTCTGGGCATATGGGAGGGCACATACTCTGTGTGGCCAGAGCCCGTGGGGAGCTAGAAAGGACAGAAGGCTGCTGAGGTGCAAGCCTCTATTGAGGCTGCATCATGACTGTGCTGAAAGGGAAGAAAAGTGTTCTTCTGGCAAAGACTGAATAACACCTCTGCTTAGGAAAGCGACCGAAGGATAGATCATTACCTCCAGGGGCCTGGGGCAGCCCTCTTCCCTAAGCCCTGGGCAGAGGGGCCGATGTCCCTGTGCTTCCCTAGAAAGCCCTCTGGTGGCTCATTTTACAAGTCCACTTGACTGACCATGGGGTGCATGGATTAAACATTACTTCCGGGTGTGTCTGTGAGGGTGTTTCTGGGGAGACTGGCATTAGAACTGAGGGACTGAGAAAGCAGATTGCCCTCCTCAATGTCGGTGGGCATCATCCAATCTGTTGAGGGCCTGAATAGAACAAAAAAGCAGAGGAAGGAGGAATTGGCCCCTTTTCCCCCTGCCTCATTGCTTGATCTTGGACATCTCATTTCATCTTCTCTTGTTCTCAGACTGGGAATCTCACCATCGGTTCCCCTGGTTCTCAGACCCTTGGGCATGAGCTGAATTGCACCATGGCTTTCTGTTTGTCTGGGGAACGCTGACTAATACAAGGCATCTCAACTTGGGCATTACTGAGGCTGTAGGGTCACGGTAAGCCCTGAAATTGCACATGTCTGTGCACTGTTATGGGGAGAAGATCCACAAGGTCACTTAATCCTCCAAAAGGTGAAGAGCTGTTGCCTTCAGGAGCCCCAGGGAGAAAAACCAGGCTTGAGGGTTTTAGGTAAACCAGCCGCAGAGCCCTGAACCCTATCTTCACAGAGCACTGATTCCAGCCTCTCCCACTGACAGAAACTGTTGGGTTTATGATTTATGTAAGTGTCCTAATCGCCACTGAATTGATCAAGGCAAAGGGGTATTTAAGGAATGAAACCTGAACTGCTCTGCAAGGTGAGGGTTAGGAATATCTTATACTTCCCTGCAGCTGGAGCATGCATGAAGTTAATTATTGCATACAACAGCATTGTAAAATTTGGAGAAAGAGCATAGGGCTCCAAGAAGTATTGTCCTCAAAGTTACAGAACTGGTGACCTAAGACAGAAGCCACCCATTAACCACTGGACCTTGGACAAGTTGCTGTCTTCAGGATTCAGAGTCCTCATCTATAAAATGGGATTAATAGGGTTGTTGTGGACGTTCAATCATATAATGTGGACATTCAATGTGTAAAGAGTTTACAGAGTGAAAGATGAAGTCACTGCTTGATAACTGTTAGTTTTTATTACACTACTGATAATTACTTTATTAAATGTTTCTGTCAGTGATAGTTGGGGAAAGGAGAAATAATAGAAGATACTATTAGAACTAAGCCTACAATTGATATGTAACTTGCAGCTTGCCCTGCTGAGCAAAAAGGCATAAGGATAACAATTCTTAGAACCAAGGCTACAATTGATACGTAACTTGTAGCTTGCCCTGCTGAGCAAAAAGGCATAAGGATAACAATTCTGCCAAGGGCTCCTTCTGCGCCCCTCCTCACATGCACTAACTGAATTGCTCCTCTCAACAACCCATCCTGTGATTGAGGAGGCTGAGACTCAAAGAGATTAACTAATTTTCCCAACTCACTCCTCAGTTTGGAAAAGTGGAGGCACGACATTAATTGGACTCTGTCGTAAACCGCTGGTCTCTGTCTCTGGAGCAGGGGTGTGTCTGGACCACAGAGCATGGGCAGAGAGGGCCTGCTCCTTCATCAGTGATGAGTTGTGTTGGGTGAGAGTACTCTTGGATGCACAGGTCACCAGACTCAATTCCCCTCCTTTCCTCATTAGAAGCTTCCGCTGAAATCTACACCTTGGCAGGATGCAGAGCTAGGAAGTTCATAAATCAGAGAATCGCTGAGTGACAAACTGCAAAAAAGGAAGTGACACTTCCCTAGGAGATGTGGAGATGCTGTTTGTGAACAAAAAAGCGAGAGGGACTTGGCCCCATGTCTGCAAAGAGACAGGTGTGCTTCTGCAGGGGGGCCTGCGCCGACCCAGGTCTGCAACCCTTGTGTTACCTATCCATTGCTGCGCAAGCTCGGCTTTGGCCCCACAGTGCACGCCTATCCTGTCCCCCAACCTCATCACTCCCAGCTGTGTCTGCTCACTGCTTCCTGTCACCCCGAGTATGCAATTCAGACTCAGTGTCCATGAGGCCCTCTTATCTGGGATTGACCATTCTCCCTCCTCTTCCCAAACTACTTGCACCGGCCACATCGGCTTCCAGAGCTCTGCTGGGAAACACAGTGTGCTCCTGCCTCAAGGGTTTGCTCAGGTGTTCCCTCTGCTGCAGGGCTCCTTCTCCAGTTCTTTAAAGGGCTGATTCCATCCCATGGTTCAGATTTCAGCTCAGCTCTTAGCTCTTCAGAGAGACCTTCCCTGACCTCCCAATTTAAATTATACTCTGAAGCCAATCACCATGACGTTGACCTTTGTAATTTTCTCCATTAAAGCCTTCAAAATCTTCACCTGCAACTATTTCATTATTTCTTCCTCCTCTGCCAGAAGGTAAACTTCCAGAGACAGAGGCCAGCCTGTCCTGATCACTAGGTGGTCCAGAGTTAGAACAGCAACTGGGTCGAGTGGGCCCTCTGAATCCTCACAAGTTGGCATCTGAATCCACAAAGGAACTCAAGCTCTGGCCGCTCAGCCTGTGCGCCTTGGTGGGTGCACAAGGCGGTGACTCTGGCTTCTGGGCAGCCATCATCACTCTGGACCATGCTCAAGGCGTCTCCTCGGGTTGCTACTGTAGGTTGTTGCTTTACCAAGACAGTGGAGGGGGATGGGCAGGAGAGGCCGTTGATGTTTCTTGAGTTTTGATTTTTTTTTTTTTAATTATGAGGAACTAGATACAGTCTTGCATTGTTGAATGATGGGAATATGTTCTAAGAAATGCATTGCTAGGTGATTTCGTCGTTGTGTGAACATCATAGCATACACTTGCACAATCCTAGATTGGACAGCCAACAACACACCTAGGCTATGTGCATGGTCTATTGCTCCTAGGTTACAAACCTGCACAGCATATTACTGGGCTGAATACCGTAGGCAATTGTAACACTATGGTAAGTATTTGTGTATTTAAACATAGCTAAACATAGAAAAAGTACAGCAAAAATATGGTATAAAAGATAAAAAATGGCCAGGCACGGTGGCTCACACTGTAATCCCAGCACTTTGGGAGCCTGAGGCAAGCGGATCACTTGAGGTCAGGAGTTCGAGACCAGCCTGGCCAACATGGTGAAACCCCATCTCTACTAAAAATACAAAAATATTAGCTGAGCATGGTGGCGCATGCTTGTAATTCCAGCTACGTGGGAGGCTGAGGCAGGAAAATCTCTTGAATCCAGGAGGCAGAGGTTGCAGTGAGCACTGAACTCCAGCCTGGGTGACAGAGCAAGACTCCATCTCAAAAAAAAAAAAATGAAGATAAAAAATGGTCCACCTGTATAGGGCACTTACCGTAAATGGAGCTTGCAGGACTGGAAGTTGCTCTGGGTGACTCAGTGAGTGAGTGGTGAGTGAATATGAAGCCCTAGGACATCAGTGTACACTACCATAGACTTTATAAATACTGTACACAGAGGCTACACTACATTTAAAAATATTTTTCTCGAATTATAAATTAAACTTAGCTTACTGTAACTTTTTTACTTTATAAAATTTTTAATTTTTTTTAACTTCTTGACTCTTTTATAGTAACATTTAGCTTAAAACACAAACATGGCCAGGTGCGGTGGCTCACGCCTGTAATCCCAGCACTTTGGGAGGCCGAGGCGGGCGGATCACGAGGTCAGGAGATCGAGACCATCCTGGCTAACACGGTGCAACCCCATCTCTACTAAAAATACAAAAAATTAGCCGGGCATGGTGGCGGGTGCCTGTAGTCCCAGCTACTTGGGAGGCTGAGGCAGGAGAATGGCATGAACCCAGGAGGTGGAGCTTGCAGTTAGTGGAGATCATGCCACTGCACTCCAGCCTGGGCAACAGAGCGAGACTCTGTCTCAAAAAACAAAAACAAAACAAAACAAAAACCCCACAAACACATTGTACAGCTGTACAAAAATGTTTTCTATCCTTATTCTATAAACATTTTTCTATTTTGAAAACTTTTTTCTTTATACCTTTTAAGTTATTTTGCTAAAAGCTAGGACACAAACACATCCATTAACCTAGGCCTACACAGGGTCAGGGTCCTCAGTATCACCTCCACATCTTGTCCCACTGAAACGTCTTCAGGGGCACGCATGGAACTGTCATCTCCTATGATAGCAGTGCCTTCTGGAAAACCTCCTAATGGACTTTCCCGAGGCTCTTTTATAGTAACATTTTTTTTCATAAGTAGAGGTACCCTCTAAAATAATGATAAATAGTGTAATATAGCCAATACATAAATCAGTAATAGTCATTTATTATCTTTATCAAGTATTATATACTGTGTGTAAGTGTATGTGCTAGACTTTTATACAACTGGCCACACAGTGGGTTTGTTTACCCAGCATCCCTGCAAACGCATATTGCACTGGTGTGTTATGGTGGCTATGATGTGACTAGCCTATAGGAATTTTCCATCTCCATTATCTTACGGAATCACTGTTGTGTATGCAGCCCATCGTTGACCAAAACCTTGTTATGTGGCACACGACTCTATCACCATCTGTAATTAACCACATCTATGCCCAACCTTGACCTATTAGTTCATGTGAGATGGGAAATGATGCAGAATGGAAGGATGACTGGCTAATGAGCCAGGTCCCAACTCCACTTTTAGGTGCTGGGTGACCCTGAGTAACCACAGAGCATCTGAGCCTTGGTCTCTTATTTGTAAGATGGTTGAGTTTGTGGATTTCGGAGTCAGACAGGCCTGATTAGCCCACTTAGTGAGCTGGGCAACTTCCCTAGTTCTCCGTCCTGGTTTCCTCATGTATGACATGGAAATCTTAAAACCACCTCAGAGGGTGGTCATCAAAATAAAATGAGACTGAACTTGTAAGAGTCACACTTGTGTGCCAGGCACAGAACTCAGTGATTGTTGGGTGTTGATTGCCATTTGGTACTGCTGTTACTGCTATGACCACTGGCTACCAGGCAGAGGATGTGGCTGTCATCTCCTGACATAACAAGTAAACCCTCGTTATCAACATAATCCTTTAGCTGAGTGGTTCTCAAAGTGTGGTCCCCAGACCAGCACTATCAGCATCACCTGGAAACATGTCAGAAATACACATTTTCAGGCCCCACTCTGGACCTATCAACTCAGAAAGCCTGGAGGTGGGTGGGGATCAGCCATCTTTAGCAATTCACTTCCAGGTGATTCTGCATAGAATTCTGCATTAGCCCAAGCAGGTGAGAACCACAGTGTTAGCCCCAATCTTCCTAACCCTAGTTTCGCATTAGAGCCACCTGATGTGCTTTACCAGCATGCTAAATACCTGGCTCTACCTATGGGGATTGTGATTTAGGTGGTCTGGAAAGGGACTCCCAGTAAAACAGGACCAGCAGGGTGTGAGTGTGTGTGTGTGTGTAAACTAGGACACAGAGAGAGAGAGAGAGAAACACACAGAGGTTTTAATCTAAAGAATTGGCTTATGTGATTGTGGGGCAAATCCCACATCTGCCAGGCAGGGCAGCAGCTGGAGACTCAGGGAAGAGCTGGCATTGCAGCTCGACTTGGAGGCAGTCTGGAGACAGAATTTCCTCTTTCTTGGGGAACGTTAGTCTTTTTCCCAAGGCCTTCAACTGATTAGATGAGGCCCACCCACATTATGGAGAATCATCTGCCTTACTCAACATCTACAGATTTTAATGTTAATCTCATCTAAAATATACCTTCACTGCAACATCTCAATGGTGGTGAACCAAATGTCTGGGTGCTGTGGCCTGGCCAAGTTGACCCACTAAAGGAACCACCCGGGCTGGGCAGCAGGGAAGCAAGGCCGTGGAGGCCTCCCTCTTGGCGCACGTTCTTTCTGAATGGGGTCAACAAAACAAAGAGGCCGCCCCCTCCCCGGCCACATCTCAGGCAGCCCCCGCTCCTCTCCTCACTGTCACTGCTGACAGGTGTTGCGTGGAGGGAGACAATCTGTGCAGCACCCTTGTTTGGGGGTTTTCACCCTGAAGGTGTCTTCCTAGCTTCTCCCTGGGAGCGCTCAGCCTTGTGTGACCCTCTACCCTCAACTCTGCTTTGAGGGTACTGCCGGCCCCCTGTTGGATCGTGTGCGGATGGATAGAGAAAAAGAAACAGGGCCACCCCGCACATGGAAGATGGGAGGGGGAATGGAGAGCTCCAGGAGTAGCACAGATGGGGCGCCCTGCGTGGTGCCGTAGGTGGCGCGCCCTGACATGGCGCCACTAATAGAGCACCCACAGCAAAGCCACCCAGCCAGGCTCCTTAGACCCCCGCAGAACCTTCTTCACCAAGCCCTGCCCTTCTGTGTCTCCTTGCTCCTTAGCATATTGTTATGTATGTCAGGTTAGCCTCTTTCCCGGCTTCGGGGTGAGGGCAGGCGGGGGAAATTGGGCTGCTATTGTAGGATTCACAGAGGCAGCCTGAAGGAGATGGAAAATCTGGGAAACATTCCCAGAGGAAAGCTCTGGGTGAAGCAGGTGCTGAAACGGGGTGGCCCTGCCCCACTGGGGCTGAGGCATCGCTTCTAGGACATCTGAGGTCACCGGGTGATGGTGACAAGATGGACAGGGACGGACTTCCACGCTGGCCTGGGTGCTGCTCTCACAGGTCCCCCCTGGAATGAGCACCGAGAAGGAGCAATGTGCTTTGTTTTTCAAAATGTACATGGATTTCATTTAAAGGGCTGCCCTTGATGAGATGATGTCCTGCTAACTTTAGGAAAGGAGATGGTCATGAGAGTAATGGTAGCTGATGGGGTTCAGGGTTTTTTTTCCTTTAACGCCCTTATATGACATTAAAAAAATTGTCAGCCCTTTGCTGGTTCTCCAGTTTGGAGGCAAGAGCAGTGAACGTTAGGGTCCTTACAATCCGAAAGCCAGGCAAACCACTGATCTAGGTTCTAGAACCTTCACCTGGAGTGATTTCATTGATTGCTGTTTTTAAAGAAGGATCTTAGGGTTTAATTCCTTTGCATCTTTTCTCAACCTTGGCCACTTGAGCTAGCCAACTCCTGAAGGCCAGGGTAAATGGAGGGCCTGCCTTCCCATCATGGCACCATCATACACAGCAATAGGAAGTGATGAAGAACCCGCAGCCTGGCAGGAGCTGGGCAGAGACTGTGAATAAGGCACCATGACACGCCACCCAAAGTTACCTCTGGGTAACTCATACGGCAAAAAAAAGCACACAGTGACCACTGCCCTACTCTGTTTTTTCTGCAATCTCCTCCCAGGCTCTTTTTATACAATTTAGGAATAGAAATATACAGGTTCCTGTCCTTATGAGGAAACCATTCATGTAGTTTGGCGTCCTCAGCCTGATCATTAGGTTATCTCTGCTTCCCCTGTCCAGTGCAATGATCGGGTCAGGATGGGCACAGACCCAAGCTGGGCCAATCAGATCACACCTTGGGGCTTCTGTTTAAGCTTTGGGAATAGACGCGCTTTCTGTTTCATGGGGTGCAGTAGCCCTGAGGACAGTGTAAGCCTAGAGCCACCAGTGGCTGCCTTTGCTACCCTGTGGCGTGAGCCTGCTGGATAGTGAAGACAGTGTAGACGAAAGAGCTGAGAGGTGGAGTGACAGCTTTGATAGCATTGTTTGAATCTCTACTTTCCATCACGCCTGAAGCTACCTGCACTCTGGGACTTCTCAGTATATTTCCTTAAAGCAGTTTGAGTTTAGTTTTGATCATTTGTACTCCAAAATATTCCTGAAAAACGCTCCCTAACATTTTATGCTCTTTCTTTCTACCAAAACTCAGAAGCTCTTTGCATGAGTGTCATTGGAAATCCACTGACCCAAATGCCATAGGCTGAACTTAAGCCATTATCCTTAACACATTCAATTCCATATAAGAAATTCTTCCCTGAAATCAATCAGGGACCAACTTTAGGACCAGCTTAGGGTCATCCTGGCTATGAAGAGAACAGCCTGACTTTATTAATTTGTTCTGATGAGGAACTTCCTGCTGAACTAATTTGGACCTAGATGGGCAATTTAGTTAACTCCATGAGCTTCTGTTTCTACATCTGTAAGATGAGGGATAGAAGTACCAGTATTGCAGGATTATTCAATTTTGTTCAGTTCAGTTCAATCTCTTTCCAAACAGCTCAGGTCGACACAGCTCATCCAGTTCCACTCCCATGCAGGAAGGCCTCAAGTGACTTAAACTGTACTTAGACAATGTCCTTCCTCACCTAATCATGGCTCAGGCTGGGCCAATCACGCTCCCTTTCCAAGGAACTGGGCACTGTGTTGCAGGAGCTCTACTCTAGGGAAACCAGGATGCATCCGTGTGAGAGGCCTAGTGAATGGAGCAAAGGTGTAGAGAAAAGCAGAGAGAGACGTGTAAGGACAGGGTCCCACGCCTGTGAGGCCCAGGAGATCTCCCACTTTGGGACTCAGGAGGTATCTCAATATATGTCCACTAAAGAGCCCTTTGGGCCTCTAGCTAGCTGGAGAGGTTTCTTTCTTTCTTTTCTTTTCTTTTCTTTTTTTTTTTTTTTGAGATGGAGTCTCGCTTTGTCGCCCAGGCTGGAGTGCAGTGGCACGATCTCGGCTCACTGCGAGCTCCGCCTCCCGCGTTCACGCCATTCTCCCGCCTCAGCCTCCCAAGTAGCTGGGACTACAGGCGCCCGCCACCACGCCCGGCTAATTTTTTGTATTTTTAGTAGAGATGGGGTTTCACCGTGTTAGCCAGGATAGTCTCATCTCCTGACCTCGTGATCCGCCCGCCTCGGCCTCCCAAAGTGCTGGGATCACAGGCGTGAGCCACCGCGCCCAGCAGAGAAGTTTCTTTTTATTACTCCTAAAAAGCAGCAGCCAATCCCTGAGGATAGTTCTTAGCTGAAAATCACTTCCGGTTTCCATGTGATCCTGTGGAAGCCCCAGTCCACTCCTCTGTGAAAAGGGCTATCAAAGTTGCTTCACCTCAGAGGATTAGAGCTCAGTTGGGATAATGGATGTGGAAAGGAATCTTAAACTTGGAAGACAATAATTTCCCGTAGGAACAGTTGCAATTTATTGGACCCGCTTACTCTTCTTTTGAGCTTTTGTACCGACAGGCGAGCATCACACGCCTCTCCTCGTGATCTCTACACAGATCTTACTTCTTGAGGTTACTCACAAGGAGCCAGCTCAGGAGACTGAGCCGGGTGTAGGATAACGAACGGTTCAAAGAGGTCCTTTTCTGATGCCGAATGTCCTTGCTACTAGCCTGAAATTCCATAATTACAGGTTGATTTCCTTATGACTTGAAAACACACTTGAATTAAAATGCAGACTAGGCAAAGAGTCCTTAGATTTGACACCAAAATCATGACCCACAAAAGGAAAGATGATATATTAGCCTGCTTAGGCTGCCATAACAAAATACCATAGACTAGGCGGCTTAAGCAACAGCAACGTATTTTCTCACAGTTCTGTAGGCTGGAAGTCCAAGATCAAGGTCTGATAAGGTTCAGCTTCTGGTGAGGGCTGCCTTCCTGGCTGGTAGACAGCTGCTTTCTCACAGTGTCCTTGTGTGTGAGAGAGAGAGCTCTAGTCTGTATTTTTTTTTTATTGATTTTTTTCTTAAATAAAATCAATTTTAACATCCATTATAAAAACTTTAAATCTACAATAGGGTCAAAATAAAATGTATAAAACCTCCTTTGCATGCCCCTCATTTAGTTCTACTCCACGGAATTAATGATTGTTAATATTTTCTTGTTTATCCTTTCAGAACTCCATTTATTGGTGAGAATGGTGTCATATAAAATGTCTTAGCCAGGTGCGATGGCTCATGCTTGGATTCACAGCATTTCTGGAAGCCAAGGTGGGAAGATCGCTTGAGGGCAGGAGTTCGAGACCAGCCTTGGCAATACAGAGAGACCCCATCTCATATGTGTTTTCTTACTCTTTCTCTTGGACATTTATTTGTTATATTTCTTCCTCTTTTTACAAAACCTTTGATTTATCTGTTTATGTGTCATGCCAAATTCAAATGAGAGTGATAGACTCTCTTGTATTGTGGGGCACCTGTTTAACTTAAACTTTGCCCAGAGATTGTCCATCAGGTATTTCCTGACTAATCTTTTCTTGGGATACTGTTTCTGTTTCTCATTTCCGTTTTCCTCTTTTTTTTCCTGTTCATCTTCCAGCTCCTTTTCATTTTCCTCTTCTTTTTCTCACTTTCTCTTTCCGCCTGGTTCTCCTCCTCCTTCTCTCCATTTCTGCTTTCCCTTTTGTTCATCTTCACTGCAATTTCCATTCGATTGTTCTGGATTTTGATCCCAAGGCATAGCTCGTTGTTTCTGTATAAAAAGATTTGAATTATCAGGGGCTTCTGAAGTATCAGGATCTCTCTCCATATTGAAAAAGTTTCTTCTCCCACTTCCTGGACACCATCCTTTCCTGAGCTTCCTCAAAGTCAATGGCTGCTCTTTCAAAGCTTTCTTTGTTGCTCCTCTTTCCCCTGTCTCTCTTCTTCTTGTAAGAGCACCAACCCTATGGAATTAAGGCCCTACCCTTATGACCTCATTTAACTTTTATCACCTTCTCTCAGGCCGAAACAGAGTCACACTGAGTCTCATTGGGAGTTAGAGCTTCAACATAGGAATTTTTGAAGGACACAATTCAGTTCATAGCAGATTGATATATTTGACCTTACCTAAATTTAAAACTTCTGCTCTGCAAAAGACCTGTAAGGAGGATGAAAATACATGCTATAGACTGGGAGAAAATATTTGCAACCTATATATCTAACAGAGAACTTGTATCTAGAATATATGAATCTCACAAAACTCAGCAGTAAAAGAAATTCCAATTAAAATATGGGCAAAAATTCTGAACAAAATTTTAGCCAATTGAATCTAACAATGTATAAATCCTGTGACCACATGGCATTTATTCCACATATGTACAGCTAGCTCAATGTGATTCACCATATCAACAGGCCAAAGAAGAAAAATATGATCATATCCATTGACATAGAAAAACATTTGACAACTTCAACACCCATCAATGATTAAAGGCACTCAGTACATTAGGAATAAAGGGGAACTTGCTTGATCTCATAAAGATCATCTGCAAAAACCTAAAGCTAACATTATACTCAATGGTGAAAGATTGAATGCTCTCCTTCTAAGATGGGAACAAGATAAGGATGACTGCTCTCACCACTCTTATTCAACAATGTACTGGAAGTTTTAGTCATTGCAATAAGGGAAAAAAAGAAATAAAAGTCATTTAGAGTAAAAAAGGAGAAGATAGAAGTGTCTTTATTTGCAGACAATATGATTGAAATCCCAAGGAATCTGCAAAACAAAACAAAACAAAAACCTCATAGGACTAATAATTGAGTTCAGTAAGATCACAGGATACGAGATCAATACACAAACATCAGTTGCATTCCTATATACTGACAATGAACAAGTAGAAACCAAAATTAAAAATGCAACACAATTAATAATTGCCCAAAGAAAGGGAAATAGTTATCAAACAAATCAAACAAAACATACACAGCATCCTTATGCTGAAATTACAAAGTGCTGATGAAAGAAACCAAAGAAGACCTAAATACTTAGGGAGACGCCAGCTGTAGTGGCTCATGCCTGTAATCCCTGCACTTTGGGAGGCTGAGGCAGGAGGATCGCTTGAGCTTAGCAGTTTGAAACCAGCCTGGGCAACATAGAGAGACCTCTTCTCTACTAAAAATATATTTTTTAAAAATTAGCTAGTCATGGTGGCATGTGCTTATAGTCCCATCTACTCAGGAGGGTGAGGTGGCAGGATTGCTTGAGCCTGGGAGGTCAAAGCTGCAGTGAGTCATGATCGTGCCACTGCAGCCTGGACAACAGAATGAGACCCTGTCTCAGAAAAAGAGAAGAAATTGATAAATTGAATCTTATCAAAATTAAAAGCTTTTCTTGTAAAAGCGTATGTTAAGAGGACAAAAAGACAAGCTACAGATTGGGAAAAATTATTTGAAAATCACATATTAGACAAAGGACTTGTATCTAGAATACATAACAATTCTCAAAACTCAACAATCCAATTAAAAAATGGGAAAAAAACGTGTAACAGACATTTCACTGAAGAGGATGTGCAGATGGGAAACAAGCCTGTGAAAAGATATTCAACATCATTTGCCATTAGAAAAATACCAATTAAAAGTACAACGAGATAGCATCACACACCTACCAGAATGGCTAAAATAAAATATAGTGATAACACCAAATGCTGCTGAGGATGCAGAAAAATCAGACCACTTATACACTGCTGGTGGAAATGAAAAATAGTACAGCCATTCTGAAAAATAGTTTGTCAGTTTTTCGGTTTTTGTTTCGTTTTAGTTTGGTGTTTTTGAGACAGATTCTCACTCTGTCCCCCAGACTGGAATGCAGTGGCACCATCATGGCTCACTGCAACCTCAACCTCCTGGGCTCAAGCAATCCTTCTGCCTCAGCCCCCCACGTAGCTGGGACTACAGGTGTGTGTTAACATGCCCAGCTAATTTTTGTATTTTGTTTGGGTCGGGACAGGATTTTGCCATGTTGCCCAGGATGGTCTTGAACTCCCGGGCTCAAGCGATCTGCCCGTCTCAGCCTCCCAAAGTGCTGGGATTACAGGCATGAGCCACTATGCCTGGTTATCAGTTTCTTTTAAAACTAAAAGTGGACTTATCTAGCAATTACACCCTTGGGCCTTTATCCCAGAGAAATTTTCATTTCAAAATCTTGTGTTTTTACAAAAATTTATACACAATGTTCATAGCAACTTAATTTGTTATAGCCAGAAAAGCTGGAGACAATCAAAATGCCTTTTAATAATCTATTACACTGTGCTATGTCCATACCATGAAACACCATTCATCAATAAAAGGGAGAAGCTACTGATACATGCAGCAAGTCGGATGGATCTCAGTGGAGTTATGCTGAGTGAAAAGAGCCAATCTAAAAAAGCTACCTATCATACGATTCTGTGTATACAATATTTTTGAAATAATAAAATTGCAGAGCTGGAGAACAGATTTGCGGCTGTCAGGGGTTTGGCAAGATGAGAGGGGAGGAGGAGACCATGGCTAAAACAGGATAACATAAGGGATCCTTGTATTCTATATTCTGACTGTGGTGGTGGTCATACGAACTCACATTGCATAGAACTAAGTATACACACACACACACACACACACACACACACACACACAGCTGCATGCATGTAAAAGTGGTGAAATTCGAAGGTCAATGTACTGCATCAATGCCAGTTTCCTAATTCTGCTATTATACTATAGTAATGCAAGATGTTACTACTGGGGAAACCGGGTGAAGGGTGTGTTGCTTCTTTTTTTTTTTTTTCTTTTTTTTTCGAGATAGAGTCTCGCTCGCTCACCCAGGCTGGAGTGCAGTGGCGTGATTTCGGCTCACTGCAACCTTCCCCTCCCGGGTTCAAATGATTCTCCTGCCTCGGCCTCCTGAGTAGCTGGGATTACAGGTGCGTGCCACCACATCTGGCTAATTTTTGTATTTTTAGTAGAAACGGAGTTTCACCATGTTGGCTAGGGTGGTCTCCAGCTCCTGACCTCATGATCCACCTGCCTTGGCCTCCGAAGTGCTGGGATTACAGGCGTGAACCATGGTGCCCGTCCGTGTTGCTTCTTATCACTGCATGTGGATCCACAATCATCTCAAAAATAAAAAGTTTTTTTTTAATGTGGTTACCCCCAGAAAAAAAAATTGCATATAAGTGTACAGATTCCTTTCCACATCCATTATCCCAACTGCTTCCATTCCTGGGAGGTCAAGCAGTCTTGTTAGCCCATTTTGCAAGAGAAACCTAGGACCAAAATGGTTAATATGGCCAAGGAAAGATCATATTCTTGGTCCTGTGACTGGCTGTCTTCAATAGCTGTAGATGGAGCATATTATCTCTATTTTACCTGTGAGAAAACTGAGTCTCAGAAATAGAACATGTCCCAGTTTATATACCTAGAGTATGAAACGGAGGTCTTTTGGTTGTAAACTATAGAAACTAAACCCAAGCTGGATTAAGGCAAAAAGGTGGCATTGGCTCAGGTAACGGAAAGTTTATGGGTTTCAGGCACAGCTTGACCCAAGTACTAAAACCATGTAACTGGGATTCCACCTCTCAATTTTAGCCCTGCTTTCTTTCACATTGTTTCTATTTCTAGGCAGGCTTTCCCCAAACAATGGCAAAGATATTTTACATTCCACCAACTTAGCAAACCATAAAAAGAGTCCCTCTTCCAATATCTCCAGAAAGGTCCTAAATTGATTCTGACTTTTCTGGCTTGAGTCACATACCCAGAAATACATACAATTGTAAGTGGCCTGATCCTGGTCACGTGCCCACCCTTGACCTGAATTATCTGGACCAAGAGTAGGGAGGACTGGTTCTACAAGGGAGGCTGAGCACACAGAAAACACACCTGCATGGGCTCCCACGAGAACCCACAGGTAAATCGGAGGGCATCCCACAAAGAGCCTGGATAGACAGCAGCTCTGAATAGTAGCTCAGCTTTCCTTTGATGTTGGCCACCTGTCCTACCAACCACTCCCTCAACACTCAACTCTTGCCACTTTGGCAGGAGCCAACGGGCCCCCTCTAAGTTGCACAGCAATCTGAGCACGGTACCAGGGGCTGGAATTCGAAGCTGCTCTAAGAAACCAGCCAGCATTTCTTTCCTGAAGACACCATAGACCCATCTGCTTCACAGAGTAATGAGAAAACACGTGCGTTAATAAAGGCGAACATTTGCAACTTGCCTACTAGAGACAGCTGAAAGTAAACACTGAGTGGGGATGCTCCCTTATTGTTATCTACACCTTGCCAGGCCACTTAGGAGGATGCCAAGAGCCCGCAGTATTTCATCTCCAGCTCCAGCTTCATCAGAGCCAAGTCCTCATCACTCTATAGTCTTGCCAGCTGAGTGGGCAGTGCCAGCCCCTGCCGTGGGAGGGGGTGTCCAGTGCATGGTGCCCCTATTCCAAGGGGCACCCTCCAGAGCTGCTGTCCCTGCAGAGCTAGTGAGGGTAGCTCTGTTTCTGTTGAGGGCCTACTGGGGACCCCATCCCCTTTCCTCGGTGTGCTTTCGTCTGTTCCCAGAAGCACCATTCATCAGTCGTCCTCACTTTAATCTCCTTCTCCAGTTGACATATTTAAAATTAATGAGGAATTTGTTTTTATCCAACTCTCTCGTTAGGGCAGTGAGCCTATTTCTCCCTCTCAAATGAATCTTCTAGGTAAAATTATGAAAAAATATGTTTTTCTCTCCTACCCTGGCCCTACTTTTAATGTTTTTGGCAGCTCTGAACAGAGCCACTATATAAAAATCAGACATTTTATTGCTCAGTAATTAGCCCAAACTAGCCCAGACAGACAGTTTGCAGGTAGAGAGAAGAAGAGATGGATGAGGAAAGGGTGCCCAGGGATGCAGTAGGTGCTTGTGTGTAATGAGCTTTTGAACAATTTCCTTTGCTGGATTTCTGTGGGCAAAAGGTGTCCCTGAGTAGGCTGTGCCAAGTTATTTCCTGAAGATGTGAGCACTAAAAAGTATTTGTTTCCTCAATCTCATGGTGTTACGGTCTGAATGTGTGTGCCCTCCCCCGCAAATTCCTGTGTGGAAATCCTCACCCCCAAGGTGATGGTGTTCGGAGGTGGGGCTTTGGGAGGCAATTAGGTCATGAGGATGGAGCCCTCATGAATAGGATTAGTGCCCTTAGCAAAGAGACTGCAGAGCACTCTCTTGCTCTCTTTGCATCATGTAAAGGCACAAAGAAGCTGTGGCTGGATGCGGTGGCTCACACCTGTAATCCCAGCACTTTGAGAGGCCGAGATGGGCAGATCACCTGAGGTCGGGAGTTCAAGACCAGCCTGGCCAACATGGTGAAACCTCGTCTCTACTAAAAATACAAAAATTAGCCAGGCATGGTGGCATGTGCCTGTAATCCCAGCTACTCTGGAGGCTGAGGCAGGAGAATCGCTTGAACCCAGGAGGCAGAGGTTGCAGTGAGCTGAGCTGGTGCCACTGCACTCCAGCCTGGGCGACAGAGCAAGACTCCCTCTCAAATATAAAAAAAAAAGGGGGGGCCAGGCACGGTGGCTCACCCCTGTAATCCCAGCACTTTGGGAGGCCAAGGTGGGTGGATCACCTGAGGTCGGGAGTTCGAGATCAGCCTGACCAACATGGTGAAACTCTGTCTCTACTAAAAATACAAAATTAGCCGGGCGTCGTGGCGCATCTCTGTAATCCCAGCTACTCAGGAGGCTGAGGCAGGAGAATTGCTCAAACCTGGGAGGCGAAGGTTGCGGTGAGCCGAGATCGCACCATTGCACTGCAGCCAGGGCAACAAGAGCAAAACTCCCTCTCAAAAAAAAAAAAAAAAAAAAAAAAACCAGACAGAGAGAGAGAGAAGCTGTCAGTCTGCAACCCAGAAGAGGGCCCCCACCAGAACCCAACCATCTGCCACCCTGATCTTGGACATCCAGCCTCCAGAACTGTGAGAAATAAATTTCTGTTGTTTATAAGCCACTGTGGTATTCTGTTATAGCAACCCAAACTAAGATACATGATTTGAAATGACAGGTATGACTGCTTCCTGGTGTCTGTGCGAGGGGAGATCTCACCACAGGCAGGTAGGAGGGCCCTGGTGCAGGTCCCTGAACATGCAGTCTGGGCTTGCGTGGGGCCCTGCCCGTAGCATGCTCATAGCACCCAGCTCACAGACTGAAATGTTCTCTTTGTGGATCTCCCTCCCACAAGAGAAAGTGGTTTCCGTGAAGAAAGGGACTGCATCTTTCTTTGTAATGTGAGCTTTCTACTGTGCTTAGCACATAGCAGGTGCTCAGAAAGATGTGTTGAACTGAGCTGATGTAGGGTGAATACAGACACAGATCACACATGAAGCCAGGTGAGCCTTGGCCCAGGCATGCCCTCTGGGAGAGGCGGGGGATAAATGAGAGGATGCTGCCCCCTCTTTTTCTATCAAGAAAGCCTTCCTGGAGCAGATGCAGCTTGCCTCCGTTTGGGAGCGCTCTGGACACTTCTGTCCTTCTGCTGGACCACCACAGGACACCAAGCAGGCTTCCCTGTCCTCTGTCCTCCCTCCCACCTTCTTTTGTGCTAAGTCCTCCAATCGTCAAGGCCTGGTGTTCTATTGGTGACCACTCTCTCTGCTGGTTAAAAAGCCCATTCTCAGAAGGACTGTTCAGTGTGGCTGACCTTCACTCAGCAGGGTCTGTGACTCCCAGGTGTGAAGCCACTGGCGGAGTATCCAGGGGCCGAGGGCTGATGCATTTCTCCTCATCCACCTCACTCTGACCCCGGATGCCAGTTAACCCAGGAGAGGTCCCTGAACACAACCCCGATGCAAGCAAAGGTAAGTTCATAAGTTCTCAATGCCTAAGGGATAGAACGTGGCAAATCTGGACTCAGAGCCTAAACCAAGCAGAAAAGTAACAGTAACAATTCTGAGGCTGGGAAGACCAGCTTGGGAAAGTTGCAAGCGCTGAAGCATTTTCAATTCTTAAAATGCACCAGCACCACACTGCCCCACCCTGAGCAGAGGAAAAGAAAATCAATTCTTCCATGGCAAAAACGAAATAAAGTGCTCAGCTGGTTAAAACTGCTGTTGCAGGAAGAAGCAAGCCCTCTGAGACGGGGTTGCCAGAAAAACACAGGATGCCCAGTTAAATGTGGATTGTAGATAAACAAGAAAACAATCTTTAGTATAAGTATGTCCCCTGAAATACTGGGGACATACTTATACTAAAAATTATTGCTTACTTAGCTGAACTTCAAATATAATTGGGCCTCCTCTACTTTGCCTGGCAACCCTGCTCTGACAGGTAGAGGCCACTGCTGAATCTCTGCTGTGTGTTCTGTTCACAGGTGGTGGACAATACGGAGGAGGATGAAGAGGCATGGTCCACCACAACAGGTTGCCCAGAGAGGCTGTAGAGAGTTTAAAAGGAAGGAGTGAGAGGGATCACCAGACCATGAAGTAGGTACAAAGGTATTCCTGTCCAAAATACCAAAGACTTGGGAACAGCATAAATGTTTCACATCAGGAAAATGGTTTGAAGTGATGGTATGTTTACATGATGGAATATCAGGCAGACACTAGATAGTATGTTTGGGAGGAAACTTCAACAACTTTGAAAACAAAATGCCCACCTTCTCTGTCTCTGAAGGGCCCTGAGCTCCCTGGACCCACACAGTTGGACGATGAGGGCTTTTATCCTATAGTTAACTCCTGAAGATGAATCCAGGCCTTTAAAGTTGGCCCCTGCAGGTTCACATCTCAGTTCTGTGGCTTCCTAGCTGTGCCATCTTCGAAAAGTTATCTTTCTGTGCCTCAATTGTCCCATCTCTAAATGGGGCCAATATGGGCCAATCTCATAGGGTTCCTGTGAGGATCAGGATGTGATAAACACTCAGGACAATGCCCGGGACATGGTAATAGCTTGGTAAGCATCAGCTCGGTGTCCATTAGCTGTGATTTCTCCCATTTCCCACAAGAAGGCTGAAGGACAAAACCGTGGAGAAAGTACAAGCATACCTGGGAGATACCGAGGGTTCAGATCCAGACCACCACAATCAAGTGAGTCACACAAGTTTCTGTTTCCCAGTTACATTAAACATATGAAAGTTATGTTTACACTATACTGTGGTTTATTGAGTATGCAATAGCATTATGTCTAGAAAACCAGTCTAAATTCCTTAACTTTAAAATATACTTTATTGCTAAAAAATGCTAATGATCATCTGAGCCTTCAGCCAGTCATAATCTTTTGGCTTGTGGAGGGTCTTCCCTCAATGTTGATGGCTGCTGATTGATCAGGGTGGTGGCTGATGAATTTGTGGGCCACTGTGGCAATTTCTTAACATAAAACAACAATGAACTTTGCTGTATCAATTGGCTCTTCCTGTTACAAAAAATTTCTCTGTAGCATGTGATGCTGTTTGAGAGCATTGTATCCACAGAATAACTTTTTTTCAAAATTGGGCTCAATACTCTCAAACTCTGCTGCTGCCTTAGTAATTAATTTGGGAATATTCTGAATACTTTGTTGAGTAGATTCTATCTCAAGAAAGCACTTTCTTTGTTCAATAAGAAGCTACTACTCACTCATTCAAGTTTTATCAAGAGGTTGCAGCAATTCAGTCACATCTTCAGACTCCACTTCTAATTCTAGTTCTCTAGTGTTCTCTTGCTGTTCCTACCATATCTGCAGTTATTTCCTCCACTGAAGTCTTGAACCCCTCAAAGTCATCTATTGTTTCAAACTCTTATTAATATTGTGGGTTTGTTTGTTTGTTTGTTTGTTTTTTGAGATGACAAGGTCTCTCTCTGTTGCCCAGGCTGGTCTCAAACTCCTGGGCTCAAGCAATCCTCTCACCTCAGTCTCCCAAAGTGTTAGGATCTACCGTGCCTGGCCAATGTTGATATTTTCACCTCCTCTCATGAATCACAAATGTTCTTAATGGTATCTAGAGTGATGAATGTTTTCCAAATTTTCAATTTACTTTGCCCAGATCCATCAGAGGAATCATTATTTATGGCAACTATAGCCTTATGAAATGAATTTATTAAATAAGATTTTGAAGTCGAAATTACTCCTTGATCTTATGAGTTGCAAAATGGATGTTGTGTTAGCAGACATGAAAACAACTTTAATCTCCTTTGACATGTCCATTGGAGCTCTTGGGGAACCAGTTCTATTGTCAATAAGCTGTAATGTGAAAAGAATCTCTTTTTCTGAGCAGTAAGTCTTAACAGTGGACTCAAAAAATTCAGTAAACCATGCTGTAAACAGATATGCTGTCAGCCAGGCTTTGTTATTCCACTTATAAAACATTGAGTAGAGTTCACATAATTCTTTTCTTTTTTTTCTTTTTCTTTTTTATAGCAGAAAGTAAAGGCTAAGAGTTAACATAATTCTTAAGGCCCCTAGCATTTTTGGAATGGTAAATGTGCATTGACTTCAACTTAAAGTCACCAGCTGCATTAGCTTCTAACAAGAGAGTCATCCTGTCCTTTGAAGCTTTGAAGCCAGGCATTGACTTCTCTCTAGCTCTGAAAGACGTAGATAATGTCTTATTCCAACAGAAGGCCATTTCATCTACATCGAAAATCTGTTGTTGAGTGTAAACACCTTCATCAATATCTCAGTTTGATCTTCTGGATAACTTGCTACAGCTTTTACATCAGCACTTGCTGTTTCTGTACTTTTCTGTTAGAGAGAAAGCTTATTTCCTTAAACCTCATGAACCGACCTCTGCTAGCTTTCAACTTTTCTCCTGCAGCTTCCTCATCTCTCTCAGCCTTCATAGAACTGAAGAGAGTTAGGGCCTTGCCCTGGATTAGGCTTCATCTTAAGGGAATGTTGTGGCTGGTTTGATCCTTTATCCAGAGCATTCATGCTTTCTCCATATCAGCAATAATGCTAATAATAAGGTTTCACTTTTCTTTTTTAATCTTCATGTGTTCTTTGGAGTAGTACTTTTCATTTTCTTCAAGAACTTATCTTTTGCACTCTCAACTGACTGTTTGGTGCAAGAGGCATAGCTTTCAGCCAGTCTTGGCTTTCAATATGCCTTCCTCATTAAACTTAAAAATTTCTAGCTTTTAATTTAAAGTGAGAGACATGCGACCCTTTCTTTCACTCAAACATTTAGAGGCCATTGTAGGGTTATTAACTAGCCTAATTTCAATATCATTGTGACTCAGGGAATAGGGAGGGACAAGAAGAGGGAGAGAGATGGGAGAAGAGCCAGTTAGTGGAGATTTTTATTTTCTCTTTCTACCACCATGGGACAAACTCTTGTTAGGTTACTTTTCCAGCCCTAATCTACCAGGTTGGGAGCTGTGCAGGGCTGGGCTTTAAGGAGGTGGAATAGAGAGCTTTTCAATGCAGTGTGGTGGAAGGTCACTGGCTATGTCTTCTAGCCCCAAATACCACACATCACCCACCTTTCCAACACCTGCCAATTTCAGCACCTGAAAGGTGATAATTTCTGATTTATTTCACAGGGTCTTGAAAGATGGGTCCTTTGTTGAACCACAAGTGGCCCAACTGGGGCTAACTGGCAGCTGGGTTGTGTATGGCACTTAGGTAAGAGTAGGGGAGTAGAAGTACCCAGAGGTTCATACGATAGGTACGTTAGTCTTAGGTTTTAAGAAACTGAGCTGTACTGTGGTTGCTTAAGTAAGCTGTGTTTATTATAAGGGCAGCTCTGGAGTAAGGGATGGAATATAGATGACAGGCACAAGCTTCAAAGGGACCGCAGAAATATTTTTACAGCCAGGCCTCATGGAAATAGGGAAGTAGTCCAGGAAGGGTGGTCTTAGGGTGATCACCACCTCAGCAGCAGGAGCCCTCTGATGCCCTTAGCCTTTACCTTTACTCAGCTCTTAAGGGTCTGTCTTCCATTGTCCCTATTGAAGCAGGAAATTTTCCCTGACCCCTTCATGGGTGGGAACCGGAGTGTGGGCACTGGAGCTAGCCAGCTGCTTTGGTGCCAATGGGGGTAAACTCCACTCACTTGAACCCATTGTACTCAACCCCTCATGGGAGGTAGCATGCAGGTGAGTGGGTGTGGGAGCCAGGGTGATTGCTTTTGGGCACCAGCAGAAGCAAAACTCCATGTAGGCCTTGCGGCAGCATCTAGCAGGGAATACCCATGACTCCCGAAGCCCCAGAAGGAGTGTTACAGTCAGCGCTCTTTTAGCTTTGCTGTCCATGGACAGTTTAAGTGTTAACAGCTCAGTGAGCCCTCTGCCTTTTCACGTGAGATGGCTGCTTTCTGCCAGTGAGAGGGTCAGTGTGACAGTCTTCTGCATCTGTACCTGTGGTACCTGAGCTTTTGTTCACTGTCCAGGAAAGATCGGATCGTACAAATGAATTAAAGGGTGATGAATGCAAAAGATTTTATTGCCAATGAAAGTGGCTCTCAGCAGGAAGGGGAGCTGGAAAGGGGATGGAGCAGGAAGGTGATCTTCCCCTGGAGTCCAGCCATCCCCAGCTAGACTCCTGTCCGAAGCAATGCCATCAAGCCATCCCTCTGAAGTCAAACTGCTTCTTCCTGATGTCCAACTGTAGTCTCTGACGTCCTGCACTTCTCCTCTTCTCCTCTCTGACAGTGCAGCCTAGGGTTTTTATGGACAGAAGATGGGAGACAGGGCAGGCCATGGGTGGTTTTGGAAAATGCAACATTTGAGCAGGAAAACAGGAATGCATGTTCTCACTTTGGGCTGTGGTTCCAGGCTTGAGGGTTGGACCCTCACTGGGGACCCGCCTGCTTCTGCCCAGAATATCCCTGCCTCCTGTCCCTGTAACTATGACTGCTTGCAACCTACTCTTTCTCTTTCCTCTACCTCCTGACCTCTGCTAGTTACAGCCTCTACCTATTCACAGATTCTCCAACTCGTAGTTTCTGAGTATTACTTCTCTCTGATGGAGGTTCAGTTTCTTTTCCCATGACCAACCACTCAGTTGCCTCTCTCTCTTTCATATTCATACTGCCCAAGGAGTGATTCTGCAGAATAGGCACTGGCCATGCTGTCTATCCACTGTCCAATCAGCTGTGGCCATGTGGTCACATGATCATGGTTCCAACATGGCAGCCCACAGTGGGAGGAACTCATGGGAAGAGGACTATGGGAGTAGCAGGCACCCCAAGACTTGTCCTGCCCACATCAGGGGGATGAAAAAGAGGGGGTATGACTCTGCCAATAACAAATTTTCTCTATTTTATAGATTGGTTGCTGGGGGAGGGTCTGGTAAAATGAAATGAGACACTGAGTTCTGTCATAGAACTTTATTTTCAATAATTAGGCTTTATTTTCAAGAATCCTTAGAGTTCCTCCCATGAACCCCAGAGAGCCAAGGGGCACTGTTTGAAAAAAAATAACACTAGGTCAAATCTGACCCCCTAAGCTTGTAGCCAGGCTGCTTTTTTCATTTTTCGCAAGTCAGACACATCTTTGGGGACAGTGGTAAGAACACATGGAAGTGATCCCAAGTCCCCTAGACACTTCAGCATCATCTGGCCAGTGAGGGCAGTATTTGCTGCTCTGACCCTCTAGGCACTGCTAAGTTAAAGATGTACAGGACATATCATGTAGCTGGCTTGTCTCTGAGGTAGTCTTCCAGCTACCTTGATCTTGTCTTGGGAATGTCTGCTGGGTTCTATAACTTAATAGGGTAAGTCATTTTAACAGGTAAACAACAGTGGAGTTTTTTGGTTTTGGGGTTGGGGAATTGGAAGAGAAGGAGAATGTATATACCAAAGACATCTAAGGGGAAAGAATCCAAAAGAAACAAGGGAATATTTATCCACTTAACATTTACGCTAAAAAAAAAAATGTAGTTTTCTTTAAAACACTTAGCTTAACTATCAAAATGGAAATGTGCTCATGAGGTAATTCGCATGAAAGAGGCAATGACTGATGGCTTAAAGATAATATATACTCATGTAGTAAGTGCCACACACTGTTCCAAGTGCTTTATCTATATCAAGTCATTGGTCTCCACAATCTTATGAGGGAGGTATAATTTTGATTCCATTTTACATAAAAGAAAACTGAGGCACAGAACCATTAATTCACTTGCCCAAGGTCTTGCAGCTAGCAAGTGGCAGAGGTGGTGGCATTTAAATCCTGACAGTCTAACTCTCAGAGTTTAGGCTCTGAATTACAATGTTCTCAAAGGAAATTTAAAACTACATGGAATTGAATGAAAATGATAACACAACATATTAAATTGGATGGGATGCAGCCAGTATTTATCCAGCATGCATTATGCCTAAGTGGTTTTAAGTCCATTACCTCTATGAGGCAGGGTCACATGAGCACACCCATGCTCAGAGAGGTCAGGTACTGGTACAAGGTCATTCAGGTAGGAGATGGAAGAGCCAGGATAAGAACACAGGTCTAGTTCCAGAATCTTCCATCTACCCATTAGTTCTCCCTGTGCACAAGTGATAACTTTCAAGGTACATTTGCACGTTGATGGGAGATAATCCATCTACCCAAGAAATAAACGTTGATGGTGGAAATTCTAGAAATAATTTAGCTTGAGGGAGGGCGTCTTCCAAGCATCCCTGAAATTATAGCTCACAATTCGCTGTTTCCTAAGCCAGCTCTGCTAGAAGGTGACAGAATCTGAGCCCTGCTTGAGCAGTTTTCTTTCTCCCTCTTCCGTCAGGCATCCCCTGTGGGAGGAAGGAGGAGCTCAAGGTCAGGAGAGCACTGTTCCCTGGGAGGTAAGTGCAGCACTCAGCCGCATTGACTCCAGCTGGCATCCTTCAGTGCGGGAGGCCTCACCGTCTATCCCTGCAGGGCTTTGTTCCCCGCAGGCCTCTGAATGTGAGATCCACCCTCTTTGGATTTCTGGGGCAATTTTTGCTTTACTTTTTCACCTGACCCTTTGGTTTAAAAACACAATAAGGAGTGGGAATTATTAGCACTGGAGTTAAAGAATGCCGGCTTTTAGGACCTGTTTTTTTCTGGTCAAGCTGAGAGAGGAAATCAAAGCTTCCATTCTTCTCCCTGGAAACAGAACTTACAGAAGTGTGTCTTATTACATCATTGTTGATAAAAAGCAAGTGGGAAATACTTGAAAATGTGAAAAATCACAGAGTAACTGTGTGTGCATTCTACAGTGTAAAATCAATGGATGACATCCTTCCTGAGACTTAAGAAAGTCCAGACCAAGTTAAGAAGAGGGAGTTGGATGGAGATGCCAGGAATTGATGAAACTCTGTGTGCAAAGCACAGCACAGTTAGTGCCAAGAGTAGGAGGTGGTCCTCTCACCTCTAAGGACTTCAGAAGGCTGGTTGGCCTGGGGAATGCCAAATACTCAGTAATGCCTCTGTTTCCTAACTGGCCAAAATGTGAAAAAGTAAATGGGCTCAAATAAATATTAATGAAGTGTCGACCATGTACTACATTGCAAAACGGCCTTTGTGGCCTTTGCAAAATTTATGACAGTAGGAAATCTGATATAGTTGACTTCATCTTGCTTCTGATCTCCAAGCTGTCCTTGGTCATTCCTGGGCATAGGACAAGCTAACTTTGGGAGGAATTGAGTTTATAGTTTACATTTAAAGCAAAGGTGATAATAGCCCTTCCCCAAACTAAACCACCTTTGTAAAACTAATGAAAGGTCACAAGGTTAAGATTATGAGAGAGAGGGGCCTGAATTCTGACAAGACAGGCATAGTTTCTAGAATCCCTTACTGCTCAGGGGTCATGTGGCCAGAGGTCACAAGATTTGTGACTTTTCCAATTGCTCCTATAAATAACATCGCTATTGTAGAACTGAAGATTGGTTTTTGAGATATCTTTCAGACTGACCCCACCAGGACTCATGACTCATGGCTCAACAGGTCTTGTGGCTCCCATGTAGAGGCAGACTCAGTGCACGAGGACCATTTTCCACACCCTTGTGATTTCATCCCCAACCAATCAGCAGCAGCCATTCCCTAGCCCCCTGCCCACCAAATTATCCAAAACACCCTAATATCCAAGCTTTTGGAGAGACTAATTTGAGTAATAACTCCAGTTCTCCCACGTGGGTCAGCCTCACGTCATTTAAACTCTTTCTCTATTGCAATACCGTGGCCTCAGTGAGCTGATTTTGTCTGCGCTGTGGAAAGGAAGAACCAGTCAGGTGACTGCAGTTAGACAAACTGGAAGTTAATCTGTGGGTCTTTCACTGACCAACAATGACTTCATCTCTCTGAGCCTCAGTTTCCTCATTTATAAAATGGTGCTCATAGCAACTGTACCTGAGTGTAACAAGCCCAATGCCTGAACTCTGATACCCCCCAAGGAAACACAAATAGGCAAGTCAGAAATCCTCTTTTATAACAAAGCAGGGAGCGGAATGCACCAGACATCCCCAGCAAGGCTTTCTAAAACTCTCTTCAAAGTTGTATTCCACAGGATACCGGCTCTCTCTCCACTCCCCACCATCCCCCACCACACTCTCAAATATTTTCTTCTTCCTGAGCTCTCCATGCCCTTTGTTCTGTAGATCAACGTGACTTGTAGATCAATGTGTTCTATAGATTAATATTCAGACGTCTCTGGTACTGCACCCTACCCTCTGCAGCACATCAGTGGGGTGGGGTTGAGTTGAGGGTTACACAGAATAATAACTTTTTTTTTTCTGATACACAATCATGCCATAGGTTGACATGATGATTAAAGAAACCACAGATGCAAAAACCACTAACAATAAGCCTAAAATGTGGAGCAAGCTCAGTAAAAGTTCACTTCCTTCCTCCTCCCGCAGACACAAAGATCAAACGTGCAAAGATCAAATGTATCTGAGAGGGTTTGGGAAATGGAGCACACAGTAGGGCCCTATTCTGATGAAAGCGCTGATCTGATGCTGAGATAAGAGGTAGCAAAGTGATGGTCTAACCCCACTTGGGGGTGCGATCAGCTATCCTTACATGGGCCAACTCCCAGGGAGGGATGGGGTCTCCCCTCCTGAAGGGACAGAGGAGAGGAAGGGAGCAGGGGTGGTGGGTGGTCTAATGCTAAACCTATGAAAGGAATGGTGATCTCAGAGGGGGTGGGGTTAAGACACTGATCTGTGGGCCAAAAAAAAAAAAAAAAGATACCTCTAGGAGAGTCAGTTAGCAGGAGCCTATCCTCATTTGTAGTTGGAAAACAGCCTGGTTGGGGCTATTTGGTCTCTTCTAAGTCAACTAAAAACACATTGAGACCAGGCACGGTGGTTCATGCCTGTAATCCCAGCACTTTGGGAAGCCGTGGCAGGAGTACCACTTGAGCACAGGAGTTCAAGACCAGCCTAGGCAACAGTGAGAGCTTCTCTCTCCTCCCACCACCCGCAAAAAAAAAAAAAAAAGAGCTGGGTGTGGTGGTACATGCCTGTGGTTCCAGCTGCTCAGGAGACTGAGAATGCAGTGAGCCAGGATCACACCACTGCACTCCAGCCTGGGTGACAGAGCCAGAACCTCTCTCAAAAAATAAATAAATAAAATAAATAAATAAATAAAATATATTTTTATTGAATGAAAATGATAACACATGCGTGTGTGTATGTGTGTGTGTGTATATATACATATATATATATATATATATATATATATGACTCCTTCCTTTTTTTCTAGTATTTTCCCTAATTACACAACAGAACAAAACAAGAAGGAAAGAAACAAGGTCAAGCTTTCTAGAAGGCCTGGATTTTTTCTCTATGAGGAAAATAAAATCATGCAGCCCCTTAGGGTTTCAGTCAGTGATCCTGTTATGGGCTGAATGTTGTCCCCCAGCAAATTCACATGGTGAAGTCCTAACCCCCAGTACCCACAGATGGTGACGGTATTTGGAGATTGGGTCCTGAAAGAGGTGGTTAAGGTAAAATGGGGTCACAAGGGTGGGCCCTAATATAGTATGGCTGGTCTCCCTATTAGAACATGAAGATGGCCATCTACGAGCCAAGGAGAGGGGCCTCAGAAGAAACCAGTCCTGCTGACACCTTGCTGTTGAACTTCCAGCCTCCAGAATTGTGGGAGAAATAAATGTTGTTTAAGCTGCCCTGCCTGGCACCCTGTCATGGCAGCCCTAGCAAACTAGTCCAGCTGCACTTGTCTGCGTGGAGACCTCTGACCCCAGGGCAAATGTTCCAGCTCGTCTTCCCTCCTTTGCCCTGCTATTTCCCCTACCGGTTGGCTCCTCCTGCCTGCTGGCTCTGCAGTGGTACCAACACCGAAGCAGGGGTCAGCAGGGGTGTGCTCTGGGGACCTGAAGCTGGCCCAGGAGGGTCAGGGATGGGCACAGCAGTGGGGAGAGGACAAAGCTAGAGTCAGTGCAGCCTTGGACCGACCACAGGAGCACTGTGGGCAGGCAGCCGGCAGGGGTAGTCTCGCTCTGTTTGAATGAGACCTGCTGTGTTTGCTGAGCCAGGAGACAGGCCCTGACTTCCCTGAGCTTCCAGGACGTTGAAGCATGGAAAGAGGTCGTTTTCCTTGGCCCAGCTTTGGGAGCCCAGGTCCGCATATGCCTCACAGCCCTCTGGGGGAGGCAGGAGCCCTCAGAGGACTCAGCTCCCTCAGTCAGGAAGAGAACCTGGTGTCTCCCAGAGGTGAGCACAGGTGTGGGAATAAGCAAGTTGAATCTGACTTAGAGGCCTAATATTTACTTTCCATCCCTATTCAAACCCCCCAACCTCCATCCCCCAGGGTGGCACAAGAACCAGGCAGCTTTTGAAGTGGCAGGAAATAGGGGTGAGACCACAGGCCTTCAGGTCCTGGAGTTGCCTCTGAGGAGCTCATCCCCATGCACGGGGTCCTTTCCCCATGCACGGGGTCCTTTACAGGGGGGACTCTGCTGCTTCCAGGCCACAGGGGACCAGGGCCCTCAGATGATGCTGGCAGCCACAAGGGCTGGGGTCAAGACCCCGAAGGACACACAGTGTTTCTCCTCTGAGGGTCTATCCTCATGAGAGCCTCTATCCTATTCTTTTCCAGAACTAGGTGCGCTCTCTCTCTCTCTCTCCTTTGAGAAGCTTAGGGTTCCAGACAAACAAAAGCCAGGGGGGCAGGGTAAAGTCAAGCAAGTTGCCTGCTGAAATATTGGGTATGAGAAATTGGAGCTGAAATGCAATCATTCCGCCACACCTGCTACACACAGCTTTGCTTCCTGGTCCTAGTCATGGGCTGAGGAAGCCTCAGGGTCCAGCTCAATCCCAGCAGGCTTGGAGTTGACCTCAAGGCCACCGAATTGCATCTTCCTCAATGCAGGGACCATGCCTTGCTTATCACCATAGCTACCGTTTATTGAGAGCATTCTCTGTGTGAAGTGGCTTCATATCAGTTATCATTAACCCTCACCATACTGAAGTCAGATGTTATGATCATCTTTTAACAGGCATGGAAATTAAGGCTCAAGAAGGTGACTTGCCCAAGACTTCATAGCCCACAACTGCTGGAGGTGGGATTTGAACTCGTCTGCGAGGTTCGAAATCACCCCAGCCCAGTGCCTGCTCCTGACAGAGACTCAGCAAGTGCAGCTCTGCGTGTTTCCTCCATCACAGAGGCCTGCTTAGGGGAAAAATCTTGCTGAAGAAAAGTGGCCGATGGTTTCGAGAGAAGAGACGCTTATTCATGTAATTCTCAAGAATCCCATCTCCGGCTTAGAAGGACACCTTTTCTGATTTCCCATTCAAAGGGACTGACGTACACTCAGGGGCTGAGGCAGCAGCTGTTTTTGCTGTGCACAGACTGGAGAGCGATGTGTGAGTGAAGTCTGTGGCCACTTCTCTCCTCCCCCGAGCCTTCTGGGGTTTGGGTTTATGACTCCAGAGGCGGAGAAGCGTGTTCCCTTTCTGTGCGGATCCCGTCATTGACAGAGTCTGTTTTAGAAGAGCATTTTTAGATGGCAGCGAACGTTCCAGACCCCAAAGCATTCTCTTTACAGCACCGTCTAGCTTGGGTGGGGATAGGGTGGGTTTGTGAACACGTGTGTGCGTGAGAGTGTGAGTGTGTGCAAGTGTGTGCACGTGTGTGTCAGTCCCTCTGTCTGGCTCCCACTGCTAGCCACCTCTGTCATATCCTGACTATTTCGCCGGGGCATCGTCCAGCCATAGGAATCTTCAGCAAACCTACAGTTCAGACGAACGCCCTCGTTTCTGCCCTGAGAAGAAAGTCCGTTGAGTCTGAGGGCTCCCGAGTCATTCTCTCAAGGCATTCATTCAGTTTTGTTTCCCCTGGTGCTACCCTCTCTGAAGTCGTTATTACTCATTAGGTGTATTGCACATACAGAAAAAGTAGGTCAAGGATTAAAAAAAAAAAGAAAAAACATCTCTGGGAGAAGCACAAGTATTGTGTAAAGCTATTTTGAACTTGCGTGAGATTTTTCAAGGGGGAAATGTTTTGTGCAGAGACGGCTGCTGCCACAGCTGACTTACCAATGAATGCCCGTGTCTGAGCCTTTCATACGCTAACCACGTGACCTTGGAATTCCATTTTGAAATGATAATTGTGCCCAGTGGGGTGAGCAGCCTCTCAATCCAGGTTCTATACAATATAGGTCACCTCGAGGATCCTCAGTAGAACAGGAACAAGAGAATCCTGAGAAATCTCTGTAAAGAAACAGAAAGAATGAGAGAGAAAACTGTGTGTCTAACCACCGGGCCCCTGGGCCCTATGTGCCACCCAGGTTTGGAGCAAGGCTGCGGGGCAGATGATGTCCAGGAGAGCCTCAGAAAGTCCGGGCTCTAGAAAAAAATACGTTCCAGCTCACTCTGCTCTGACCCTGCATCTGCTCTGTGCTGAAAGCTTTGTTGCTGCCATGAATATATTTAAGGGGAATAAAATGTGCAGTGTCAAAGCGACTGGCTTGAAGTGGGCTGGATGCATCCTAGGCTCCGCGAGGGAAAAGGCCTCTAGCTGGCAGTTGACAGAAGGGGGAAGGCAGTGAGGAGTGGGCCCACCCACGGGAGTCTGGGCATGAGGCGGGTCCTGGTTCCCAGGCTGCCCCGTGGGAATATGCTCCATGGGCTGGGGCTGCTGTGCTGGCTGCTCTTGCCCCCAGGGGGTCACTACGCTGGGCTTCTCCATCAGGGCTATCACGATATTGCCCAGGGTTTACAGGTTTACAGGCATTATCTCACTCAGTGTTGTTTTGCTCCCTTTCACAAAGAAAGGAAGGAAAAGAGAGGCAGGGGGTGAGAGAGGAAGCCAGACTAGCATTCAGCTCTGCTAGTTGTTCCTCGCCTGGGTTAGGCTTCCCTGGAAAGTAGCCTGCATTGTCTTGCACCTCCTTCATCTGACAGCCAGGTGCTCCTACTGGAGCATAACTGTAGTAGGCCATTTCTGTGCCAGTTGACTGAGAAGGCAGTGTCCCTGCTTTTCTGGAAACTTCCACACAACACAATTCCCGATGGAAAGCATTTAACAATTATGGGTGGGGCTCTGATCAAAAAGTAAGCTTTAGAAAAGGTTAACAGCTAAGCTGGGCATGGTGGCTCACACCTGTAATCCCAGCACTTTAGGAGGCCGAGGCGTGCAGATCACCTGAGGTCAGGAGTTCGAGACCAACCTGGCCATCGTGGCAAAACTCTGTCTCTACTAAAAATACAAACAACAACAACAACAAAAGAAAAAAAAATTAGCCGATCATGGTGGCAGGCACAAGCCTGTAATCCCAGCTACTTAGAAGGCTGAGGCAGGAGAATCGTTTGAACCTGGGAGGTGGAGGTTGCAGTGAGCCGAGATTGTACTACAGCACTCCAGCCTGGGCAAAAGAGTGAGACGCTCTCTCAAATTAAAAAACAACAAAAAAAGGTAACAGCAAGTGGTTACAACCCATGAATCTTTAATCATTTTAAATAGTAAAAGTGTTTGGAAACTCTTATAATATTAGAGCTAAAACACACCTTAGGGATGATTTAAGGCACTTTTTCAAACGATAAACAAGATCCAGATAATTACGTCAAATATTTATAGTAACCCATCTTATTGGTGCCAGTTTGAGAATAGAACCCACATTTGCAAATAATCTCAACACCTTCTGTTTCACCTCACTTTTCAAAGGTCCTTGAGAAGGGTATTTGCACACTGCCTGCAAGGTAGCTGCAATGGCTATAAAGCTATTGCGTAGATAGAATTCCAATTGCGTAGATAGAATTCTACTCTATCTGTGTTAACCTAGCTAAAATTAATGTGCTGTGATAAAACTCACCAACTAAACATGTAAAAACAATCACTACTTTTCCTTCTTTGTGTTTTCTCAGTGCGTTTTGGGGGAAATGATTTAGATAGCCAGCGTCTCAGAATTGCTGTCCAGTCCAGGGAGACTAAATTGGTGATTTCTTTTTCTCTCAACGAATGTTCCTATAACAGGCAGTGACTTTTAAAATCATTCTAGAGATGATTCCCTTCTAAAAGTAGCTGTTATATTCTTTAAACATTTGCATTCATTGGTTGGTGAAATGGGAACCTTGACAGTGCTGGGGAAGAGCCAGAGAATGAAATAATCCGTGATGGCATGGTAACCCCTTGGCAGAGAGGGGAGGGCTGCAGGGATGCTGGATCTGTGTGGGCAGCAGTGAGCAGTGGTGGACCCTGAGAATTGGACAGTAGAACGGGGCAGAGCCTGGGAGGATGGTGCCGGTGACTCTGGGGTCCAGGGAAGCTCACGTCTGTTGATTTTAGTGCAAACGGTAGCAGCTTCCTCCTGCTCCTCTCCTATAGTTGCATTAGATCCTCCTTAGTTCATGCAGAGATGCCGTTGATTTCTAGGCATCATTCCCCTCTCACTTTCCATGCTGGAAGAAACCGGGGGTAGCCTTAACTAGAGGGGGCATCTAAACTTTCAAACTGTTTCACTCTGGCCTCTACCCTTACTTCTCCGTCAAAATTGCTCTAACGGATGACCGCTATGTAGCCCGATCCAGCGGAAACTTTTCAGTGTTCATCCTACGTGACTTTTCAACAGCCTTTGGCATGGCTGTCCATGCTCTCCTTCTTGAAATACTCTCTTCTCTTGCTTCTGAAATACTCACTCCCAGCACTTCTGTTATCCTGTCCCTCCTTTTCTATTGCCAGCAGCTCCTCCACTACAATGTTTAAATGTTGAGGTTCCTAAGGCTTGCTCCTAGATCATCTTCTCTCCTCACCACTTTCTTGCTTTTTAAGAGAATTGCCTTCCCTACCCAGAAATACCAAGGAAAGGAATAGGGGGAGTGCAGGTCGGGGGACACCACCCACTGAAAGAAACTGAATTTCCATGACAAGGGAAAGCCCTTCTACCCACTCAGGCAGCATCATCAGGGACCAATGGGATATCCAGAAGCACCAGAGAAACCTAGCAGACCAAAGGCTCTGGAAATCAAACTAACATTAGAACCAGAGTCCATAAGGTAAGGCGAGATGCATGTGCTAAACCTAAATAGGGTACCTGACTGCTAATATGAAATATTTATATAGGACCCAGACTCTCCTGACATAACAGACAAGATATCCAAGATATAATTAAAAACTCACCATTTATGCCAAGAACCAAAATAAAAAATCTCGACTCAAAGGAGCAAAGACAGGCAGCTGACACCAACACCAAGATGAATCAGATGTTGAGATTATCTGACAAGGATTTTAAAGTAGCATCATAAAATGCTTCAAGTTATAAATTCTCTTAAAATGAAAATTAAAAATCTGAGAAAAGATAGAAGTTATAAAAAAGTACCGGATGAAAATGAAGACCTGGAAAAATACAATAACAGAGATTTTTAAACTTACTGTATGAACTCAATAGTAGACTGAAGATGAGAGAGGATATACGTGAACTTGAAGACAAAAAAAATGGAATTCACTCAATCTGAAAAACAATGAGAAAATTGACTGAAAAAAAGACCAGAGACTCAGAGACCTTTGAGACAATAAGAGAAGATCCAAGATTCCTATCATTGGAGTTCCAGACGTGAGCCACTGTGCCCAGCCCCTCAAATAATTTTAAAGAATTGAAATCATGTAGTGTGATACCCAGTCATAATGGAATCAAACAAGAAATCAATAATAGAAAAACAACAGGAAAATAACAAGCAAGGAGTAATTGAACAACATACTTATAAATAATCTGTGGGTTGAAAGAAAGCCTACAAGGAAAATTTTAAAGATACGCAGAACTGAATGAAATGAAAATACAACCTATGAAAATTTGTGGAATGCAGTTAAAGCAGTACTGTGAGGAAATTTTTGGCAATAATGTTATATTACACAAGAAGAATATCTGAAATTAATAATCTAAGTTCCTACTTCAAGAAACTAGAAAGAAAAGAGCAAAATAAAACCAATACAAGCAAAAGAAAGAAAATAAATATGAGTGGAAATCAATGAAATTGAGAATAGGAAAAGAAAATAATAGAGAAAATTGACAACAGAAACTGGTTCTTTAGAATCAATCAATAAAATTGATAAACCTCTAACAAGACTGACAAAAATATAATGAGAGGAGACACAAATCACCAATGTCGGGAATGAAATGAGATATATCACTATAGATTCTGCAACCATTTCAAACAAGGGACCACTATGACTAACATTAAACTCACATATTTGACAACTTAAAAGAAGTGGACTAATTCCTTGAAACAACAAACTACCAAGTCAACCAAGATGAAATTGACAGTCAGAATAACCCTATAACCATGAAGAAAATTAAATTAGTAAATGAAAAGCTCTTAAGATAGAAATCTCTAGGCTCACATGGTTTCACTGGAGAATTCTACCAAACATTTAAAGAAGAATTGACACCAATTTTACACGATCTCCTCCAGTAAGTAAAACAGGAGAGAACATTTAAAAACTCATTTTACGTGGTCAGTATTACCCTAATACAAACACCAGGAAAAGACAGTACAAAGAAGATTACAAACCGACAAGTCACAGGAAGTTAGATGTTGAATTCTCAACAAGATATCCACAAACTTCATCCAATAATGTATAAAAAGAATTATATACCATAAACAAGTGTGATTTCTATCAGATATGCAAGGCTATTTTGACATTCAAAAAATAATTGAAAGTTAGGCATCACATCAATAAGCTAAAGTAGAAATATCATATCATATCAATTGACACAAAAATAGCAATTGACAAAACTCTAATTTTATTCATAATAAAAATTTCAGCAAGTTAGGAATGGAAGGGAATTTTCTCAACTGATAAAGGGTACCTACAAAAAAAAATCCACAAAATCCTACTTAATGGGGAAAGACTGAATGCTTTCCTCCTAAGATCAAGAACAAGACAATGCCCATTCTTACCACCCTTATTCAACATAGTACTGGAAGTTATAACCAATGAAGTCTCAGTAAAGACAAGACATAAAATACATACACATAGAAAACAGAGCACTAAAACTATATTCATAGGAGATATGATTGTCTCTACAGAATATCCCCAGGAATCTATGAAAAAATGTTTAGAACTAATAAGTGAGTTCAGCAATGTCACAGGATACAAGATTAACAAAAATGAATTCCATTTCTATATACTAACTATAAAAATGTAAGAACTGCAATAAAAAATACAATACTATTTACAGTCACTCCTAAGAAGATGAATAGTTAGGTGTCCTTTTAACAAAACATGTACAAGATGTTTATATTGGAAATTATAAAATGTTGATGAAAGAAATTTTAAAAAGCCTAAATAAATGGAGAGGCATACTTACTGTGTTCTCAGATTGGAAAACTCAACATAATAAATATGTCAATTTTCCCTAAATTGATCTATAGGTTTAAAGCAATTGCTACCTAAATCCCAGGAAAGTTTTCTGTAGATATTGACAAACTTAGTCTAAAGTATGTATGGTAAAGTACAGGCTCTAGAATAGTTAAAACGATTCTGACAAATAAAAATAAAGTGAGAGGACTCATTCTGCCCATTATTAAGACCTCTATGTAACTATAGTAATCAAGATAGCATTGTATTACAGAGGGATGGACCATAGATCAATGGAATAATAAACTCAAAAACAAACCCACACAAATACATGCCCATCTGATTTTTAACAAGGTACAAAGGCAATTCAATAAAGGATGAATTGCCTTTTCAATAGATAATGCTGGAGCAATGGGACTCTTGTAGGCCAAACAAGTGAATTACGACCTAAACTTCACACTTTATACAAAATTAACTCAATTTGGATCATAGACTTAAATGTAAAATGTAAAACTATAAAACTGTTAGAAAAACATATGGGCGAAAGTCTTTAAAAAGTAGGACTATGCAAAAAGTTCTTAGACTTGACACCAAAAGCATGATCTATAAAAGGAAAAAATTGACGAATTGGACCTCACCAAAGCTAAAAACTTTTGCTCTGTGAAAGCTCATGTTAAGAGGATGAAAAGACAAGCTATAGACTGGGAGAAAATATTTGCAAACCATATATTCAACAAAGGACTAGTATCTAGAATATAAAAAGAATGCTCAAAACTCAACAGTAAATACCAAACAATCCCATTTAAAAATGGGCAAAAGATATACACAGACATTTCACCAAAGAAGATATACAGATGGCAAATAAGCACGTGGAAAGATATTCAACACTGTTAGCCGTTAAAGAATTTCAAATTAAAATCACAATGAAGCCTGGAGCAGTGGCTCATGTCTGTAATCCCAGCACTTTGGAAGGCCAAGGTGGGCGGATCACTTGAGGTCAGGAGTTCAAGACCAGCCTGGCCAACATGGTGAAATCTCGTCTCGACTAAAATACAAAAATTAGCTCAGCATGGTGGCATGTGCCTGTAATCCCAGCTACCCGGGTGGCTGAGGCATGAGAACCCAGGAGTCAGAGGTTGCAGTGAGCCAAGATTGTGTCACTGCACTCCAGCCTGGGCAACAGGGTGAGACTGCCCCACCCGCGACCCCCCCCAAAAAAGAAAAAAACACAATGAGATATCACTACACACTTGTCACAATGACTAAAATAAAAAATAGCAACAATACAAAAAGCTGGCAAGGATGAGGATAATCTGGATCGCTCATACACTGTTGGTGAGAATGTAAAATGGCACTCTGGAAAACAATTTGGAAGTCTCTTATAAAACTAAACCTGCAGGCCAGGCTTGGTGATTCATGCCTATAATCTCAACACTTTGGGAAGCTGACGTAGCAGGATCACTTGAGGCCAGGAGTTAAAGACCAGCCTGGGCAACATAACAAGACCCCGTCTCTGAAAAAAAAAAATATTAAAAATTAGATGGGCATGGTGGTGTATGCCTGAAGTCCTAGCTACTCAGGAGGACGAGGCAGGAGGATCACTTGAGTCCATGAGTTCAATGCTGCAGTGCGCTGTGTTTGGACCACTGTACTCCAGCCTAGGTGACAGAGCAAGACACTGTCTCTAAAAAAACTAAAGTCAACATGCAACATGCAACTACTGTATGACTCAGCAACTGAACTCTCTTTTTTATCCCAGGGAAATGAAAACTTAACATCCACACAAAAACCTGTACATGTTATACATGAATGTCCATGGCAGCTTTATTTGTTCTAGTCCAGGAATTTGCACAGATGTCCTTCAATAGGTTTACGGTTAAACAAACTGTTGTGCATGCATGCCATGGAACACTACTCATAATAAGAACAAACTCTTAATACACACAACTTAGTGAATCTCCAGCAATTTGTGCTGAGTGGAAAAAAAAAAGCCAATCTCAAAAGCTTCTATACTGTGTGATTTTTTTCTCTGTAACATTTTTGAAATGAAAAAATATTTAAAATGATGGACAAATTAGTGGCTGCCAGAGGTTAAGGATAGGGGTTAAGGAGAGTTAAGAGTTACATGAGGGGTTCTGAGGATGTTAAAGGGATTTAGTATCTTGACTATGGTGGAGATATGCATCCACTTAGGTGATAAAATTATATAGAACCTAATATACACACAAACACACATGCACCAGTACAAGGGAAACTTGGGATATTTGAATAAATCAGTGAATTGTATCAATGTTGATGACATGGTTATGATGTTATACACAGTTTTACAAAATGTTACCACTGGGGGCAGGGCACGGTGGCTCACGCATGTAACCGCAGCACTTTGGAAGGCCGAGATAGGCAGATCACTTGATGTCAGGCATTCAAGACCAGCCTGGCCAACATGGTGAAATCCCATCTCCCTGTCTCTACTAAAAATACAAAAATTAGCTGGACATGGTGCCACATGCCTGTAATTCCAGCTACTCAGGAGGCTGAGGCAAGAGAATTGCTTGAACCTGGGAGTCGAAGGTTGCAGTGAACCGAGATCATGCCACTGCACAACAGCCTGGGTGACAGAGCGAGACTCCATCTCAAAAAACAAAACAAAAAAAGCAAAATGTTACCACTGGGGAAGCTGGGCAAAGTGTATAGGGGATCGGAGTTCTCAAGAGGACTCATATTCTCTCAAGGTCCAAGACATCTGCTTTGGCTTCTGGTTTCTCACACAACACCTAGCACAGAGCTCCTCACATCAGAGATTCTCAATGAAGCCTGAGAATTCCCATCTGGGATTGATGATGTCACCTGATGGAGTAGGCATGAATGATGATCAGGGTCTTCATCAATGGATACCTGGGAGGGTTTGGTTGTCTGCTACTGAGCTTTCCCAAGGACAATCTTCCCTGAGAAGACCATTGGCATATGCTGCCCACACATGCACAGCCGTTGTCACACACATACACATCACACACACAACTGCAAACACTGCATTCTTAAAACAGGAGTCCCGGGTGATGGTTCTCATGGCAACCACCAGAGAGCCACTTCCCATGTGTCCTCGAAAAATCACTGGGTGTGACACAGGCTCGCAATCCAACTTCTGCAGGGCGTGTGCTTCTTTCTCGTGTTCATCATTCAGCTTATCGTTAAGCTCATTGTGACTACAATGTGATAAATGATCAATGCTGTTTAGTCTTAAAGGGCCCTATATTGTGCTAATCTATAACTCTAGATGAAAAGTGAATGCATTCAATTCAGTTAACCGAATGTTGAGCATTTTCTATCTACAAGGCACTAAACAGGGGTTTCTAGGAGAAACAAAGATGAATCATGGTGCCTGTTCTCAGGTATCTGACAATGGCACAGGGAAGGTCTTTGTGCCAATTCTATAGCAGAAGACTGGCTTTGGAATGAGCTGTTAGTGTGTACTGATATGGCATCTTAAGACCTTGGGAGAGTTGACTTCCTAGCTGGCAACCACCACCCAGGGGTGCCACTCAGCTCTGTACAGAAGGTTCATAGAAAGAACTGTGGGCTACAATGGTTACAAGCCTGCTGGTGGGCCAGGTGGGGAGGCTCATGCCTGTAATCCCAGCAGTTTGGGAGGCCGAGGCAGGCGGATCACTTGAGGTCAGAAATTCAAGACCAGCCCAGCCAACATGGTGAAACTCTGCCTCTACTAAAAATACAAAAATTAGCCAGGCATGGTTGTGGTCACCTGTAATCCCAGCTACTTGGGAGGCTGAGGCAGGAGAATCACTTGAACCCGGGAGGCGGAGATTGCAGTGAGCTGAGATCACACCACTGCCCTCCTCCAGCCTGGGTGACAGAGCCAGACTCTGTCTCAAAAAAAAAAAAAAAAAAAAAAAAAAAAGTAAGAAAAGAGCCTCCTGGCCAAGTCAGCCTGTGTAATTCAAGTCCTGGCTTCTCTACTCACCAGCAGCTAAACTTGGGCTAATTCCTCATCTTTAACATTAGGAAAATAGTATCAACCACTCAAGTCTGGTGTAGGGAATAAAAGGCAATGCGTGTGACCTACTTAGCACACAGCCTGGCATATAGTAAGTGCTTCATAAATACTGGCTGCTATCATTTGAGCAGGTAGGATAAAAAAGATGAATAAGGCATGGAGCCTCTTCTTGAGCTGCTCTCAGTCCAACGGGGGTGATAGACACGCATGCAGAGGGATCGTTGGGCAGTGCAGAAGAGAAAATCCGGGCCTCCCTCAGGAGGCTGCAGACAGCGAGCCACGAACAGATGCCTGCTAGTCTTTGCAGTGCCTTTCACCCATGCCCGGGGCAGGTTTCATTCACAGCGTGACCAGCTTCTGCACTGGCCAGGGACACATGCAGTACAGGCTGAGCACGCTGAGGGCCTCTGTTCACCTCCCTCCATTCACCTCCCTGTGTTCATCTCGTCGCTGGTTCAGCATTGCACTTGGCTGTTTGCAAAGCTGCAGAAGGAGCTCTTCTCTGGGATGTTTTTCTCCCCTAGACCCCATGACAGATGTGGTCCCAGGAGAGGGAGATGTTGAGGAGCCATCATTATCACACTCCCCGCTTCGTGCACAATTGCATGGAACTTGCTTATTGCTCACCATTGTTGGTGTGAGAACAATGTTATTTCGGTTGCTGTTTCTTATCTCAAGGAAGGATCCCCATTTCCTGCACCAGGGGGTGTCTGGGAGGCAGAGCAATTGAATCTTGTAGCTCAAAGTATCATTTTCCTGCTTGCTTTGAGTCAGCTTTGTGGGGTGCTGTGACACAGAAATGTGCCTTCCACAGACTCATTTGTCCTGTGGTCCAAGCTGCTTCTCAGATAAAAACTTCTCTGTGACCCTGAAACTTGGCAGAACCTGGTGTGTTTAGTGCTAGTGCCCAACAGCTATTCAGTGTGCTTTGCGCAGAGAGCTACATGGGGATAGAAAATAAATCACACCTTAAAATATGAGGTGAAAATTCTTAGAATTGTCTATTGGAAGTTCTAGGACATCTTGTCCATGTATAGTAATAGCGAGTTACTTTTCAGAAGGAGTAACAATGGAGTAGAAAGGCATGCCATTTGTTTGCTTTGTTGACTAATGTCATTTCTACAGGAAGCCTGGTTGGCGGTGGAGAGGGGAATCTGAGGCCTCCATGAAGCCCTCCCATCCCCAGGGCCATGGGCAGAAACTGCAGGGAAAACAGTCATGAGGAAATTGCAACTTATGTTTTGCAACCTGAAATCTAGAAAGGGGCTGAGAATAAGAATCAGGATAATTACCCAGCAAATCTGCAAGACATCTGCCAAAGAAACACAGAAGTCAAGACAGGAGGAGTCAGCTACTCTGGAGGCTGATTGGGGAGGATCACTTGAGCCCAGGAGCTCGAGGCCACAGTGAGCCAGGATTGCACCACTGCACTCCAGCCTGGGTGACAGGGAGAGATCTTGTTCCAAAAAAGAAAGCAAAAGAAAGAAAAGAAAAAAAAGGAAGGAAGGAAGGAAAGAAGGAAGGAAGGAAGCAAAGAAGGAAGAAGGGAAGGAAGGAAGGGAGGGAAGGAGGGAGGGAGGGAGGGAGGGAGGGAAAGAAGGAAGGAAGGAATCAGAGGCTACTGCTGTGGGCCAGAGACCTGCCCAGAGCGCATGCCCTGCAGGCAAATTTGGGGGTGTCCCTGCATGCCCAGAAGAGGCTTCAGTGCAGGGGGTGGAGTCGAGCGGGCTCAGAGCCAAGCCAGCTGTGACCCTTAGGGCTCTCCTCTCTGAGTCAGGAGCATGCAGGAGGTGGGCCTGGGTCCCCTCCTGCCCCAGGTGGAAATTCACCATCCCAGGGAGTGTACTTTTCTCCCAAGGCACTGGGTTGGAGGCCCGGATCATCTTCCACAGGTTTGCAAGGAGACTTCTGGTGGACAGCAGCTCCCTTTTTCCCTTTAGCCAAAGTCGCCAGGTCTAGAGACTCCTCTGCTGATCAAAAAGTCATCCCGGCAGCATCAAAGTAGAGTTAGGGCGACAGCTCAGACTCAGGTAAGGCAGGGCCTCCCCACCCTGAACAGCTACCGGAGCCAAGTGTTGCCAGCCACCCTCCCCTCTCTGTTGGGGACTGAGCCCAGGAGACAACACTCCTCCAAGTGCCCCACTCTGTAACTCCTGGGACACTGTGAGTCTTCCTCAACCTGTCCTGGAAACATCACCAAAACTGCTTACCTTGTTTCAATCCAAACCCCGTTCTTCCTTAAAATGTTCTTGGTTCATTTAAAATAAAATGTAAAAAATCCTCCTGCTGCACATGGCACAGTTGAGGAATTAAAAGGAGGCACCTGAAGTGGCTGGGATAGGGACAGTGCCAGAGACCATGCTACAGGAGAGATGGCTGGTGGAGCCAGGCAGTGAGAAGACTGAGGGCCTGGCATGTGGCTGGCGGCCTCAGAGCTGGTGGGTGCCTGCGTGCACCTCCAAAGGCCAGAGCAGGGCCCACAGGTGGCCACTGAGGGGTGAGGAATAGATGTTGGCACCACCTAAGGGGTCTTGAGCAGGTTCCCACAGCCTCGATGTGGGAAGGCTGTGCAGGCGCGATGCCAGGCTGGGAAGACTCGTGCAGGAAACGTGGGAATGGAAAGGGGTACAGCTCCATCCAGCAGCTGAGCCGAATCCACTCTGAGGGTGGACAGAACCTGCAGGCCCCGGCCTGCTTCGAAGCGCCAGCACGATAGATGGGAAGGGACCCACCTGCACACCCCGAGGCACCCTTCACACCTTGAATTTGGTGGAGCTGGGCATTCAGGCTCTTGGTTGGGGATTCGGGGCAGGGATTCCTGCTCTGAGCAAGAGGTTGAGCTGAATAAGCCTCCCAGCTCCCTCCGTACTCTGAAAGACTGCATTAAGCAGTGTTTCACCTGCTTGTCCTTTAGTAAGCTCCACACAATGTGCATAGACCCTATGTCTTTCCTCCAAATGTGGGCACCCAAACACACATACACTCTTCTCTTGTTCCATGCCAAAGGTGTCTGCAGCTGCATAACTCCAGAGGGACCCTTCCAGCCCCATCTTTCACTCTTCCTGCAGCCCCACTTTAAAGCCTGGCTTTCCTCAGGTGTGTACCAGGGCAATCCTGCCCCCTGGGATGCAGCTGCCTTGGCTCCAGCTTCCTCATCCAGGGTTTCCACCAGCCACTGCCCTGGCTGTGGGAGCCTTGGCCTCTCAGGGGTCAGGTACATGTCCTTTCTGTTCAGGTCCGCATGGTGACCCACTGACCTACTTTCAGAACTGCTTGGCATCACTCAGCATCCTCGCCTGTCCTCTGCAGATCTGTGATGTTTAGATTCTGTGACAGGAAACATGAGAGTAACGGCCCTGCAGATAAAAATATAACACACCAAGGTGCTCACAGCCGCCAGGCTGGCTGTTTAATTGCACACACATCATTCATCATGAGAGATGTGACAAATTTATCTTTATTTTTCCCCAGCTTACGGCTCTGTACTCTCTCATGCATGTTCATGAGGTATACTTCTCCTTATCCTATTTTCATATTTAAATGAAAACAAATTGGCTCATTTACCGGGAGACTCTCAGCTTGGTAGAGATTGAAAAAGTGTGTGTTTGTGCACGTGTGTGTGTGTGTGTGTGTGTGTGTAGTGTTGCATTTGTTTTCCCTCAGAGGGTTAGGAAAGTATGGATTGAATGGATTGTTCAGAAATAAAGAAATTTTCAGAATGTCTTCAATCATCTACACAAAACAGAGCCTGAAATAGCTCAGGGAAGAGCTCGTTGATAAAACATCAATCACGACAAAACCAAATCAACACGGCAGTCGGTTGCAAATGTCACAGCATCGCATATTATTTCTACCTGCACAGAGAACTGCAACCAATTCTGGAATTGCTTTCTCCTGCCTGTGTTCATGGATTTGGAGGAAGAACACGTCTTCCAGGGAAGTAAGGATGTGCTAAAAGGATTGGAACATGGAGCGGGCCCCAGGTCGGGGAGGAGGGAGAGGCAGGTGCCTGTGGATGGAAGGAAGCCATTTCTACAGGGTGGAAGGAGAAGGAGAGGTGGGTCACCCTGAGCACCCCCTGTAGGAGGATGTAAAAGGCATGAGCCCAAGTAGGCACAGACCTTCTCTGCACTGCAGATAATTCCCCCTTTAACATATTGTTCTTTTTTAATTCCCCAAGAAATGCACAGACCCCTGATACAGGAGTGCAAAGAGCATGCTTCCTTTACCCCTCGCTGTCCAATCCCAATCCGTAGCCCTTTGGGTGTATGGTCCTCCAGAACTCTCCATGCATCTCATGTCTGCTGCTGAGTCTGTCTGTCTCTGTCACCTATGTGGATATCTACTGCCTCCATGAGTGGTATCTGCAGCAGTTATTAGCAAGGATCACTCCCTCTTCCCCAAAGCTCTCTCTGCCCTTGGGTTCCAGCTTCTACCTCCGCCTCTTCAGGCTCTCCTGCCTCACCCCATGGTCCTCCTCTGCCTGCCAAGCTGGGTCCTCCTCATATGAGTGACTTCTAAAGGAGGGGATAATCACGGCTCTCCCCTCATTGATTCCTCTAGCCCCACAGCTCTACATAATGTTTAGAAGAACACGGCTCTCTTCTCAGTTGTAAGAGGGAGCTAAGCATTGAGTACACATGGACATACAGACAGGAACAGTAGACACCGTGGACTCCTAGAGATGGGAGGTGGGGAAGGGCTGAAAACCACCTCTTGGGTACTATGCTCACCACCTGAGTGATGGGATCATTTGTACCCCAAGCCTCAGCATCATGCAATAAACCCTTTTAGCAAACCTTCACACATACTCCCTGAATCTAAAATAAAAGCTGAAATTATTTTTTAAAAAAGAAGATGACTCTCAAATATGTTCCTCCAGCCTGAAGCTGGACCTCCAACCGCCCACCTGACACCTCAGTCTGAATTAGCCATGCAAACTGGTTCAAAGCAGAGCCCTTGACTTTGCCTCTGCCAAGCCTGCTCCTCTCCCAGTTCTGCTTAGTAAAGTCAGCACCATTTACTGGCCAAATACTGGGAATCCTCTTTGGTTCCTCTCTTTTGTTGCCGCCATCTGAAACACCAGCAAATCCTGGGGGCTCCGTCCTCAAAGTCCACCCAGAGCCTGCTGGCCTCTCACCACCCCACCCCTACTACAATGGTTCAAACACAACTCCACTTCCCCCGAAGCACTGCAGTGGCCACTGGACGGCTCTCCCTGCTTCAAACCACCCAGAAGCAATGCTTTTTGGAATAGACAGACTGAAATTTTAAAAATCAAAGCAGGGATGTCATGCCCCTGCCCTGCTCCAAGCCCTCCAACAGCTCCCTGTCTTCTCAGAATAAAACCCAGTGGTCCTGCATGGATCACCAATCCCATCCTTGGCCCTGTTTCCTGGCATGGCTCCAGCAGCACTGACTCCCAGGGAAGAGATTCTGTTTTATTCGTTGCTGTGTCCCCAGTGGGTAGCAGACTCATATTGTCTCTCTCTAATGCTGTCTTTACACACACACACACACACACACACACACACACGCAAACGCATACGCATGCACATTTGTTAGTTAAATGAATTAATTTTTATTTTATTTTTCAAACTTAGCTGTAATTTAGATTTTTTTATTTTGTTGTACAATAGCCATCTCTTTCTTTATAACTTTTGTGTAGTTTTCTGTGGATTTACTATAATTTATTTACTCTTTAATGATACAAAATTGTGTTGATCTATTTTCATTAGGGTGATTAACAAATAAAGCAAAGGGATTGAAAAGTTCAGATCCTTATGTAGGGAGCCCAAGGAAGGGTTTCAGGGTGCCTGGAGTCCCCCAAAGTGTAAGCGAGACTGCCTAGGTGCTTGAATATGGAAATGCTTGGTTCTGGGGAACACTGGTTTTCACCCTTCTGAAAGTTATAGATCACTGGATCGGGATACTCACTTAAATTAACCCAGGCTAGCCGCTATGCTGGCCCTGCCAACCCCTAGCCAGGAAAACCATCTAATTAAGGAGAAAGCTGCTGTCCGTTCAGAGGCTTTGTGGCAGTGTGTTCTGGGTGAATGTGTCAGAGCCTGGATGGGGAGACCTGCTCCTACCTCCTAATGATCTACAGCAGCCTGCAGATCTCTGCAGGCCTCCGTGCCCCTTCTGACCATGGGCCCAAGAAGATCTGGCTACCTCCAGGTAGCACAAGGGGAAAGGCCTTTATAACAGCAAATTGCCCTAAAGTGGAACTTGCTGTTTTGTTTTTCTGACTTCCCAATTGCTCTGTCTCTTAATCCCATACTAATGACGGGGTACAAAGGGATGAAGGAAAAATATAAAACGAGGCCACAATGAGATGAAGTTGATGACGGTAGCAATCAGCTCTTTAAGATGCAAAAAGTCTGTTAAAATTCTTCCGACCAGAGCAGATGCCTCCCAGCCCCTTGCCATTGCAGAAGGATGTGTGAACTATGATATTTGGGCTGCTGTCTGGCTCTTCTGCATGCACCACAAGTTCTTGCTGTAGCCCTGGGGTCTCTCAAAGCAGCAGGAAGGAGTACGAGTGCCTGGAGTTGGGGGAAAAGGAGGCAATGTTCCATACAAAGCCTTGAGCCACAGATCCCCCAACTGGCCCTTGAGGAGCAGATCATACCCACTGGCCAGTCTAGCAGGAGGCCCTGCCCATCCACTCCCTGCCAGCTACTCAGCGGTCTGACCACATCTGAGTCCTGGCTTTCACCCCGGACTTAAGAATATGGGTGGCACCTAATTCTCCAGCCCGCTGTCGAATATCTCAAGGAAATTTCTTGACAAATGAATGAGTTTGAGGCTTTGGGGCAGAAAGATACAGCAGGCAGTCAAATGTGAAGATGTGTATTAATTATATGTTAAAGTTAATATTGTGTTATAAATCTAACGTAGCATAATGATCAAAGGCACGGACTTAAAGCCAGGTAGCCTGAGCAAGAATCCTATCTCCACTCCGATTATCTGTGCTCTCAGAGGAATTTTTTAATTGATCTGTGCTTGAGTTTCTTCACCTATAAAATGTCAATAAGATAATGGTATGATCTGAATGTTTCCATCCTCCCCAAATTCCTATATTGAAACCTAATCCCCAGTGTGATGGTGTTAGGAGGTGTGGTTTTTGGGAAGTGATAAGTCACGAGGACAGAGTCTTCATGAATGGGATCAGTGTCCTTATGAAAGAGACTCCAGAGAGGCCCCTGCCTTATCTATCTTGTGAGGATATGGCTAGGAGGCACTATCTCTGAACCAGGAAGTGGGCCCTCATGAGACACTGAATCTGCTGCCACCTTGATCTTGGACTTCCCACCTCCAGAACTGTGAGCAATAAAGTTCTGATTTTTTTTTTTTTTGAGACGAAGTCTTACTCTTATTGCCCAGGCTGGAGTGCAATGGCACGATCTCAGCTCCCTGCAACCTCCATCTCCCGGGTTCAAGCAATTCTCCTGCCTCAGCCCCACAAGTAGCTGGGATTACAGGCACCCACCACCACGCCCAGCTAATTTTTGTATTTTTAGCAGAGATGGGGTTTCGTCATGTTGGCCAGGTTTGTCTTGAACTCCTGACCTCATGATCTGCCCACCTCAGCCTCCCAGAGTGCTGGGATTACAGGCGTGAGCCACCGAGCCCAGCCAAATTTCTGATTTTTTAAGCTACCTAAGCTAAGACAGATAGCAACTCTCAGTGGTGGAGGATGCAAGCAGCTATCCCCTCTCTGTAACAGCAGAGTTCTGGCCTGGCAGGCGCTGGCTGGTTATGCCAGGTTTCCCAGCACCCCCTGAAGCATGGCCATGTGGCTATGTCCTCTCCCATGGAACATGAATGCAAGTGACTTGTGCCATGACCAGGCTGGGCCTCAAAAGAGCTGGCATGCTACCTCAACACCCTTGTTCTCTGTTTCTGATGGCTTGAGCAGCAGTGACCAGAGTGGCTTTGCTAGCCACCTATACACAATGGTCATCAGCCTAACCCTGTCGCCTTCCAACTTGGGACAATGAGATCACCACATAAAAGAAAAGTAATCTTCAATCTGCTTAGAGCCACTGCACTGTTGAGTCACTTTCTTAAAGTAGTTATTGTTATCCTCACTAAAACCCGACCTCACAGGAGGTGTTGAGAGCATTCGATGAGTGAGTGAGTGAACACAAAGGACATCGAGTCCACACTGTATATGTGGTCGCTAATAGCACTGATGCAGAAAATAATAAAACATCATCATGTAATTAGGAAGCAAATGCTTGTGTAAAAAATTACATGAAATATTTCAAAGCTATGTAGCAATAAGGTTTGCATGCTGTGGAGTTTTCTATAATCCAGCCCATCGTGCAGGGCCATCGTCCAGGTAATCTGGAATTGACTGGCCATACAAAATGGAAAGCACCCTGTGTTAGCCCGTTCTTACATTGCTATGAAGAAACACCTGAGGCTGGGTTATTGATAAAGAAAAGAGATTTAATTGGCTCATGGCTCTGTAGGCTATACAGGAAGCATGGTGCTAACATCTGCTTAGCTTCTGGGAGGCCTCAGGAAGCTTCCAATCACAGCGGAAGGTGAAGGGGGAGTAGGTGTGTCACATGGCTGGAGCATGAGCAAGAGGGGTGGGAGAGGTGCTACACACTTTTAAATGACCAGATCTTGCAAGAACTCCCTCACTATCGCAAAGACAGCATCAATGGGATGGTGCAAAACCATTCATGAGAATTCCACCCCCATGATCCAATCACTTCCCACCAGGTCCCACTTCCAACACTGTGGCTTACACTTCAATATGAGATTTGAGTAGGGAAACAGAGCCAAACCATATCACATACGAAATCATAGATGGTATTGCTGGTTATAAGAATTCTTTATCATGAATAAAACAGTGTATATTGTTCGGAGAGTTCTCAAGAAGATGTGATTAGAATCTTGCGTCAAAAGGACAAGAATGGCTGGACACGGTGGCTCACGTCTGTAATCCCAGCACTTTAAGAGGCCAAGGCCAGGAGTTTGAGACCAGCTGGGCAACATGGTGAAACCCCATCTCTACCAAAAATACAAAAATTAGCTGGGCATGGTGGCAGGTGCCTGTAATGCCAGCTACTCAGGAGGCTGAGGCAGGAGAATCGCTTGAACCTGGGAGGCAGAGGTTGCAGTGAGCCTAGATCACACCAATTGCACTCCAGCCTGGGCAACAGTGAGACCCTGTCTCAAAAAAAAAAAAAGAAGAAGAAGAAGAAGAACAGGAATGGAAATGACCATGACTATGACCACGCTGGTTGGCTTTTCCATATCCAGAAATACCTGTGTAGAAGATAGACACACCAACCCTTTCTAATTTGATGGTGGTGTTTCTTTGTGTCTTCTTTTCTGAGTTTTTCTGCTATTCCATTGACACTTTGATTAGTGCATTTCCAGAACATCTGGGAGTCTGTGGTCACTGTAGAGCACACAGCCTCCACAGCTGTCACCCTATGATGCGCCCCTCCCCTGTGCCTGGTTACTGGAAAGAGGAGGAATGCCATAGGCAAAGGGCAGCTGGGAGAAGCCTGCCCCGGAGCAACAGCACATGGACTGCAGAACGATGGAGCTGCCAGAAGCTTTTTGTTTTCATAAGTGCAAGGCATCTCTCCAGCTTAGTTGCATGACAGCCTATGCAGGGATAGTTGCCTCTGCTGTCAGTCAACATTCACAGACATGTGGCGCCCACACAGGGCCACTGTGGTCAGCTGCATTGATCCTTGCTTTGGACAAGAATAAGAATTGCCTGAACTATTTCTAGCTCCCCTGGCTGGGAACACTGACAAGGAACTCCTACTCTCCAGCCATGGAACTGAGCTAGAGACAGACAGCTCGGGGACCGAACCTGAGGAGGCAGGAGGACGGCCGTGCTCATTCTTCCTAATTGCATGTTGATTCTCAACATCAGGAAAGTGCTCTGACTCAGGGCAGCAAAGTAACCCTCTCTGAGTATGAAGTGAGACAAAGTCCCCCACAGGCAGGTAGCTATGGCGGAGACAGGGTGGCCTTTGGGACTGTGAGTCCTGAGTATGAGCCTTTCTGGGCAGTTTGTTTCCTGTGTGTGAGAGACAGAGAGAGAGAGATTATATGTGTGTGTGTGTGTGTGTGTGTGTGTGTGTGTGTGTGTGTGTGTGTGACATGAACACTAAGTTCTATCAAAGGAAATCATAAAATGTGAAAATTAATTTTTCCCTCCAGGAGAGAAGCTTTGGGGTTTATGACTCGTAGGAATGGTGTAATATGCAAGAAGGAGTCCATGCTAGCACTGGCCTTGGAGCTCAGGAAGGAGCTGTGAGAATCGCAGCATGCCCCACAGGTGTCTGAGAGGTGTCGGAGAGTCAGTGTGGTGTCAGGGCCATGGGCAAGGCCCCGATGCAGAGGTGTAGAAGTGGGTCTGGGTCCTGGGACCTGGGGCAGGAGGTACGGATGGGGGAGTTGGCAGCAATATGAGAACTTGGTGGGAGAAAGGGAGGAGCCCAGTTGCTTGACTGAGCCACAGGGAAGGGCAGGATGCATGGGACACTGAGTCCCCAGCCTCTAAGCTAGGAGTTCCTCAAGTGTTCCCTGACTCAGGCCAGAGAGAGCCACAGGCTGCACTGCAGGTGCAGGTCAGCAGGAGGCACGGGGACAGGGCTAAAGGGAAGGTGACCTGGCAGGTTCCACATGAGATCTACAGTGTCAATCTGGACACTTTGTGGGGATAAAACCCAGCCAAGCATCAGGTCATCATCGCTCATGCATGGGTTTTCTGATGGGGCCCCCCAGTGCCCAGCTTCCCATATGCTTCTGACAGCACATTGCATGAAGCCATTGAAAGCCGTGCCCTGGTTTGTGGTTCCAACAAGAACTGGTTTCCCCAAAAGTAGGTCAAGAGCTCCTCAGAAACTTGTGGACTCTGACTTTGATTTTTCCATCTTCAAGTTGAAAATATAAGTTCTTTGCAAGAAAAAAAAACATTGATTTTTTTTCTTCTTTTTGTGAAATTTGAAACATAGTTGGCATGATGGGAAATAAAAACTGACAAAGTCAGGGAAACCCCAATTGTGGCCTAGCAAGCTCCCAGCCATCGTTTGGGCAGACCCCATGGCCATGGCTGGTTCTTCAGCTGCAATGGGGCAGAGGCCTCCCTGGATACAGAGAAGACCGTGAGACCTGATGAGCACGTGGGTGGCTCTGTGGGCTGCCACCCTGCTCCCAATCCCACTTATCATGGCCACAGTGAACTCTGTCATTGAAACGGACTTTCCATGCCAGTCACAAGAACAGTCTATTATCTCAGTGAACGTCAGATACCTCCTGGAAAATTGCGCAGGTTTCTTTATGTCTCTTTGCTAGAAGGAGGAAATGAGGAAACTCCAGCAAGAAAGAAGGCATCATTTTTTCAACAATCACACATAACGTGAGTATGAGCCACCCAGAAAGCTGAGATCTTTAAGAACCAGGAACACATCTTACATCTTTTGCATCCTGGGCAGTGTTTAGCCCAGGACCTTGTCCAGCGTTAGTTCTCAATGAATGGCTGTTGAATGAATGAGTGAGTGAACAAGGCTTGAGTCTTCCTACTCTGGCATCACAGTGTCCACCTGGGAGGCTCTGCAGGCTGAGGTTAGGAGTACGGCACAGGGAGCAACCCCAACCTGGCTCTCACCACCCTCCATGGGCACCTGCTCGTGTTGCCTGACCAGCATCGGCTCTTCCTTCTTTTCACAATGGTACCTGGATTTTCACTGATGCGCTCTCTTTCCCTTCCTCAACTCATCTGATTCAGGTGGAGCTGATGACCCAGCCTCCAGTGGACATGTGGCCTAACCTTGAAAATTATAGAATCAAGTGAGTGACTTATCATGCTTTGGATTCTGGAGGCAACAATCCCATCAAAAAGCGGGCTAAGGACATGAATAGACAATTCTCAAAAGACGATATACAAATGGCCAAAAAACATATGAAAAAATGCTCAACATCACTAATGACCAGGGAAATGCAAATCAAACCCACAATGCGATACCACCTCCTCCTGCAAGAATGGCCATAATCAAAAAATCAAAAAACAGCAGATGTTGACATGGATGCAGTGGTCAGGGAACACTTCTATACTGCTGGTGGGAATGTAAACTAGTACAGCCACTATGGAAAACAGTGTGGAGATTCCTTAAAGAACTAAAAGTAGAGCTACCATTTGATCCAGCAATCCCACTACTGGGTATCTACCCAGAGGAAAAGAAGTCATTCTATGAAAAAGATACTTGCACATGCATGTTTATAGCAGCACAATTTACAATTGCAAAAATATGGAACAAATCAAATGTCCATCGATCAACGAGTGGATAAAGAAACTGTGGTATATATATATATATGATGGAATACTACACATCCATAAAAAGGAATGAATTAATGACATTTGCGGTGACCTGGATGAGATTGGAAACTATTATTCTAAGTGAAGTAACTCAGGAATAGAAAACCAAACATTGTATCTTCTCATTGATATATGGGAGCTAAGCTATGAGGACACAAAGGCATAAGAATGATGGAATGGACTTTAGAGACTTGTGGGGAAGAGTGTGGGGGAGCGAGAGATAAAAGACTACAAGTAGGGTGCAATGTATACTGCTCCGGTGATGGGTGCACCAAAATCTCACAAATCACCACTAAAGAACTTACTCATCTAGCCAAATACCATCTGTATCCCAACAACTTATGGAAAAATTAAAATAAAAAAAAAAGAAGGTCAGGCACAGTGGCTCATGCCTGTAATCCCAGCACTTTGGGAGGCCAAGGCAGGTGGATCACCTCAGGTCAGGAGTTCAAGACCAGCCTGGGCAACATGGTGAAACCCCCGCCTCCACTAAAAATACAAAAACTTAGATGGGTGTGGTGGAAGGAGCCTGTAATCCCAGCTACTCAGGAGGCTGAGGCATGAGAATCACTTGAACCTGCAAGACGGAGGTTTCAGTGAGCCAAGATCATGCCATTGCACTCCAGCCTAGGAAACAAGAGCAAAAAAAAAGAGAAAGAAAAGTAAGCTAAGAGATGCCAAATAAATAAACATATAGCAGCTATAATCTCAACACCCTAAATAAACAGTTAACATTTTAGCAGATTCAGAAAGAAAAGAAAGGAAGGAAGGAAGGAAAGAAGGAAGGAAGGAAGGAAGGAAGGGGAAGGAAGGAAGGGAAAAAGAAAATGATTTTATCCAAGTAAGCCCAGTGGCAATATTCATAATAAACTGCCTTCAATGGCCTGGTCTCTCCTTGAAAATGCTGGCAGATGACTGTGGTCAGGTTAACTTGTCCTTGGGCATCAGAGAACATGGATACAGATGACTAATTGGAAAAAATTAGATTCTGTCTTAGGCCAATAAAACTTCAACAGGCGGCCGGGCACTATGGCTCATGCCTGTAATCCCAGCACTTTGGGAGGCCAAGGCTGGCGGACCACGAGGTCAGGAGATCGAGACCATCCTGGCTAACACGGTGAAAACTCATCTCTACTAAAATTACAAAAAAAAAAAAAAATAGCCGGGCGGGGTGGCGGGCACCTGTAGTCCCAGCTACTCAGGAGGCTGAGGCAGGAGAATGGCATGAACCCGGGAGGCGGAGGTTGCAGTGAGCCGAGACCACGCCACTGTACTCCAGCCTGGGTGACAGAGTGAGACTCCATCTCAAAAAAAAAAAAAAAACTTCAACAGGAACAAGCACCCCTTTGATCTGATGGCTGGACCCAGCTCAGCTACAGTGAGATGCATTTCAAAGTTTGCAAAGAATCAGAGTGAAATTTATAATGCAACTTGAGATCTCATCTTTCAAACACCTATATTAATGCAAACAAAAGGAAAAAAGCCTCATCCACAGCTTGTCAATGTGCCAACTTTGGAATGAGGTTCTCAGAAAGTCTGTGAATTTTTTGCCTTGAGTCTCTTCATTTCTGACCAGGTCCTGAGCTTTTGGCTGGGGCAGTGTCAACAGTCAAGCTCAATTCCCTCCCAACTGGACTTGGTCTCCGTTGGCTCTGTGGTCTGAAAGACCCTCATAAATGACCATGCAGGGATGTGGTCATCCACATTTGTCTAGAAGAACTTGCCAAGGTTGACCACCCTCAGAGGCAGGACCAGGCACCAAGCCAGGCCCATCAGATTCTCAGCTCGGTCTATGAGAAGCTGCTTTTGTTCCAGGGCAATGTGAGGATCTGAGCAGCTTCTCCGCTAGGCTGCATGGAAGGGCAACAGGATCATCTTCTGAAACAAGCCCTGGTTTCAACAAGAACTTGTGTGATGCGTCGAAGCCACTTAAGGACCATATGAGTTTTCATGTGACTATTACAGAAGGGCAACCTGATGCGGGGATGGGATGCTCTGCACCCCGGGCTTGGGCATGGTGAGTAGGACCTTGTGACAGTCACCTTAGTGTGCGGTTTCCACAGAGAAGATTCCACCCTAAGGGGGCCTCAGATAGCAGAAAACAATAGAAACTATTCTCACTCCTAGGAAATGTTTCAAAAATGTACATGGATGCAGAATTGGGTTCCATCATTCTTGGTGGAGAGCCAATCTTTTGGATTTGCCAAACTCACGGGTAAAACGCTGCCAGTTTGGGTCTCACAGATATTCATGGAAACCAAAAGATGATACAGTTTGGGATTTTCCCCAGTAATTTCTTTCTTCTTTTATCTCTCAGGAAGTTCTCCCTTGTGTGTATATGTGTGTGTGTGTGTGTGTGTGTGTGTGTGTGACAGAGAGAGAGAAAGAGAGAGAGAGATCAAGTCTTACTCTGTTGCCCAGGCTGGAGTGCAGTGGCGTGATCTTGGCTCACTGTAACCTCCACCTCCTGGGTTCAAGCAGTTCTCTTGCCTCAGCCTCCCGAGTAGCTGGGACTACAGGCATGTGTCACCACACCCAACTAATTTTTTTTTTTTTGTATTCTTAGTAGAGATGGGGTTTCACCATGTTGGCCAGGCTGATCTCGAACTCCTGACTTCAAATGACCCACCCGCCTCGGCCTCCCAAAGTGCTGGAATTACAGGCGTGAGACACTGCACTGGGCCTGGGAAGTTCTCTTTATACCAATGTTAGTCTGCATCTGAAATGGGGTGGGGGTTGGGGGCGGTGAGGGTGCCAGAGTGTCACAGCTTAACCATTGACAAAGCAAGGAGCTCACCAGGATTCTGACTTCCAGGCTGTCCAGCTCCACCAGGGACATGGCCCCATGCCCTGCACGCATCATTTGTGCTCAGAAGAGATGTGATGGGTAGGTGATGGCAGGCTCCTCCCCTGCCCAGGGAGAAAAGCCAGAACACTGCATGATTATGGCTGTAACTCTGGAGTACACAAAGTTGACACCTGCTTTTATTTCATTCCAAATGTCCGTTTCAAAAAGCAGTGTCTTCTCTAAGAACTAACCCTTCGATATAATCTTGTCCCCCAACCCCGCACCCTGCTTTATTCCAGAGGGTATTTAAAGCAGCTGTCACCCTTAGCTCCTTTCCATAATTGTGACTGGATCTCCATGACTGGTGCTGATAAGTGAGTCATGGCTTGTCACACGCTGCTTTTGAGAGCATCAGCAGAAGACGCAGGGCAGTGTTTGCTGCCCCGGCATGGGTGACTGCCTGAAGGACAGAGAGAGAGAGATGGAGTGATCACTCTCCAGGCAGAGGATAGAAACATGAACATACCATGCACAGGTTCCTGGGGAGGTGTGGGGGAGGTCTCAGGATACCTGCGTGTCTCTGTGCTTTCAGGTTGCCATTACGTACCCACACACATCCTGCAAAGCCTGCCTTTGCTTCCTCTGACTCTGTGCTCTGAGCCATAGGAGGTCTTCTGCCCGCCCTTCCACTTCCAGGGAAGAGTGATCCCCTCCATGAAGGGGCAGCTCTGAAGATGCTCAGAAGATGCCACTCCCAAGACCTCTGGAGGCACAGAGCCTGGGGACTACGGTGCTATGAGGGGCTCACAGAAATGTTTTCATTTTAATTTGCTTCAATTAAGAATAAAAAATGAACATCACGATAATGAATACAAAATAATAAATTGTATTTTATTAATAAAGATGATTATATTCATCTTTATACCAACTCTGTCATAAAGTGGAATTTTTAATCATGTTTTATAGAAGAAGGGCCCATAAAGGCAAAAGTTGCCAGGGGCTCCTGAAAGCCATCTGAGGCCGTGAGGACCCGGACTCTCCGGATGATGGGAAATCCTCGGGGACTAGAAAGCCAGAGCGTGGAAGTTCTTTGTCCCCTCTTCACTCCCTCTCACGTGCCCGAAGTACACAATGTGTACCTGAGACAGTGGCAGGACAGCCTGCTCCACTGAGGGCACATTGAGGGGAAGAGGCACAGACCCCACATCAAATGGCCAGAGAAGCCTGTGGAACACCATAGGAGCCCCCGGCCTCACATGTGCCGAGGCACCCGGGACCAGGCTGGGATTGCATGGACGAACTCGCCCCTAGTCCTCATGCTCATCCCGCCCTCCTCTGGGTAACATTGTTGAGCACCTACTCTGCACACGACGAGAAGGACTCCTGCCCTCCAGGGCCTCCCTGCTGGGGTGGGACAGAGCAGCACGCAGCCCAGGACCAAGCCCTGTGAGGCACGCAACCAGTGCAGGCCATTAGTGCTAAGTGCAGGGGCAGGAACTTTCCAGAGAACAGGCCCTGGGGCCCAAGGCCAAAAGGAGCATGAGCTTGATGTAATTGGGCTTGTACTTTAGAGCCATCACTGTGTGGCCTGCTAAGAATCTATTGCAAGGGGACAAAACTGGAAGCAGGAAGGCAATTAGAAAACCAGCAGTAGGCCAGGCTCAGTGGCTCACGCCTGTAATCCCAGCACTTTGGGAGACAGGGGTGGGCAGATCACCTGAGGTTAGGAGTTTGAGAACAGCCTGGCCAACATGGCAAAACCTCGTCTCTACTAAAAATACAAAAATTAGCTGGATGTGATGGTTCGTGCCTGTAGTCCCATCTACTCGGGAGGCTGAGGCAGGAGAATCGCTTGAACCTGGGAGGCAGAGGTTGCAGTGAGCTGAGATTGCACCTCCACACTCCAGCCTGGGCAACAGAGTGAGACTCCATCAAAAGGAAGGAAGGAAGGAAGGAAGGAAGGAAGGAAGGAAGGAAGGAAGGAAGGATGGGAGGGAGGGAGGGGAGAGAGAGATGAAAGAAAGAAAGAAAGAAGGAAAGAAAGAAAGAAACAAAGAAAGAAAGAAAGAAACAAAGAAAGAAACAAAGGGAAAGAGAGAGATGAAGGGGAAGGAAGGAAGGAAGGAGGAAAGGAGGGAGGGAGGAACGGGAAGAAAGGAAGGAAGGGAGAAGGAGGGAAAGAGGAAAGGAGGGAGGGAGGAAGGGGAAGAAAGGAAGCAAGGAAGGAAGAGAGAAAGGAAGGAAGAAGGAAGAAGGAAGAAAGGGGAAGAAAGGAAGGAAGAAGGAAGAAAGGGGAAGGAAGGAAGGAAAGAAAGAAAAAGAAAGAAAAGAAAGAGAGAAAGAAAGGAAGAAAGAAAGAGAGAAAGAAAGAAAGAACCAGCATTAAACTGGGAAGAACTGAGGATGGAGTGGGTTTGGAGGTGTGGGGCTGGCGAGGAGCCAAGGACCCCAGGACAGGACTCAGACTCCTGGGCCATCAGGAGGATGTGGCCCCTCCTGGGAAGGCACAGAGAGGCAGAAGGGTGGGAAGGGGTGGGGAGTGATTGAGGGATAGGTTCCACCTGAGGAGTTTCTCACAAGCAAAGGCTCTGGTTTGGGTGCGCTTACCTGGTCCCCTTGTTGCTGGAAGTGCTCAGAATGGATCTTCTGGGCTCTGATCATGTGCAACTTTTTTTTTTTTTTTTTGAGACGAAGTTTCACTCTTGTTGCCCAGGCTGGAGTGCATTGGTGAGATCTCGGCTCACTGCAAACTCCACCTCCCGGGTTCAAGCAATTATCCTGCCTTAACCTCTTAAATAGCTGGGATTACAGGCACCTGCCACCATGCCCAGCTAATTTTTGTATTTTTAGTAGAGATGGGGTTTCATCATGTTGGTCAGGCTGGTCTCGAACTCCTGACCTCAGGTGATCCTCCCAAAGTGCTGGGATTAGAGGCATGAGCCACCATGCCCGGCCACGTATGGCTTTTTACTATGTGTTGAGAGGGAGTTTGCACAAAATGGCTTCCCAAGCCCCTCTATAGAAAGTTTGATTCTAAGACCACCAGGAGAAGCAGTAGGCTTCCTGCAGGAAGGCTGTCCCAGGATTTCCCCCAGGGCTGGCGGGCCCAGCACCACAGGCCTCAGCCCCCACACCCACTGCCTGCCTTGCAGCCATCTGGCCCCAGGCTAGAAAGTGCTGGGCTTCCAGTACAGTACCTACAGAGGCCATGGGGCATGAGGAGGGCGGGAAAAGGGGCAGGGTAGGGAGCAGTGGGCACCAAGCTATGGTAGAAAGGGGAGTGGCTGGGAAGGTGGTGAGGAGACTTGGTTTCCAGCACTGGTAACCCGGTGCAACCTTGGGCAAGCCACTGCACCTTTCTGAGCCTCTGTCCTCAACCTGTGCAGGCGGGAAGATTGTCCTGGTCCCCTGGGCCTGCAGGAGGCGGATATTCAGAGTCCAGGGGAGCCCGGGCCACAGCATTCACAGGCTCTTACATCTACATCTGTGTCCTCCCCCACAGAGCTTCCTGGCTGTGGGGTGAAGGCCTCCTCCCCAACCAGCCTCACCCCTTTCCCAACCATCTGGTGCACAGGACCCTACAGCCTCAATGGGTCTTGGCTTCAGCCAGACCCTCTCCCATTGCCAGGTGGGGAACCCCGGCTTCCAGCCCCAGCCTCCCTCCCAGCACAGCCCTCATGAGGGCACAGGCCCAGAGGGGTGGCTCGGTGCCATCTAAATACCTGAAGAATGGGCAGATCCCACGCCTCGGCCACCTTCCCTGCCTCATCAAGTGTTTCCGTCTTCTAGGAGCTGCTGTGGAGATGAAACGGGCATCCCCCAGGCCCTGTGTCCAAAGCCCACGGGCTTTTCTTTTTTCTTTTTCTTCTTCTCTTCTTCTGCTTTTTTTTTTTTTTTTTTTTTTTTTTTTGAGACAGGATCTCACTCTGTCACTCAGGCTGGAGTGCAGTGGCACGATCTCGGCTCACTGCAACCTCCACCTCCCAGGTTTAAGCGATTCTCCTGCCTCAGCCTCCCAGGTAGTTGGGATTACAGGTGTGAGCCACCACACCCAGCTAATTTTTGTATTTTTAATAGAGACAGGGTTTCACCATATTGGCCAGACTGGTCTCGAACTCCTGATCTCAGGTGATCCATCTGCCTTGGCGTCCCAAAGTTCTGGGATTGCAGGCATGAGCCACCGGGCCTGGCCACTTTTCTTACCTTCTAAACAAGACTCCCACCTCGGCAGTGTGAACTTTCAGCCTGGGCTCCCCACCTTGGGGCAGAGGGGGCTGCCCTCCATACAGCGGGGCCTGTGCCTTCCTCCACGCATGGAGGTAACAAGACTCAGAATTAGCTGTCATGGTCAAAAAAAGTCCTCCACACACGCGACGGCCCAGAGATGTTGCCATGGTAAAGGGGGCGTCTAGAGAACAGCGGGTGCTCCAGGAATCCCCGGCATTGAGACAAATGCTAGCGCTTGTGCTGGTGGGGCACACACAATGCACCCAGCTTCATTCTGCCCTGCCAGCACAAGGGAGCCAAGGCCCTCCGGACTCCCGAATATACTTTATGATGCTCGAGGTTCCAAAGCCGCCATGAGGATTCTCAGGGCTGTTGTTTATTTGTGAACTTAGGAGACAGCAGAAGGAACAAACAAAACTTAGTGCTTGACAGCCGTCATCTGATACATGAAATTACATTGCCTAGCTCCAAGACAGCAGCAGTGAAAGGCAGGGGCCCTCCCACCTAGGAATGTATTGTCCGGTTGGGGAGACAAGGGTAAAGAGGCTTTAATGCCAAGTGGCAGGTGAAGGCTTGAGCAGTGCGGTCCTTGGTCCTCGTGGGGTCAGCATATCACCTGGTAATTCTCTCCACCTGCTCCTGCCAGACTGATCCAGCCACCCATGTGTCCCACAGGCTGACTGACAACTGCCTGTATAGTCGCCAGCTGGTAACTATATTGAGATCGCCTTCATGTAGGAAGGCATACCATCCCCATTTTCCATGAGGGGAGACCGAAGTTCAGGGAATCCGGGTAACCCCACACAGTCAGGGGGCAGGACCCAGATCCACACTCAGGCTCATCAGATTCCTAAGCCCAGGAGGCACGGGAGATAAGACTGGCATGAAGAACGTGGTCTCAGAGCAGTCAGGATTTAGTGGGCACATGGATGGTGAATATTCCAAGCAAGGAGATAAAGCAACGAAAAGGTTTAAAGAATTAAATTCCCCATGACAAACGTTTTGCCATTTGAGTCAAGTTGGGTAATCTCCGTTCTAGACTTATTTCTGCTACTGAAATTCCCTGGATCGCTTAACTTCTCTGAAATTTAATTCCCTCCCTTGCAAAATGGGGCATGCTTATGCCACAGGGACATTGCCACGAAGGCATTTTCAGGGGGTTAAGACACCGCCTGAGTACAGGATGTCACTGTTGGAGAGATTAATTTTAAGGGTGACTAATGAGTTATGAGCAATTTGTGTGGGAGCTGACCCAGGGTATCCAGAGCTGCTCAGAAAGAGGGTGCATGGAAAAGCCTCTGGGGATGCTGCTCCCCTCCCCGGTGTATTGCAAGCTTGTCATCCACCCGCTTCTTCAAAGGGGTTTCTTCTGGCTGCAGAAGGGAGGATGCACAGACCCAGGCACGGATCCCTGGTAGATCACGCCCTCGCGTGGCCGCTTCCTTGCGTGACAGCTTGGCCTGTGGGTGCCGGGTTAGTGGAGGATGAGTTCCAGAGCTGGAGGCGCGTTGCAGGCAAAGGGTGTGATGGGGGCATGGACTGAGTAGGCAATGTGCTCCCCAAGGCTGTGTCCACCTCAGCACCCGCCCTGTGGCTCCCTGTCCCCTCTTTCCACCGACCCCGGGACCTCACTGCCCCCAAACTCTTGCTGCATACAGCTCAGTGGAAGGGGAAATAATTTTATTATTTCTCTTTCTCCCTCTGTGTTCACAGAATACAACTTTTGTTTCTGTAAAACTATCCAAATAATGACAAGAATACAAAATAGAAAGTTCAGGAAAAATTTACCCAATAGGCCACCACCCAAAAATAATTTCTTAAAAAATAATATTTTGGGAGTATCATTCCAGAGGTTCTCCAAACCTATACGCAAAAGAATAGATTTAGGGAAATAATTATTAATATATAAAATGACATTTTTGTGCACAGCTTTTTAAAAAGCAAAAGCATACAATTCGGTTTCATTGAACTTATAAGGAAAGGAAGCTGGGTGCAGCGGGATGTGCCTGTAATCCCAGATACTCCACAGGCTGAGATGGGAGGAACCTGAGCCTAGGAGTTTGAGAACAGCCTGGGCAACATAGTGAGACTCTCAAAAACAAATAGTATTAAAAAAAGAAAACAAAATTTAAAAGACTGGCAAATTTCAAATGAGTTCTTTTGTTTTAAGCTGATATCTTTGTATTTCTTTTTTTTTTTCTTTGAGACAAGGTCTCACTCTGTCTCCCAGCCTGGATGGAGTGCAGTGACACAATCTCAGCTCACTGAAACCTGCGCCTCCCCAGCTCAAGCAATTCTTGTGCCTCAGCCTCCCGAGTAGCTGGGATTACAGGTGCGCGCCACCATGCCAGTTAATTTTTTGTATTTTTAGTAGAGACAGGCTTTCATGATGTTGGCCAGCCTGCCAAAGTGCTAGGATTACAGGCATGAGCCACCGCACACAGCCTGATATTATTGTATTTATTCTTATAAAACATTTCCAACATATGAAAAAGTAGAGTGAATAATGAAATGGTCTTACAACTACTTTCAACAAATCAGGACATGCCCTTGGGCTTGGGTTGAGAAGCTTTTCTTCTTTTTTTAATAAAAATGTTCACAGAAGACACTAATTAATGGAGGTATACTTGTAGGCAGGATTTCCCAACAGGCCGGATTCTGTTCTATGATGCTAGAACCTGGACACTCAACATCTATCCCCGCAGTTCAGCTGGGGCCAGCACCACCTGGGCACGGGGCTTCCAAGCACTTTCCGTTCACTGTCTCTTGTGCTTTTGGGTACCTAGAAGGTGCATATTATTATTGTTCCCACTGTGGGGCAATGAAGGCCTGGAGAGCAAAAGCCGCCTGTTCAGGTTGGGATGTAACTTCAGGTCTGTTGGGCATCAGAGCCTGGGCACTGGAGATCATTTCTGAAATGATGCAGGGGCTACATGTAAGATCCCAGGTACTCATGCTGACAAAGAACAAAAAATCTGGGTGGAAGAAGATTTCAAGAGTTAGTGACCTCAAAGCCCCATTATCTCAAGCAAAATGAGAGGAAATTCTGTCCTATCTTCCTGACTTTCTTGAGAGAAGTTTGTTTGGGAAACTTCCTCTGCCATCGGAAGTAAGATGGACAAAAACATCTTTCAGAAGATGACGGAAGCTGAGCCTGGCTGGGCCACCTGTGGGTGTCTCTAGAATTCAACCTTTTATAGGTAATCATACTGTTACCATTCACTCAAGACCCACTGGGCCATGAATCCTGGATATTAACTATGAATGAGGGTATTTTTTAATAGAAAATTCAAAAATAATCACAGGAATAATTTAGTATTTTTGCAATAACTACTGAGGTTAAGAAGCAACAGTAAATATGTGCCTCTTGAGAGCTTGGTGCTCAAAGCCAGGTGGCGGGAGCTAAGGGTCAAGCTTAGGGTGGTCTGGCTGCCAGTCCTAATGGCACAAGGGCAGTGAGATGGGCCAGTCTGACACCATGTACACTGGGACCCCCATAGCTGCCACCTCCAGCCACAGCCTACCTCCCAAAGCTTTGCCCTGATCAGCAGGGCCCCAAAGGACCTGTGTGAGAATTCTATCAGTCAGGGCACAGACCAGGCCCCCGGGTAAGTCTCACTCCCACTGGGGCTTATCTGGTCTCAGCTCCTGACTAGGACTCTGGTCCAACCCAGTGCTGTCTTCCAGTCTCTACCTGAACGGGCCAACTGCATCCCTGCCTCAAACCTGCTCTTAGCCCACCTCCGCTGTTTCCTAACGGTGGCCAGGACAAACAAGGTAATTATTGTAGTCATACTGATAGTATGAACTTAGAAATCTGAACTTTAGGCTGGGCGTGGTGGCTCACACCTGTAATCCCAGCACTTTGGGAGGCCAAGGCGGGTGGATCACTTGAGGTTAGGAGTTCGAGACCAGCTTGAGCAACATGGAGAAACCCTGTCTCTACTAAAAATACAAAATTAGCTGGGTGTGGTGGCGCATGCCTGTAATCCCAGCTACTCGGGAGGCTGAGGCAGGATAATCGCTTGAACCTGGGAGGCAGAGGTTGTGGTGAGCCGAGATCGTGCCATTGAACTCCAGCCTGGGCAACAAGAGCAAAACTTCATCTCAAAAAAATAAAAAGAAAAAGAAATCTGAACGTTAAACTGCAACAAATATCCAGACAATAAAAAAAAAAAACATAGAGTCAGCACTAGCATTAATATTGTAGCACTGTAGGGAGAAGTCAAGGAAACTTAACGCAAATGAAATAAACGTCAGAAACTCAGGAAAATAAAATAAAACAAAAACAAGTTCAAAACAAAGATAAACGAAGGAAAAATAACAGTAAACACACAGCAAAGTGTTAAGTGTCTTTAATATGCAGGAATGCCTCAATTTTAAAAAACGGATGAAGAATAGGTAATTCTTCAAAAGACACACAAACCTCTGCCAAAGCCACTGGACAAAATGTAAAAGCTCTGTCCTCAACAAGAACAAAATCTGGGCCAGCCTTCAGGCTGCCATTCTGTGCTGAACTTCCTGGGAGAAAGTATAAACTGGGTTGGTTGGTTGGTTTGTTTTACCTACCCTTACTCTTCAAAACTTACCTTAGAAGCCTCCTTGCTGTGGAAGCTGCTCCCGACTCCTCCAGGGTAAGCAGGCCCTACTCCTAGGTGCCTTCACCGGGCTTTTGCCGGTCGTCTCAGTACTCATTGTGGATTTCTCCCCACCAGGTCCAGAAGCTCAGCCAGGGCAGGATCTCCAGCACCAGAACGTGTGTGTTGTGCCGTAGACACTCAACAGATGCTTTGTAAAACATTGCATGTGTGCATGCACGAAGATGAATACAGTAAACGCATAATTTGTAACCATGAGCCAAAATGTTTCTTGACTCACCATGACACCTAGTGGTGACTAATCTCCATTGCAGACCCGACAAAATCAGCCATCACTGCTGTGGGTGCTTGTGTTTTCCTTTGTTCCAGCAAAGGCCTTCTGAGCACCAACTATGTGCCATGTGCAGGGACCATGTGCATGCAGAGGACCCTTGGGTGAGTTGGTCAGTCCCTGTCCTCCACTGTCCTCCAAGGGTTTATGGGCAAGATACACCCACTGCCGCTCACCACCACATAGCGTCAGCATTCAAGCTAATGTTACACCATCGTAGGGAGAAGTAAAGGAAACTTAGGCCAACCGCGAAATCATTTGGAGAAACGAGAAAGGCAGCCTCTGAGGGAGGTGGAAACTCTTCCTATTACATGGAACTACCTCCTAACAACAGCCTGTTTGTCATCCCCTTTAACGCTAACTCAGGTTCCAAGAATCGGAATATTGTCTCAATTTCACTCCTGGCTTCAGCAAACATTGACAAAAGTCAACACCTAAAGCCACGATAGCTTCCGTGATTCCTCCACCTCTGCAGAGAAAGGAGGCTGGGGAGGGAGACACATCTAGTCCTGTCTTCAGCTTCTATTTCCTCCAGTCTCTTCTTCCCCCACCTCTCCAACCAAGTGGTAAAAGGTAAATCCTGATTGGACAGCCACTTCAGAAGCAAAATAGATTCCTGGATTTCTTATACAAAAATTATAACAGAACAAATGAAAACAGTATAAAGCCAGAATAAAACACAGGTGACTTTTTATTCTTCTGGGCTTAGGTAAATTCTAGTTACTACCAGAAGCTATAATGGAAAACATGGAAATATTTAACTTTGTAACCCTTCTATATGGCAAAAAACAAAAACAAAACAAAAACTAGTTCAAAACCAAGAAAAACTGAGGGAAAACAACAGTAAGCACACAACAAAGTGCTACTATTTTTAAGATGCAATGAACAGTTACAAGTCAATAAAAAATAAAGACCTCAATAAAAAGAACAGGTAATTCTTCAAGAGACATACACATAGCAAGCTATATGGCAATTAAAATAAAATTGTTTGCTGAATTAATGAGGATTTAAAAACATGTAATACCTAACTAATGCTGACAAAAGTATTTGTGGGAGTGTAAACTGGCACATTTCCAAAGAAAAATTTGGTAATAGATATCAAAATAGCAAATGCAGGCTGAGCATGGTGGCTCACGCCTGTAATCCCAACACTTTGGGAGGCTGAGAAGGGAGGATCACCTGAGGTCAGGAGTTCAAGACCAGCCTGGCCAACATGGTAAAACCCGTCCCTACCAAAAATACAAAAATTTGGCCGGGTGCAGTGGCTCACGCCTGTAATCCCAGCACTTTGGGAGGCCAAGGCGGGTGGATCATGAGGTCAGGAGATCAAGACCATCCTGGTTAGCACGGTGAAACCCTATCTCTACTAAAAATACAAAAAATTAGCTGGGCGTGGTGGCAGGTGCCTGTGGTCCCAGCTGCTCAGGAGCCTGAGGCAGGAGAATGGCGTGAACCCGGGAGGCGGAGCTTGCAGTGAGCCGAGATTGCACCACTGCACTCCAGCCTGGGCGACAGAGTGAGACTCCGTCTCAAAAAAAAAAAAAAAATGAAAATACAAAAATTAGCCGGGCGTGGTGGTGGGCACCTGTAATCTCAGCTACTCAGGAGGCTAAGCCAGGAGAATCACATGAACCTGGGGGGGTGGGGGGGTTTGCATGAGCCGAGATTGTGCCACTGCGCTCCACCTGGGCAACAGAGTGAGACTCTGTCTCATAAAAAAAAAAAAGTAGATGCAAATATCTTTTACCCAGCAAGTCCATTTCTAGAAATATATATTCTAGAAATATATTCTAAGAAAATAATTTGCCAAGTGCATTTGGATACATGTTCATCAAAGCATGGTGTGTGTGTGTATATACATATGTATACATATATACACACACATATACATACACATGTATTTATATAGAGAGATATTAGAAATAATTTGTCATTCATTAGAGAAAAAGAATAATTTTTAGATGTGAGCCAAAATTATACTTGATTAATCATGTTATGATTAATAAATTCTGATAGGTTGATCCTACAGAATACCAGATAGTCATTAGACATAGTAATGTAACTCTACATTTATTATCATAAAAAGTAGGTTCAGAATATATTGCTGAGCTTTGACAACAGCAACAAAAAAGCACTATCTATAAATCCACATAAAGATTGTAGTTTGAAAGGATATTCACCAAAATGTTAGTAGTGCTTTATCTGTGGGTGGCTGGATTTAGACTAACGTTTACTTTCTTTGTACATTTAAAAAAAAATTATATGGCAAGAATGTGTTGTTTTAAAATTAGAAAAACACGAACTGTTTTCATTAAAAGAAAAAAATTAGCCCTGCCTTTCAGATATGTCCAACTCAGCTACTACATTTGACTATTGAGGCAAAAAATACAGAAACTGTATAATGTTCCTCATGAGAAATACAGGAAAGCTACATTCTGAGAATCAAGGTGAGCTACGTGGTTCTTATTTTCCTTTGGAAAGACACAGTTCTTTCAAGTACCCCTAATAAGGTGGATGGCTCCCAAGAACGATATGTAACAATATACAGTATAAACACTCAAAACCTGAAATGGGCCGTCCACGGAGGCTTTGGGTTTTTCATGTCACAGGCTCTGACCAAGCTTCCCTGCCTGGGATAGACTCTTCCTGAGGCTCACATCTACAGTAAATGTAATTACACTTTAATGGTATTCATCGCATTCTGTCACTTTTTCCATTGCTCCTATTTTTAACCAGCACAATGGGAACATTTGTCCTCTGATTCACTGAGCGGTTTTAGGCCAGGAATCTGGCTTTTAAAATGACAGTACCCTTAATCCTATCGCTGACTTTTCAAATGAAATAACAGCCTGTAATTAAAACAATGGCACACAGGCAGCCTCCGTGGGATAAGAATAGCAACTCAGCATGGAATTCAGGTAATGGCATTTATCAGCGGCTGTGTCAGGAGGAAGGGATGGAGAAGCAGGCTCTGGTCCTGGCGGTGTGGCCTTTGCAAGTCACTTCAAAGTCCTGAGCTGCAGTCCCTATGAAAGAGGCATGGGTTCTTAGAGTCCTTTCAGTTAGGTGTACCCAGCAGAGTGAACAAAACCAACCTGAGACTTCTGCTCCTCTGGAAGAACCCTGGGGTCCTGCTCATTCAAGCAATGCACATGGGATGTCCAAAGCTATTGGGGCAGTTGGGACCCCCCGTCCGAGCAAATGTCATGGAGAAGTGGGCTCTATGTCCTCTCCCCCCGAGTCTCAGCCAACTTGCGCCAGCTTCAACTTCTAGAATGTAGTGAGTGTGATGCTCTGTGATGCCCCAGGCTAGGTCACAAAAGGCCACATACCTTCTTGAGCTCTTCATTTGCTTGCTCTTGTGACACTTCCTCTTGGAACCTGGCTCCTGTGACATGCAGAGCCAGAGCCATGCGCAAGGGGTGCACCGGTGCTCCAGCCAACAGTCCCAGCTGAGCTCAATCTTCCAGCCACCTCAGCCTGGCCCCAGACATAGGCGGGATGACCCACCTGAGTATCTCCCAGTATTTTGTTCCTATGTTGGGTTTTGTTTTTTGGGGGTTTTTTGCTTTTTTTTTTTTTTTTTTTTTTTTGAGACAGGATCTCCCTCTGTCATCCAGGCTGGAGTGCTGTGGCGTGATCTCGGCTCACTGCAACCTCTACCTCCCAGATTCAAGCGATTCTCCTGCTTTAGCCTCCTGAGAAGCTGGGATTACAGGCATGCACCACTATGTCCTGCAGATTTTTTTTTGTATTCTTAGTAGAGATGGGGATTCACCATATTGGCCACACTGGTCTCCAACTCCTGGCCTCAGGTAATCCACCCACCTCAGCCTCCCAAAGTGTTGGGATTACAGGCGTGAACCAACCTGCCCAGCCCTCCCCCAGTGTTTTGAGCCTATCTTGTCGAGGCCCCAGACATTGTGGAGCAAAGGCAAGCCCTGGCCACATGGGTCTTGATCCATGGAATTTGGGAGCATGTCCCAAAAGGTGGTTGTTCATGCCACTAGGTTTGTGATGGGTTGCTGGGTAGCAAAAGCAACTGGAACTCCAAGTCTGATGTAAGAGTTTACGTAGACCGGGCGCAGTGGCTCACGCCTGTAATCCCAGCACTTAGGGAGGCCGAGATGGGTGGATCACGAGGTCAGGAGACGGAGACCATCCTGGCTAACATGGTGAAACCCCATCTCTATTAAAAGTACAAAAAATTAGCTGGGCATGGTGGCGGGTGCCTGTAGTCCCAGCTACTCGGGAGGCTGAGGCAGGAGAATGGTGTGAACCTGGGAGGCGGAGCTTGCAGCGCGCCAAGGTCGTACTCCAGCCTGGGCGACAGTGCAAGACCGTCTCAAAAAAAAAAAAAAAAAAGAGCTTACGTAATAAACACTTATTTAGCTTGCAGTGTACAAGACCCTGTCCTAAGCAAAATGCAAATATTAGTTTGTGTTATAATTAAAATTCATCTCTATAACAGGTCTGTGAGGTCCATAGTATTACTGCCTATATTTTACAGGTGAAGACACTGAAACTCAGAAGAGTTATGTAACTTGCCCAAAGTCACACAGCTACCAAGTTGGAAAGGCAGCATTCCAACTGAGGCCACAGAAGGCATGCTTTTTTTTTTTTTTTTTTTCCACAGGGTATTGCTCTGTCCTCCAGGCTGGAGGGCGGTGGCGCAATCTTGGCACTGCAACCTCTGCCTCCTGGGTTCAAGCAATTCTCCGCCTCAGCCTCCTGAGTAGCTGGGACTACAGGTGCCCGCTACCACAGTGGGCTAAATTTTTTTTTTTTTGGGTATTTTTTAGTAGAGGGAGGGTCTCACCATGTTGGCCAGGCTGGTCTCAAACTCCTGACCCCAGGGGATCTGCCCGCCCTCAGCCTCCCAACGTGCTGGGATTACAGGCATGAGCCACCAAGCCGGGCCGAATGCAAGTATTTTGCTTCTGCTCAAATCTTCATGCATTGTCTCCACCTACAACCTCTGGTAACCACCCAGCATGCTTTGTTTCTTCCTGCCTTGCCTTGATAGGAAGTGATTGGGGGCTCCAGGAAAACCCATCTATTTTGCATATCTTGAGAAAAAATCTAATAAAAAGGTACTATCTCCCTAGGAAAAGGCAAGTTCATTATGTGTCTTTCAGACCAGCCTTTTGATGACTTCTGGTCCTGACCTGATTTCTTGGAGGCCCCAGGCGGGGGCTAATTTACATCTTTGCAGCCACGCATGCAGCCAGAGATTGCTTCTTCAGCGGCAAGCTCCCATTTAGCAGTCATTTTCTTTGGGTACACATTGAGTTCCCAAGTTTTTGTGAGCTTACTCAGCAGGCCTGCTGTCTCCAAAAGAGGACACTGCATGATAGCGGCCTTCAAGAGCCTTCAGGAGCTCTTAGGGGCTGGATGTGTCTGCTTCCATAAACATTTATATGCACCCACTAGCACATCCTAATCAATAAAGTATAATGCTTTGTGGCCTTCTAGCAGAAACTCTTTTTCCTAACTCTACTTCCACCATTTAAAAGTTTTTCCTGGAGCCATGGGGTCAGATCCTGCTTGGAGTGCCATTAGATCATGTATAAATCACCTACAAAAGTCTCCTCCACTCTATATACTTAAAAATCCTTCCCACTGGGTGCACTGGCTCATGCCTGTAATTCTAACACTTTGGGAGGACAAGGTGGGCAGATCACGAGGTCAAGAGATTGAGACCATCCCGGATAACATGGTGAAACCCCGTCTCTACTAAAAATCAGAAAATTAGCTGGGCATGGTGGTGGACACCTGTAGTCCCAGCTACTCCAGAGGCTGAGGCAGGGGAATTGCTTGAATCCAGGAGGTAGAGGTTGCAGTGAGCCAAGATTGCACCACTGCACTCCAGCCTGGTGACGGAGGGAGACTTCGTCAAAAAAATAAATAAATAAACAACCTTCCCTTTGGTTGATATTTATTTATTTATTTATTTATTTATTTATTTATTTTTGAGACAGAGTCTCGCTCTGTCGCCCAGGCTGGAGTGCAGTAGCATGAACTCGGCTCACTGCAAGCTCTACCTCCCAGGTTCACACCATTCTCCTGCCTCAGCCTCCCAAGTAGCTGGGATTACAGGCGCCTGCCACCACGCCCGGCTAATGTTTTGTATTTTTGGTAGAGACGGGGTTTCACCATGTTAGCCAGGATGATCTCGATCTCCCAACCTCGTGATCCACCTGCCTCGGCCTCCCAAAGTTCTGGGATTACGGGTGTGAGCCACCGCACCTGGCCTGGTTGATCTTTATTTTTATTTTTATTTATTTATTTATTTATTTATTTATTTATTTATTTGTTTTTGAGATGGGCTTTCACTCTATTGCCCAGGCTGAAGTGCAGTGGAGGGATCACAGCTCACTGCAGCCTCAACCTCCCCAGGCTCAGGTGATCTTCCCACCTCAGCCTCCTGAGTAGCAGGGACTATAGGCATGTACCACCATGCTGGCTAATTTTAGTATTTTTTTGTAGAGACAGGGTTTCACCATGTTGCCCAGGTTGGTCTCAAACTCTTGAGCTTAAGAAATCTGTCTGCCTCAGCCTCACAAAGTGCTGGGATTACAGGTATGAGCCATTATGCCAGGCCCAGTTGATCTTTTTTAAACAAATAAAAGTGAATAAAAATGGTGTCGCTTTGGCCAGGCGCGGTGGCTCATGCCTGTAATCCCAGCACTTTGGAAGGCCGAGACGGGCGGATCACGAGGTCAGGAGATCGAGACCATCCTGGCTAACACAGTGAAACCCCGTCTCTAGTAAAAATACAAAAAATTAGCTGGCCTGGTGGCGGGCGCCTGTAGTCCCAGCTACTCAGGAGGCTGAGGCAGGAGAATGGCGTGAACCCAGCAGGCGGAGCTTGCAGTGAGCCGAGATTGCGCCACTGCACTCCAGCCTGGGCAACAGAGCAAGACTCCGTCTCAAAAAAAAAAAAAAAGAAATGATGTCGCTTCTTACCCACCTACTGTTCTACTTGCAGAACAAAAGATACAAACATTAATTTAAACATAATTGCCAAGAGAGGGCTTTCAAACATCACCAATTCTTCCTTCCTTCCTTCCATCCCTCCCTTCCTTCCTTGCCCCTTTCTTTCTTTAAATTACGTGCTTACCAGTTTTAGGGTAAGAACTATGAGAAGTTACAAATACAGGAGAACACTGGGAAAGTTCTGGGAGGAAACTGCATCCATTTGATAGAAGCCACAGCTTTACAAATCATCTCAAGCCCATCCTGTATGACTCAGAATTCATTTTGAAGAGATTCCCTCCCCATGTATTGTTTGCCGATTGAAGCATAAAAACATATCCACTAACACAAAGTTAATTCTCCCAAAACTTCTCACTGTCCAGATTATGTTCGGTGGAATATAAGCCACTGGATCTGCTGAGGCAAGTTAGGGAAGGGGAAGCAAGGAGCGTGGGAGGGAGTCCTCAAGTTCAGAGACTTCCATTCGGCTTCACGGCCTGTGCCTCTCTGGTTCTATTTTTCTCGTACTCATTCTAACACCACCAAAAGTGGAAAATGTACCTTGAACTCCAGTGACCTTCATCCACTCTCTTTGAATGTGGTCACATGCCTCTATGGGCTGGACATTATTCTAAAATAATTCACCTCTTGGAATCCCCGAGGATAGAAAGAATAACCCAGATGCAACAGAGCTCAGCACGTGGGCTAACATGGCTCCAACCGCCTCTTTCCATGCTGATGCTCTGCCTGTAACTTAGAGGGTGGGTCCATTACACGAGCTTATGAATACTCTGAGATAACCCAGTTGAGTGTGATGCAAGTAGAGGTTGTAGATTTTAAAAAGTCAAAGGACCCAGAATGTAATGCAGGTGGAGGAGAGTTGTCTTGGAAAGTGATAAAAGTCCCACTGTGACAACACAAAGCCCTCCTCTGCTTTATACTGCAAGACCCACCTCTGGCTAAGAAACCAAAAAGGTAAAGGTTGATCTAGAGGCAGAGATGGGTGTTTTTTAACATCCTAAGAAAAATGCGAGAGTACGATTAGAAAAAATAGATTATACAAGGAGGATGGTGTAATGGTGGAAACATAAAAGGGAGGAAAACTATATGAAATTCTCTAAATAAAAGCATTAAAAGATGTCATTTAAGAGTCTCCCCAAATTGTACTAAAAACCTACCTTAAGAGTTATGAGTCACGTAAGGCCCTGTTTGTAACTGCAAGTACTAGACCAAACAATTAATCCCAAATTAGCAAATCTTTCATGATGTCAAAGCTTCAATGCTTTCAAATACTAAGACGCTGCTGCTGACGACAGTGATGATGACGATGGTCACTATTATTGCAAGAGCAACAACAATGAAACTCTTCTAAGTAAACAAAACCTCAGCTAAGTACTGAGAAATCTTAGCTCATTAAATCCCCGCACAATCATAGGAGTTGGATCCTTTTCACAGATGAGAAAATGGAGGCATAGGAAGATTAAACACACTCGTTTGGCACCATGAGAGGCTGCCAAGCTCTGCTGTAGGTGATGATAAAAACAAAGATGAAGCCATCTGCTCCAGGAAGGTGGGTCCTTTCGGGGCAATTTGGAGTCACCCTGGGTTTCAGGGTCTAGTCCTCAGCCTGACATATTCAACAAGCTCCTTTGTTAATTCAGAGGTAATTGAGTCTCGAGAACTGTAGCAATTAACATAGGTTCAGATTTAATTATAAATCAGAATACCAAATTTTTAATTCAGAGGTTCCTAAACTTCCATTGGTTCATGGCTCAGTATTTTTTTCATTGTGCGCCTAAGTCAAAAGAAATACAGTTGACCCTTGAACAACAGGGATTTGAACTGCCTGGATCCACTTACATGTGACTTTTCTTCAACCAAATGCCAATTGAAAATACAATATTTAGGCCGGGCGCGGTGGCTCACGCCTGTAATTCCAACACTTTGGGAGGCCAAGGCGGGCAGATCACGAGGTCAGGAGATCAAGACCACCCTGGCTAACACGGTGAAACCCCATCTCTACTAAAAAATACAAAAAATTAGCTGGGCGTGGTGGCGGGTGCCTGCAATCCCAGCTACTTGGGAGGCTGAGGCAGGAGAATGGCGTGAACCCGGGAGACAGAGCTTGCGGTGAGCCAAGATTGCGCCACTGCACTCCAGCCTAGGCTACAGAGCAAGACTCTGTCTCAAAAAAGAAAAGAAAAGAAAAGAAAAGAAAAGAAAAGACAGTATTCTCCGGATGTTAAACCTGCCTATAAGACCTTTTAGGGCCAGGTGCATTGACTCATGCTTGTAATCTCAGCACTTTGGGAGGCTAAGATGGGTGGATTACCAGAGGTCAGGAGTTTGAGACCAGCTTGGCCAACATGGCGAAATCCCATTTCTATTAAAAATACAAAAAATAGCCGAGTGTGGTGGTGCACACCTGTAATCCCAGCTACCTGCAACGCTGAGGCAGGAAACCTGCTTGAACCCAGGAGAGGGAGGTTGCAGTGAGCCGAGATTACACCACTGCACTCCATCCTGGGCAACAGAGCGAGACTCTGTCTCAAAAAGACAAAAAACAAAACAAAACAAAACCTTTTATTTATTTATTTATTTATTTATTTATTTATTTATTTATTTATTTTTGAGATGGAGTCTTGTTCTGTTGCCCAGGCTGGAGTGCAGTGACATGACCTCAGCTCACTGCAACCTCCACCTCCCAGGGTCTTCAAGCAATGTTCCTGCCTCAGCCTCCTGAGTAGCTGGGACTACAGGCCTGCACCACCACGGCTGGCTAATATTTGTATTTTTAGCAGAGATGGGATTTTCTTATGTTGGCCAAGCTGATCTTGAACTCTTGACCTCGAGTCATCTGCTCACCTTGGCCCCCCACAGTGCTGGGATTACAGGCGTGAGCCAACACACCCAGCCTAAAAACACCTTTTCGTATAGGCAGGTTCTGCAGGGCTGACTGCAGGATTGAGTACGAGGATTTGGTTATTTGCTGGTGGTCCTGGCACCAATCCCCCGCATACACTCAGCGAGACTGTAACGACTTTTATTAAGCAGTTAGCGCCAAACAATTTATTTTTATTTTTATTTTTGTCAAACAATTTATTAAGGTTTTATGTCTTAAACTTTTAGATGCTTGACCAAATATATATGAAAAGTGAAAGGAAAATTACCTATTAATGTGAGTAAGTACCTGTTGGATGCTGCATAAGTCCTCCAACCTTGAAATTGGAGATACCTCTCCCTCATATCCTGCTCCACATTGATTTGAGCTCTACCTGCTTTTATCACAGCAACCGCTAAAAACCCAACTTCAGAAAGATCAAAGGAATGTAGCGCAAGCTAATATTGGAACTGCGAACTGTTGGGAGCTGGTGGTTCCTGAAGTATTCAATAAATGTTCAGTATTGCAGCGCTTCCCTTGAGAACTTATCCTGTGCCCACGAACTTGCTACTGGGTTCAGAGGCACTTCAGCAAATGGTTTAGGAACTGCAGCATTAATTTATACTGAGAAATAGAACTGCTACTTAAGAAAGATAACTGCCGGCCCAATGCGGTGGCTCACGCCTGTAATCCCAGCACTTTGGGAGGCCGAGGCTGGCGGATCACGAGGTCAGGAGATCGAGACCATCCTGGCTAACAGGGTGAAACCCTGTCTCTACCAAAAATAGAAAAAATTAGCCGGGTTTGGTGGGGGGCGCCTGTAGTCCCAGCTACTCGGGAGGCTGAGGCAGGAGAATGGCAAGAACCTGGAAGGCGGAGCTTGCAGTGAGCCGAGATCGCACCACTGCACTCCAGCCTGGGGGACAGAGCGAGACTCCATCTCAAAAAAAAAAAAAAAGAAAAAAAGAAAAACAAGAAAAGATAACTGCCAAGGGTACTGGACTTCTCACTTTTTTTGTTCCCAATAAGATTGAGAAACCAAATCAGAGTCAGAAAGCCTTTGGTGCCCAGAGAGATAATGTGGGGATGATAGATCCACCCCGACATGGATCTAGTTATTGCAGTTACTCTGTGTGTGTGTGTGTGCGTGTGTGTGTGTGTGTGCGTGTGTGTGTGTGTGTGTGGGTGTGTCTGGGTGCAGGCACGTAATACATTGTTTCATTTAGGTATCTCAAATCTCAGATGGAACAAAAAGTTGCAAGTTTGTGATGCTTTTCTGTAACATTTGCTAAAAGACAAAGGATTGATTTGTTAATTATTCAACTTTTTATTAAGTATAATTTTCATGTAAAACATGTAGCTGTATTTTGCAAGGTTTCTTTAAATTTTTCTGATTGTCATCTCAGAGAGAGTTACTTACCAAAGAAAAGTACTGGTTTTTAATTTTTTTTTTAAAGTTGTATTTTATATATATTCCAGGGATATTAACAGCCTTTTTCTTCTCAGGAAGTTGGTATATTCAGTATTTTAAATGTCAATAAACAGATTCAGGGAGTTAAAGATCTGCCTTCAAAATTAAAAGCTAGAAGGGTCAGGTTAAAATAACCTAACACACCTTCATCTATTGTGGGATAAAACTACAACATTTCATGGGTTCTAAGCATCCTCCCCTCATTGTTAATATCTCTGAGGTCAGGGTGCATCTTATGGTTACTGTGGCAGGTGGCAGCTGTGATCAAGTTGTCACAGGCCAGGCGCGGTGGCTCACGCCTGTAATCCCAGCACTTTGGGAGGCCAAGGCGGGTGGATCACGAGGTCAGGAGATCGAGACCATCCTGGCCAATATGGTGAAACTCTGTCTCTACTAAAAATACAAAAATTAGCCAGGCATGGCAGTGCATGCCTGTAATCCCAGCTACTCAGGAGGCTGAGGCAGGAGAATCGCTTGAACCAGGAGTCGGAGGTTGCAGTGAGCTGAGATTGCACCACAGCACTCCAGTCTGGCGACAGAGTGAGACTCCGTCTCGAAAAAAGAAAAAAAGAAAAAGAAAGTTGTCACTGCATGCCACCTTCTGGTGGGATCAAGAAAGCACCAGCATCAAAACTAGCAGAAAAGACACTAGAGCTGGACTCTGAATGGAAGGACATTTTTAGGAATACCTTTACCAACTTACAGGAAGACCTCATGTTATTGCACGTTACATACACTGTTTTTTACAAATTGAAGGGTTGGAGCAAACCTGCATCAGGCAAGCCTATCAGTGCCATTTTTCCAACAGCATGTGCTCACTTCATGTCTCTGTCACATTTTGATAGTTCTTGCAATATTACCAACTTTTTCATTATTATTATATCTGCTAGGATGATCTGATCAGTGATCTTTGATGTTACTGTTGCAATTGTTTGGGGCGCCACAAACCACACCTACACAAGATAAACAAACTTACTCGATACATGTTGTGTGTTCTGGCTGCATCACAGATGGGCTGTTTCCCTATCTCTCTCCCTCTCCTTCAGCCTCCCTATTGCCTGAGACACAGCAATATTGAAATTAGGCTAATTGGTAACTCTACAATGACCTGTAAGTGTTCAAGTGAAAGGAAGCATTGGACATCTCTCTTTAAATCACAATTTAGAAATGATTAAGCTTTGTGAGAAAGGCATGACAAAAGATGAGATAGGCTCAAAGCTAGGCCTCTTGCACCAAACAGTTAGCCAATTAGTAAATGCAAAGGATAAGTTATTGAAGGAAATTAAAAGTGCTACTCCAGTGAACACATGATGGATAAGAAAGCAAATAGTCTTATTGCTGATATGGAGAAAGTTTTAGTGGTCTGGATAGAAAATCAAACTAGCCACAACATTTCTTTAAATCAAAGCCTAATCCACAGGAAGGCTGTAACTGTCTTTAATTCTTTGAAGTCTGAGAGGTGAGAAAGCTGCAAAAGAAATGTTTGAAGGTAGCAGAAGTTGGTTCGTGAAGTTTAAGGAAAGAAGCCATCTCAGCTGGGCATGGTGGCTCGCACCTGTAATCCCAGCACTTTGGGAGGCCTAGGTGAGTGGATCACTTGAGGTCAGGAGTTTGAGATCAGCCTGACCAACATGGAGAAACCCCGTCTCTACTAATAATACAAAATTAGCTGGGTGTGGTGGCAGGCACCTATAATCCCAGCTACTCTGGAGGCTGAGGCAGGAGAATCACTTGAACCCAGGAAGCAGAGGTTGCAGTGAGCCGAGATCATACCACTGCACTCCAGCCTGGGACACAGAGTGAAACTCTGTCTTAAGTAAATAAATGAATAAATAAATAAATAAGCCATCTCCATAACACAAAAGTGCAAGGTAAAGCAGCAAGTGCTGATGTGGAAGCTACAGCGAGCTATCCAGAAGATCTAGCTAAGGTCATTGATGAAGGTGGTCACATTACACAACAGATTTTCAGTGTACATGAAACAGCCTTCTGTAGGAAGAAGACACTATCTAGGACTTGCATAGCTAAAGAGGGGAGGTCAACGCCTTGCTTCGAACTCCAAAGGACATACTCTTTTATTTGGAGACAAATTCTCTTGTTAGGAGCTAATGCAGCTACTGACTTTAAGTTGAAACCAATGCTCATTGACCATTCCAGAAATCCTGGGGCCCTTAAGAATTAGGTTAAATGTACTCTGCTTGTGCTCTATAAATGGAAAACCAAAGCCCAGATAATAGCATATCTGTTTACAGCATAGTTTACAAAATATTTGGAGGCCTATTGCTCAGGATAAAAAGATTCCTTTCTAAGTATTACTGCTTGTTGACAATGCACTTGTTACCAAAGAGCTCTGAAGGAGATGCACAAGGAGATGAATGCCGTTTCATGCCTGCTAACACAACATCCATTCTGCAGCACAGGGGTCAAGGAGCAATTCTGAGTTTCAAGTCTTATCATTTAAGACACTTATTTCATAAGGCTATAGTTGCCATAGATAGTGTTTCCTCTGATGCGTCTGGGCAAAGTAAATTGAAAACTTTCTGGAAAGGATTCGTCATTCTACATATATATATATACACATATATATGTGTGTGTGTGTATATGTGTGTGTGTGTGTGTGTGTGTGTGTGTGTATATATATATATATATATATATATATATGGATACAGAATCTCTCTTTGTCACCCAGGCTGGAGTGCAGTGGTGTGATCTCAGCTCACTGCAACCTCCACCTCCAGGGTTCAACCAATTTTCCTGCCTCAGCCTTGTGAGTAGCTGGGATTACAAGCTTACACCACCATGCCCGGCTAGTTTTTGTATTTTTAGTAGAGATGGGGTTTCACCATGTTGGCCAAGCTGGTCTCAAACTCCTGACCTCAAGTGATCTGCCTGCCTCAGCCTCCCAAAGTGCTGGGATTACAGACGTGAGCCACCATGCCTAGCCAGATTCATCATTCTAAATGCCATGAGGACATTCGTGATTGATGGGAGGAGGTCAAAACACCAACATCAACAGGAGTTTGAAAAAAGTTGATACCAATCCTCCTGGATGACTTTGAGGGGGGGTTCAAGAATTCAGAAGAGGAAGTCACTGCAGATGTGGTGGAAACAGTAAGAGAGCTAGAGTTAGAAGTGGAGCCTGAAGATGGGACTGAATTGCTACAATCTCGTGATAAAACTTTAACAAACAGGAAGTTGCTTTTTATGGATGAGCCAAGAAAGTGGTTTCTTGAGAGATGGAATGTACTCCTGGTGAAGATGCTGTGAGCATTGTTGAAATGACACATTCCACTGTTGAATATTCCATAAATGTACTTGATAAGCAGCAGCAGGGTTTGAGAGGATTGACTCCAATTTTGAACAAGTTCTACTGTGGATAAAATTCTATCAAACAGCCTTTCATGCTACAGAGAAATCTATCATGAAAGGAATCAATGAGGAAAACTTCACTGTTCTCTGTTTTAAGAAATTGCCCCAGCCACCACAACTTTCAGCAACCACCACCCTGATCAGTCAGCAGCCATTAACAGTGAGGCAAGGGCTGGGTGCAGTGGCTCATGCCTGTAATCCCAGCATTTTGAAAGGCCGAGGTGGTCAGATTGCCTGAGGCCAGGAGTTCAAGACCAGCCTGGCCAAAATGGCAAAACCCCATGACTACAAAAAATACATTAAAAAAAAAAATAGCCAGTCATGGTGGTGCACACCTGTAGTCCCAGCTACTTGGGAGGATAAGGTGGGAGAATCGCTTGAGCCTGGGAAGTTGAGGTTGCAGTGAGCTGAAATCGTGCCACTGAACTACAACCTGGGTGACAGAGCAAGATTCTGTCCGCCCCCCCCCCACCACACCACACATACACACAAATTGAGGCAAGACCATCTACCAGCAAAAATATTACAACTTGCTGAAGGCAAGATGTTTGTTAGCATTTTTTAATCAATAACGCGTTTTTTAATTAGGGTATGTACTTTTTTTACACACACTTAATAGTCTACAGTAATCATATAATGTAAACATATTTGTCATACATACTGAGAAAACTGAAACTTTGTGTGACTTGCTTTATTGCAATATTGAGTCTGGAACTGAGCCTGCAATATCTCTCTTATGCCTGTATTTTACCTTTTAAAAAATGTATGCACAAGAGGGATATGTAACAAAAATCTACATTCCATTTTGTCCAAGCAAGATCTTTTAAACATATAAAATAGAACCAAGGGAGCAGGGTGAAGAAGAAGAGGCGAGAACGACCCCCCCCGACCGACCAAGCCCACGGGCCGCTGCATCCCACGCCCAGCGCCTACGTCCTGCCACCGTCGCTGCCGATACCACCATGCCCAAGAGAAAAGCTGAAGGGGATGCTAAAGGAGACAAACCCAAGGTGAAGGACGAACCACAGAGAAGATCTGCGAGGTTGTCTGCTAAACCTGCTCCTCCAAAGCCAGAGCCCAAGCCTAAAAAGGCCTCTGCAAAGAAGAAAGAGAAGGTACCCAAGGGAAAAAGGGAAAAGCTGATGCTGCCAAGGAGGGGAATAACCCTGCAGAAAGTGGAGATGCCAAGACAGAGCAGGCACAGAAAGCTGAAGGTGCTGGAGAGGCCAAGTGAAGTGTGTGCATTTTTTTTTTTTTTTTTTTGAGATGGAGTCTCGCTCTGTCGCCCAGGCTGGAGTGCAGTGGCGCAATCTCGGCTCACTGCAAGCTCCGCCTCCCGGGTTCACACCATTCTCCTGCCTCAGCCTCCTGAGTAGCTGGAACTACAGGCACCCGCCACCGCGCCCGGCTAATTTTTTGTATTTTTAGTAGAGACGGGGTTTCACCGTGTTAGCCAAGATGGTCTCGATCTCCTGACCTCGTGATCCGCCCGCCTCGGCCTCCCAAAGTGCTGGGATTACAGGCGTGAGCCACCGTGCCCAGCCCATGTGTGTGCATTTTTGATAACTATGTACTTCTGGTGACTGTACAGTTTGAAATACTATTTTTTACCATGTTTTATAAAAATGCAGAATTTTGTTTTACTTTTTTTTTTTAAGCTATGTTGTTAGAACACAGAACACTTCATTGTTGTTTTGGGAGGACGGGGCATGTGTCACTAATAGAAAGTCTCCGAAGCTGGATCGATGTGGGGAAAACACCTTTCCCTTCCAGTTTTGAGAGACTTCCTCTTGGCTCCCAGGAGGAGGGATTCCCTGACTTTGACACACATGACCACCTTGGCACAAAAGCCTTGTGGTATGGAAAACAAATTCGTTTTTATGTCCTCTTCTCCCTTTCCATCTTTCAGCAGAAAATTAACTCCCTTAAACCCAGACATCTGCTGGGACCTGACCCTCAATCATTGGTTACCAGTGTGTCAGGCAATCTGGACTTTCCAGTGATGCCACTGAGATGGCACCTGTCAAAAGAGCAGTGGTTCCATTTCTAGATTGTGGATCTTCAGATAAATTCTACCATTTTCATTTCACTTTCTGAAAGTCAGGGTCGGCTTGTGAAAAGTTGTTAAACAACATGCTAAATGTGAAATGTCAACCCTCACTCCAAACTTTCCCTATTCAGAGCATGAGATGAAGACTTCATTGGGTTTTATAGTGGCTTTCTGATTTCTGGTAGTCCATTGAAGAAGAGAGTTTGAAAGTTGTTGTATACTGTTAACGATTGTCTGCCCATGTCCTGCCTGAAATACCATGATTGTTTATGGAAAGTATCTTTAATAAAGCTGCATACAGTTTGGCTTGGGAAAAAAAAAAAATAGAACCAAACTCTGTGCAAGTTCAGACTCATGCTGCACCACCAGCATCCACACTGGGTCATCTGTGAAGTCCTTCTCCAAGGCACACAGACAGTTGCTCAGCCTTTGCGTAAGGACAGCCCGGAAGTGGAGGGCAGTTCACTCCCCTGGGGCACCCTCAAGTGGTGGAGGCCAGGGTTGGGTGATAAAGCAAGATCCTCTCTGTGGGTGGACAACTCTGGGAGGTCATCTACATGCTTCTTAGAGGTTTCAAAGGGATTGAGTTTCCGCTGCCACCAGCCCTGACCTCACATTCCCACCCTTCTGTCAGCTTTTCCCTTTCCCTGCCTCTGTCTCTCAAAGCTCTCATGCCTTCATCTTTGTTTTTTCTGTTTTGTTTTGTTTTGAGAGACGGAGTCTTGCTCTGTTACTCAGGCTGGAGTGCAGTGGCACAAACTTGGCTCACTGCAACCTGCACCTTCCGGGTTCAAGGGATTCTCCTGCCTCAGCTTCCCAAGTAGCTGAAACTACGGATGTGCACCACCACACCCAGATAATTTTTGTACTTTTTAGTAGAGACGGAATTTCACTCTATGTTGGCCAGGCTCGTCTAGAATTTCTGACCTCAGGTCATCCGCCTGCCTTAGCCTCTCAAAATGCTGGGGTTACAGGCGTGAGCCACCACACCCAACCACATGCCTGCATCTTTGGATCTCCTCTCGAACAAACTGTACCCAAGTCCCCGCTCAGGCTCTGCATCTGGGCAGACCCAAACTAACACCTATGTGTCCCTTTAGTTCTGGCACTTTACTATAGACACATGACAATCAAGAACTGAGTACCACCTTTCTTACAGGATTACAATTTCCTTTTTTTTTTTTTTTTTTTGAGACAGAGTCTCTCTTTGTCAGCCAGGCTGGAGTGCAGAGGTGTGATCTCACTTCATTGCAACCTCCGCCGCCTGGATTCAAGCAATTATCCTAACTCAATCTCCCAAGTAGCTGGGATTACAGGTGTATTCCGCCGTACCTGGCTATTTTTTGTATTTTTAGTAGAGACAGGGTTTCACCATGTTGGCCAGGCTGGTCTTGAACTCCTGACCTCAAGTGATCCGCCTACCTCAGCCTCCCAAAGTGCTGGGATTACAGGGGTGAGCCACCGTGCCTGGCACAATTTCCATTTTGATGTGATTCATGAACTGCCATATTTTAAAATAAATTTAATTTTTTTAGTATAGTTTTAGATTTGCAGAAAAATTCAGAAGCTAGTACAGTGAGTGCTCATATATCCTGCACCAGTTTTCTCTCCTCTTAACATCTTACATGAGCATCGTACACCTGTTACAATTAATGAATCAGTATTGATACATAATTAGTAACTAAAGTCTATCTGCTTTCAGAGTTCTGTTGTTTCTGACTGATGCACTTTTTCTGTTCTAGGACCTTATCCAGGACACCATATTCCATTTACTAGTCAGGTCTTCTTAGGCACCTCTTGGCTATAAAAGTTTCTCAGATTTTCCTTGTTTTTGATGACGTTGATAGTTTTTCTAGTCAGCTATTCTGTAGAATGTTCTTCAATTTGGACTTGTCAGATGTTTTTGTCTTAATTGTGGTTTGGTTTTTTGGAGGAAGACCAAAGAAGTAAAGCGTCATTTTCATTACATCATACCCAGGGTCTGTACTACCAGTATGACTCATCACTGTTGATTTTGACCTTGATCACCCAGCTGAGATAGTGTTAGGTTTCTACACTATAAAGATACTCTTCCCAGCCAGGCGCGGTGGCTCACGCCTGTAATCCCAGAAATTTGGGAGGCTGAGATGGGTGGATCATTTGAGGTAAGGAGTTCCAGACCAGCCTGGCCAACATGGCAAAACCCCATCTCTACTAAAAATAAAAAAATAAAAAAATTATTGTTGGGTACCTGTAATCCCAGCTACTGGGGAGGCTGAAGCAGAAGAATCACTTGAACCCAGGAGGCAGAGGTTGCAGTGAGCCGAGATCGAGCCACTGCACTCCAGCCTGAGCAACACAGCAAGACTCCAACTCAAAAAAAAGAAAAAAAAAAGGTACTCTTCCCACCTCCCTTTTCATATTGTACACTTTGGAAGGAAGTTGCTATGGACAACCCACCCTTAAAGAGTGGAATATCTTAAGTAGAGTATCTCTACGTTATTTGGAATGCTGCCTGGGCGATGGTCTCTTCTCCTCCACTTATTTATTTATTTATTTATTTCCATTCATATATATATATATGTGTGTGTGTGTGTGTGTGTGTGTATACATATATATGGGTTTCTTTGTGTTTTTTGTTTGTTTGTTTGTTTGTTTAGCTGAAGTTTCGCTCTTGTCACCCAGGCTGGAGTGCAAAGGCGTGATCCCGGCTCACTGCAACCTCCACCTCCGGGGCTCAAGCAATTCTCCTGCCTCAGTCTCCTGAGTAGCTGGGATTACAGGTGCTTGCCACCATGCCTGGCTAATTTTTGTATTTTTAGTAGAGATGGGGTTTCACCATATTGGCCAGGCTTGTCTTGAAATCCTGACCTCAGGTGATCCTCCCGCCTTAGCCTCCCAAAGTGTTGGGATTACAGGTGTGAGCCACGCGCCTGGCAACTTATTTATTCAATCATTTTTTTATCAGTATGAACTCATAGATATGTACTTTATATTTTGGGTTATAATCCAATATTTATTATATTGCCCAAATTGTTCCGGCTTTAGCTATTGGGAGATCTGTCAGTTGGCTCCTGGACCTCTGACGTACTCTCATCATTGTGGTTTTGTGTTTGTTTGTTCAGCAGTTTTTTGTGTTCTGGAATTACAAGATGCTCCAGGCTTATCCTGTATATTTCCTGCTTCAGTTTTAGAATCAGCCATTTCTTCAAAGAGCATTGGTTCCTTTTTTGGAGAAAAATCAAGATCTAAGTGGCAGGTATGTTCTTTGCTACTGGGGTGTCATTCCTCTTTCAGCCTCCCTCAACTGACAGAGCAAGGAAATGTGCGTGTGTATACTACCCAATGCATATACATTACCTAAATATTTCTGTTCATAAGCATCTGTATCTATATTAAACTAAACAGGAGTGGCCAGGCACGGTGGCTCATGCCCATAATCCCAGCACTTTGAGAGGCAGAGGCAGGTGGATCACTTGAAATCAGGGGTTCGAGACCAGCCTGGCCAACACGGTGAAACCCTGTCTCTACTAAAAATACAAAAATTAGCTGGGCGTGGTGGTGGGCACCTGTAATCCCAGCTACTCGGGAGGCTGGGGCAGGAGAATCGCTTGAACCAGGAGGTGGAGGTTGCAGTGAGTTGAGATCACTCCGCTGCACTCCAGCCTAGGCGACAGAGCGAGACTCTGTCTCAAAAAAAAGACAAAACCTAAACAGGAGTTCATAGTGATGACTCCAACTCTAATCTATTACCACATGGATTATTCTCACTTACACTCACCTTTGCCCCCCACTTATCTGTAACCTCTCATGATAACAGTGAGAAACCTGGCTCCCACCATCTGCCATCTATGTATTTAACTGTTCGATTCTCTTTATATGTATAGCAGTGTTACAACTGTTAATTCACACCCATGTGATAAATGACTTTATCAACTAGAGACAGGGCTTGTGTACAGCTTCTTTTGCCCTTCCCCTCATGGACTCATTTCCAGTGCTGCTTAGGTTAGCACATTTCCCCCAGCCCCCTTCTGTGAGGCTGTTTCATACATTTGTAATGCAGTTAGATTGTCTTGCCCCATTCTGCATTTCATCCAGGCATTCCCCAAACCCTCTAAAGATTTTTTGAAATTTGCATATATTAAGATTCACTCTTTGTGCCATGAAGTTCTATGAGTTTTGACGAACCCCTATTACCATCTCTCCACCATTATTGTATCATTCAGAATAGTTTGACTCCCTAAAAGTGCCATGTGCTTTACTTATTCAACCCTTCCACTCTCCCCTGAACCCCTGGTGATCACTGATCTTTTTACTGTATCTACAGTTTTGCCTTTTCCAGAATGTTATGTCTTAGTCCATTTAGTGTTGCTAGAAAGAAATACCAGAGGCTGGGTAATTTATGAAGAGGTTTATTTGGCCCACAGTTCTACAGGCTATACAAGAAGCATGGCACCAGCATCTGCTTCTGGTGAGGGCTTCGGCCTGCTTCCACTCATGGTGAAAGGTGAAAGGAACCAATGTACAAAGATCGCATGGCGAGAGAGAGGGGAGGGAGGTGCCAGGCTCTTTTTAACAACCAGCTGTCACGGAAATTAACAGAGTGAGTACTCATTCCATTGTGCATACCCCCTTCCCTTCCAGGGAGGGTGTGTTAGTCTGTTCTCATGTTGCTATAAAGAAATACCTGAGACTGGGTAATTTATAAAGAAAAGAGATTTAATTGGCTCATAGTTCAGTTCTGCAGGCTGTACAGGAAGCATGATGCTGGCATCTGCTTCTGGGGAGGCCTTAGGAAGCTTCCAGTCATGGCAGAAGGCAAAGGGGGAGTGAGGTGCCTCACGTGGTGGGAGCAGAAGCAAGAGAGAGAGTGAAGAGAGAGGTGCTATGCACTTTTAAACAATCAGATCTTACAAGAACTCCCTCACTATCAATTGTGAGGACAGTACCAAGGGGGATAGTGCTAAACCATTCATGAGAAATCCACCCTCATGATACAACCACCTCCTACCAGTCCCCAACTCCAACACTGAAGATTACAATTGAACATCATGGGATCTGGGCAGGACACAGATCCAGACCATATCAGAGGGTATTAATCTATCCATGAGGGATCCACCCCCATGACTTAAATTCCTCCTATTAGACCCCACTTCCAACACTGGGGTCAAGTTTCATCATGAGGATCAGGAGATAAATATCCACATCCCCTTTCAGACTGGCTCATTTCACTTAGCATCCGTTTTGTGTGTGTGTGTGTGGTTTGATAGCGCATTTCCTTTTGAAGCAGATACCATTGTCCTGATATACCACAGTGTGTTTATACATTCATCTATTGATGAATGTTTTGATTGTTTCCAGTTTTGAGCGATAATGAATAAAGATGCTATAAACATTTGTGTGCAGGTTTTGTGTGAACTTAAGTTTTCAAGTAGTTGGGTAAATACCTAGGAGCATGATTGCTGGATCGTATGGTAAGACTATTAAGAGTGTTATCTATTTATGTTTACTGTGATTACTGTTTTAGATTTCCTTCTAAAATCTTATTTTGGACTTTCTAAGACCTGCTTTTCTGTTTCTTTTTATTCTTCCATCTGGTCTTCTTTTGAATTAACTGAGATTTTTTCCCCCATTACTTTCAAAGTTATACACTCAATTTTTTTTCTTTTACTGTTACCTTGAAAAAAATATTTTTAACATGCATAAGTTTGCCAAACTCTTGAATACTTTGTAAAGGTCTAAGAATGCTTGAACTCCAGTTTATCCTCCTTCAGCTTGTGTACTCTTTTGTCCTGTTTTTTAGTTGTATTTTGTTCTTTATGTCCCAAAGAAGACAGACTTTGCATTACTATGTGAAGTCAATGTTCATTAAGATTTCCATTCCCCTTTTTTGGCCAACATGCTTTCTTGAACCTTAGACCTTACATCAGCTCATCATCTTTCTGCACAAAGCAAATTCCCTTTTTTTTTTTGGACGGAACTTCATTCTTGTCTCCCAGGCTGGAGTGCAGTGGCACGATCTCAGCTCACTGCAACCTCCGCCTCCCGGGTTCAAGCGATTCTCCTGCCTCAGCCTTGCAAGTAGCTGGGATTACAGGTGCCCACCACCACATCCGGCTAATTTTTGTACTTTTAGTGGAGATGAGGTTTCACCAGGTTGGCCAGGCTGCTCTTGGGAACTCCTGACCTCAGGTGATCTGCCCACCTCGGCCTCCCAAAGTGCTGAGATTACAGGTGTGAGCCACCACTCTTGGCAGCAAATTCCTTAACTTTCCTTTAGTGAGTGTCCATTGGTGACAAACACATCTATTCTATGTCTGAAATGTCTATTTCACCTAGTTCATTCTAGTTCATCCCTACAATACAGCTTCACTGGCTATAAACAACTTTGGGTTAAGAGCTGCTTTTTCCCTTAAGCCATTGATGACACTATTCCACTGTCTTCTGGCTTTCCTTCCTGCTGTTGGGAAGTCAGTAAGCCTCATCGTTACTATCTCATAGGTGGTCTGACTTTTGTCACTGCCTGATATCCTGCAGCTTCAATATATATGGAGGTATGGATTTATTTTATTTAACTCACTTGGGATGTGTGTAAGTTTCCAAATCTGTGAATTGGTGGCTTGCATCAATTCTGGAAAATGTCTTTATCTTTTCAAATACTTTCTACTTCCAGTTCTCTCCTAAAGTTTATCTGAGACATGCAAGAAAACCTCAGTCTTCCACATCTTTTTTCTTAGCAAATTAACACAAGACCACATTTTTTTTTTTTTTTGAGATGGAATCTCGTTCCGTGCCCAGGCTGGAGTGCAGTGGCGTGACTATCTCAGCTCACTGCAACCTCCACCTTCCAGGTTCAAGTGATTCTCCTGCCTCAGCCTCCAGAGTAGCTGGGACTACAGGTGTGCACCACACCTGGCTAATTTTTGTATTTTTAGTAGAGACAGGCTTTCACCATGTTGGCCAGGCTGGTCTCAAACTCCTGACTTCAAGTGATCTGCCTGCCTCAGCCTCTCAAAGTGCTGGGATTACAGGCGTGAGCCACCACACCCAGCCAGGATCACAGATTTTAAATGTAACATTTAAAATTTGTCCCACCCATTTGACCCTGTGCTTCGGGGGAATTGGCTCTGCTTTCTAGTTCATTAATTCGCTGTTCTGTTAGTTATTTTTTTAAGGAATTCATTTTTATCTAAGGTACTCTTTTTTTTTACACTTTTATATAACATAAAAAACTTTTTTATACGTTTTTACACTTTTATATAACATATAAAAAACATTCATCGTATATTTTATGTCTGAAAATTCCTCTCTCCTGTCTTTGCAGGTCTGGCTGTGCTGTCTGTTTTCTGCTGGCTTTCATTCAGGATGCCTTATCTGTGGCATCCTGTGATTTTGTGGGTTTGTGATATTTTTACTAGAAGCTCATGTTCTTGGAGCTTCTAGGAGAGAGTTTGAGGCTAAATCAAAGGTGTGTTCTAGCATAGATACGCAGTTGCTTTGGCTATGAGCTCAGAGGTACTACCAGCTTAGGGCATCTTTTTCTTTTTTTTTTTTTTTTGAGACGGAGTCTCGGCTCACTGCAAGCTCCGCCTCCCGGGTTCACGCCATTCTCCTACCTCAGCCTCCGGAGCAGTTGGGACCACAGGCGCCCGCCACCACGCCTGGCTAATTTTTTGTATTTTTAGTAGAGACAGGGTTTCACCATGTTAACCGGGATGGTCTCCATCTCCTGACCTCGTGATCCACCCGCCTTGGCCTCCCAAAGTGCTGGGATTACAGGCGTGAGCCACCGCACCCGGCCTTTTTTTGGGGGGAGGGGGGACAGAGTTTTGCTCTTGCTGCCCAAGATGGAGTACAATGGCGCAATCTCAGCTCACTGCAACCTCTGCCTCCCAGGTTCAAGTGATTCTCCTGCCTCAGCCTCCCAAGTAGCTGGGATTACAGGTGCCCGCCACCACGCCCAGCTAATTTTTTGTATTTTTTAGTAGCAACGGGGTTTCACCGTGTTAGCCAGGATGGTCTTGATCTCCTGACCTTGTGATCCGTCCGCCTCAGCCTCCCGAAGTGCTGGGATTACAGGCGTGAGCTACTGTGCCCGGCTGGGGCTTTATCTGTGGAGAGCATTTGAGGCTAAATCAAAGGTGTGCTCTAGCATAGATATGCAGTTGCTTTGGCCGTGAACTAAGAGGTACTACCAGCTTAGGATGTCTTTCTTTCTTTCTCTTTTTTTTTTTTTTTTTTTTTTTTTTTTAGACAGAGTTTTGCTCTTGTTGCCCAGGCTGGACTGCAACCTCTGCCTCCCAGGTTCAAGTGATTCTCCTGCTTCAGCCTCCCAAGTAGCTGGGATTACAGGCGCCCACCACCACGCCCAGCTAATTTTATATTTTTAGTAGAGACAGGTTTTCACCATGTTGGCCAGGCTGTTCTGGAACTCCTGACCTCAGATGATCCACCCTCCTCGGCCTCCCAAAGTGCTAGGATTACAGGCATGAACCACCGCGCCCAGCCTAGGGCCTCTTTGAGAACCTGGTTTGAGAGGATTTTAGACCTGATGTAGCATGAGAATTAGAACTACAAACCTGCATGAGGGAAGGCTTGTAGTTGGCATCTCAGAGACAACTATGTTCTCTTCCAGCTAGTGCCAGTTTCCCCTAACACTGAATGCAATCTTTTGGGATTCCAGCTGTTTGCACAGAGACTTCCTAATCAGACCCCCAACTTAGGCACTCCCCACGCTAATCCCCTGTCACCTGGGCCCCACAAGTCCATCCTAATAGAAGCACAGCATCACTAAGATTTGGTTTGTATCCCTAGGGAGAAAAGTTGAATGCCCCCTTACCTTCCTGAAGTTCTGCTTTCACTTTGTGTTTGGCCTCTCAGAATGTTTTCCTTTCTTACCAACTCAGTGAAACAGTTAAGAACATAACATTTAAAAATAAGTTTTCTCCAACAGCTTGAGTCATCATCAGGTGGGTTTTTTAGTGTTCCTCAAGTGCTGGAAATGGAAGTCCAAAAGCCGGGCCCATGAAGTTACTGAAAGGCAATGGTGACAGCTAGAGGCAGGGAATACAGAGTACTCTTGTGTTATGTCAAGTAATTCAGCATCGGGCAGTAGAAAGCTAGAATGAATGTTTTGTTTGAGGTTTTCTTTGACGGGTGGTTTTATCAGGAAATGCATCAGCTGCTACTAACAGAGACCAAGACGGAAGTTACGTCTTTCCTAATGACAGAAGTCCAGAGAGGACAGTCAAGGGCTGGGATATAGTGGCTCCACAGCATCTTTGGGAATATTGTCCTTACTGCTTTGCCTCTATGTATAAATACCTCACGGCCCACGCAGGCTGCAGTCGCATGCACACTTCCGTCAGAAAGTAGAAGGAAGGGGGTTAAGCCCACAAAGGGCACATGACAGTTGTCTGTTCCTCCTAGTAGCAGCTTGCCCAGAACTGAACTCCCAGCCAACCACCCACAGCTCAAGAGAGGCCGGGGTTTACTCTTCCAGCGGGTCCCATTGCCACTGGAGTAGAGGGGGAGAATCCTGGATACTGGTGGGCAACCAGCACTCTCTGCCACAGGACCCTAACACTGTTACTACCTGAAGGCCCCATGTCCAGGGAGAAGCGGAAATCAAGACGGATGATTACTGAAGCAAAGAATGGGGTAGAGAATGTGGTCAAAAGCAGAGAGGGAGGGAGGGGACTTGGAAACAGGCACATCTTCACTTGAGACTGACAGCCACCTGTCTCTAAGGTTATATCTGTGAGTAATAGCTGGTTTCTGTAAGCAGGACAAAAGCACTTTCTTTTTTTTTTTTTGGAGACAAAATTTCACTCTTGTTGCCCAGGCTGGAGTGCAGTGGCGCAATCTTGGCTCGCTGCAATCTCCACCTCCCAGGTTCAAGCACTTCTCCTGCCTCAGCCTCCCAAGTAGCTGGAATTATAGGGCGCTACCATGCCCAGCTAATTTTTGTATTTAGTAGAGATGGGGTTTCACCATGTTGGTCAGGCTGGCCTGGAACTCCTGACCTCAGGTGATCCACCCACCTCGGCCTCCCAAGGTGCTGGGATTACAGGTGTGAGTCACTGTACCCGGCCCCTTTCATGGGAGCATGTTTCTCACGCAGGCGCTGCAGTCACAACACTTGTTGCCTGCCATACCTGAAAGGTAGTTGGTCAAGATTTGGGATTATAGGCTGGGCGCGGTGGCTCACACCTGTAGTCCCAGCACTTTGGGAGGCCGAGACTGGTGGATCACGAGGTCAGGAGATCAAGACCATCCTGGCTAACACGGTGAAACCCCATCTCTACTAAAAATACAACAACAACAAAAAAATTAGTGGGGCGTGGTGGAGGGCGCCTGTAGTCCCAGCTACTCGGAAGGCTGAGGCAGGAGAATGGTGTGAACCCAGGAGGCGGAGTTTGCAGTGAGCCAAGATCACGCCACTGCACTCCAGCCTGGGCAACAGAGCAAGACTCCGTCTCAAAAAAAAAAAAATATATATATATATATATATATATATTTGGGATTATATAAGAAGGTTGAGTTTAAAGCTGGAGGTAATAAATGCCAAAAAAAAAAAAAAAAAAACTTTTGGCCCTCCCTGATGACAGAGGGACACCCTTCTAAATTGCCCTTCCATCTCTCTCATAGATGCCTTTCATAGCCAGCAGAACTGTTTTTTTTTTTTGTTGTTTTTTTTTTTTTTGAGACAGAGTCTCACTCTGGCACCTAGGCTGGAGTGTGCAGTGGTGTGCTTGGCTCACTGCAACCTCCACCTCCCGGGTTTAAGTGATTCTCCTGCCTCAGCCTCCCAAGTAGCTGGGATTACAGGCGTTGTGCCACCATGCCCTGCTAATTTTTTGTATTTTTAGTAGAGTTGGGGTTTCACCATGTTGGCCAGGCTGGTCTCAAACTCCTATCCTCAGGTGATCTGCCCCTCTTGGCCCCCCAAAGTGCTGGGATTACAGGCATCAGCCACCTCGCCCAGCCCAGCGCAACTTTCTGAAGTCCTTCTGAACCACCAGGAAGCGGCTCAGCTGTAGGTCTCTGCAGAAGCAATGACTCAGGGCGTGAGAAGGTGAAGTTAGGTGTGCAATGAAGGAGGTGTATGTCATCTATCCACATCCTTTCTCTCCTCCACAAAAGAAGGAAGTATTTGATTATACAATCCTATCAATTTCACTATTCCCAATCATTTATTATCCCAATTTTCTGGAACCATTTCCCACCAATCACTTAAGAAAGGGCTACCCCAGCCGGGCACAGTGGCTCACAACTGTAATCCCAGCACTTTGGAAGGCTGAGGCGGGTGGATCGCTTGAGCCCAGGAGTTTGAGACCAGGCAGGCAACATGGTGAAACTCTGTCTCAACATAAAATACAAAAAAAAAAAAAAAAAAAAAATTAGCCTGGTATGGTGGTGCTCACCTGTAGTCCCAGCTACTCAGGAGGATGAGGTGGGAGAATCGCTTGAACTTGGGAAGTTGAGGCTGCAGTGAGATGAGATCATGCCACTGCATTCCAGCCTGGGCAACTGGAGACCCTGTCTCAAAAAAAAAAAAAAAAAAGTGGGGGCGGGGGGGTGGCTACCTAGCACCGGCTTAACCTTTCCCCACAACCCTTCCCTCCAAGCACAGAAGACAGCTTCCAGGTGTCCTTGTGTCCCCCACTGGTCACTGCTGTGTTCCTGCTGTGGAACTGGGGGAACTCAGTGCTTAAGCACCAAGTCTTACACCTCTGTCGTATCACTAATGTGCCAAAGGAATTAGAAAGAAGATAATAGTATTACAGGGAAGTCTCCGAGAATTAATCAGGGCTCATTTGCCAATGCCACAGGCACCTGAGCTTTTGCTGTGCTCGAACTAAATGCCTTCATCTGGTGTGCAGACAAAATTATGAGGTGCAGTTTTCACACTTTGATTGAAGTGGCACAGCTAATAATTTAGAATTAGATCCTGTGTGGGCTTCATAGTGGACTCAAGCTCTTATCTGTCACTGTGGACGCTGCCCCCTGTTCATGCACCACCTTTTTTTCTTTGTAAATGTGCACATTAAGGCTCTCAGGCACATGCAGAATTGAACTTTCCACCTTTGCTCTTCCCTCAAGATCTCATGTCAGCTACCAAGACCAAAATCTAAGAAGGTAGCTCTCCTACAAACCCCACGGAACCAGCATCCAAGTAAGAGGACTGACCAAATTTGTTCCAACCCTGCAATTCCATGAAACACTTTCAAAGTACACCACCAGGGAATATGTTATTGGCAGTGCTGGCTCTAGTGTATGTGGGCGGGGTGCAGTGACTCACACCTGTAATCCCAACATTTTGGGAGTCGAAGATGGCAGGATTACTTGAGCCCAGGAGCTCAAGACCAGCCTGGGTAACACAGGGAGACTCCATCTCTATTTAAAAAAAAAAAAAAAAAAAAGGAGGGGGTGGAATCCAAATATCTAAGACAGATACTTCTGATAAAATGGGTCCAAGTTGCTTGTCATTCTTTGAATTAAAGCAAAAATAAATTTTACAACATAATCTAAAAGAAATCCATGCTGATTCTTATTTCAGATTCAAACCAGCACTAAGTAATACATCATTCAACACAAATATCAGAAAATAATATTTCCTAATTGTTCAGTATCAATGTTTGTTAAGTGAGAAATACAGGATCTGGCTCACAAAACATCTTGATACGTTGTTTTTTCATGTCATATGGGTAATGTGCCAACAGCCTAACGATATTTGAGGGGGGCACATCTCACATACGTGATCGTACTTATGAACCACAAAATGAGTTTATTAACAGTTTATTTATGTGTATGCTTATATATTTCCATAAATTTAATGTCTTCTTATAGTAATCAAAATTAGTTAACAGGCCAGGCATGGTAGCTCACACCTGTAATCTCAAAACTTTGTGAAGCCGAGGCGGGTGGATCAGGAGTTTTGAGGTTGGGAGTTCGAGACCAGCCCGGCCAACATGATGAAACTCCGTCTCTGCTAAAAGTACAAAAATTAGATGGGCGTGATGGTGCACGTCTGTAATCCCAGCTCCTCAGGAGGCTGAGGCAGGAGAATTGCTTGAACCCGGGAGGTGGAGGTTGCAGTGAGCTGAGATTGTGCCACTGCACTCCAGCCTCAGCAACACAGAAAAGCTCCATCTCAAAAAAAAAAAAAAATTAGTTAACAGTCTGAGATAAACTATTTTAACAAGAAAACACATTTAACCAAATATGGCAGTAAACTGGAAACTTTCAGTTATTGCTTCAATAAGGGAATGTTTCACAAAAATTGTCTGTTTCTTCAATACTAACATTCTTTTGTCCTAGAGACCATTCCTGTAGTTTAATAATCTCACTGCTCTCTTTATAAAATAAAAATAAACAATGTATCTATAAGGCTTAGTCTGCAATTTTCCACTGTATAATTTATTCACATTTAAAACTGTATTTCTTTTTATAGTTATATGTCAAAAAATAGTGACTAGGTTTTATGGCTTACTTAAAATATAAATGAGGAAAACAGACATTTGCCATACAAATGGCTGGTTTTAATTTTTTTTAGAGGAAATACTATAATTTAAAAAAAAAAAGAGTTCCAAAATATTTAACAGAATCTCCAGCAATGATTATTTCCAAAATGTAAAGATTTGAAACATAATTTATACAAAACTAAAAACCACAAGGATTCATTCTTGCTTTTTCCTTTTTTAAAAAATCCAGACAATTTGTCACAAGAAAGTTCGGCATGTGATAGAAGCTGTAGCCTCAGTCACCCTCGGAATCGCTGTCCCTCTTCATGAGGACAGAGCGCCGCACTGAGGACAGCAACACGTCTTCAATCGGCTTCTTAGGGTTTTCCTCCAGGTCTGTCATAATTGCTCCAGATTCAGACAGTTTCCATTCCAACTCTATATGGTAAAGAAAAAGCAAATTGCCTAAGGCACTGTGCTGCAAAGGTTCCCTCGCCCTAAGTCCATCAACCTAGTTTTTTCTAAGTAGAAAATACAATTATCGAAATTTGGCCCAGCACAATGGCTCACGCCTGTAATCCCAACACTTTGGGAGGCTGAGGCAGGAGGATCACCTGAGCCTGGGAGGTAGAGGTTGCAGACATTTAAGATCACACCACTGCACTCCAGCCTGGGCAGCAGTGAGACTGTCTCAACAATAAAAATAAAAGTAAATAAAACATAAAAATTCACTGGGTACAGTGGTGGTGTGTGCTTATAATCCCAGCTGTTTGGGAGGCTGAAGTGGCAGGATCGCTTGAGCCCAGGAGTTCAAGGCTGCAGTGAACCATGATCATGTCACTGCACTCCAGCCTACACGACAGAGCGAGACCCTGTCTCAAAAATACAAAGAATAAACCTATCCTCTGATGACTACAATTTCCCAGGAAGGAAATCAGCATGAAAAATTTGAAGGAAATAATTTCCACAGACCTTCTGGCAATCTAATCATTAAATCCAATTTTAATAAACTCTTCAGCCTCATGTCCAGTATCTCAATCTATTGGGGTCAAAGAATAAATGTATGGTGATACCCTAGAACTTACACATTTGTTCCAACTAATCAAAAAAGCACCAGATAATAAAGAATCAGTAACTGAAGACTCAGCTCCAATACTTCACTCTTAAAATCAGCAAAATTCTTGTGGTCTGAGACCAAGTGAAGCAAAATCAAGTGATGTATTTGCCTACTTCAGAGAAGAGCCCAGGCAGAACCAAAGGACTACGTAAGAGATTCTACAACAAATGGCTTCGCTTAAAGGAACATCAAGGCAGAGAGTTCTGCTAACTGGACACATCGATTAAAATCTGAAAACCAGGCCGGGCGCGGTGGCACATGCCTGTAATCCCAGCACTTTGGGAGGCCAAGGTGGGCGGATCACGAAGTCTGGAGATCGAGACCATCCTGGCTAACACGGTGAAACCCCGTCTCTACTAAAAATACAAAAAATTAGCCAGGCATGGTGGCAGGTGCCTGTAGTCCCAGCTACTCGGGAGGCTGAGGCTGGAGAATGGTGTGAACGTGGGAGGCGGAGCTTGCAGTGAGCCGAGATCGCGCCATTGCACTCCAGCCTGGGCGACACAGCGAGACTGTCTCAAAATAAAAAAAATCTGAAAACCAATTTTACTGAAGTCTTATCTTAATCTACTTTTTTGGAGACAGGCTCTCACTCCATCACCCAGGCTAGAGTGCTATGGGTGCAATCATAGCTCACTGTAACCTTGAACTCCTGGGTTCAAATGATCCTCCCGCCCATCTCCCTAGCAGCTGAGACTACAGGTGTGCACCACCACACCTGGCTACTTTCTTTTTTGTAGACATGGGATCTCGCTATGTTGCCCAGGCTGGTCTCAAACTCCTGGCCTCATGCAATCCTCCAGCCTTAGCTTCCCAACATGCTAGGATTACAGGCTTCAGCCAACGTGCTCAGTTGAATTTTACTTATTAACTTAAAGTGTTCCATGAAACAGAGAATAGAATGGTGGTTATCAGGGGAGGAGTGGAAATGGGAGATGTTGGCCAAGGATACAAACTTTCAGTTATAAGATGGTAAGTTCTGAAGACCTAATGTAGAACATGGTAACTACAGTGAATAATAACGTATTGTATACTTGAAATTTGCTAGGAAAGTAGATCTTAAGGATTCTCACCACAGTGAGGGCAGCTATGTGAAATGATGGATGGTTAATTACTTGGATTGTGGTAATCATTTCACATTGTACCTCTATTAAATCTCCATGTTGTATATCTTAAATATATTCAATTGTTTTGGTCATCATACCTCAGTCATGCTGGGTAAAAAAAAAAAAAGTGTTCCACGAAGATGAGTAACACCAGTATTTTCGGCTCTAGGTACTTTGGTTGAATGTTATATAAATTCAACCTGTTTCTTAAAAAAAAAAAAAAACAAGACTTCAGATTCCTGACTCAAGAATTTATATCCAGCCAGATGTGGTGGCTCAGGCCTGTGATCCCAGAACTTTGGGAGGCTGAGGCAGGTGGATCACTTATCACTTGAGGTCAGGAGTTCACAACCAGCCTAGGCAACACGGTGAAACCGTCTCTACTAAAAATACAAAACTTAGCCAGGCATGGTGGCACATGCCTGTAGTCCCAGCTACTCAGGAGGCTGAGGCACGAGAATTGCTTGAACCCGGGAGGCTGAGGCTGGAGTGAGCCAAGATAGTGCTACTGCACTCCAGCCTGGGTGACAGAGCAAGACCCTGTCTCAAAAATTAAAAAAATATATATATCTCTCTCTATATATATATCTTTATATATCCACACATACGTACATAAGTGTTTAATGTTACTGTTCACTTACACAAAGCAATCGTTATATGTAAGTTCACTAGACTTCAAGACTTTTTTTTAGAAATAAAAACAATTGCACACTTCTCTCTCCCCTCATGGTACATTCAAAAAAGGTCAAAATAAGATGCAAACATGTATTTAGTTTGAAATGCTGTACGCCTTTGAACACTGGAATATGTAACTGATGTATCTCCTATATGTGTGTGTTTATGTATGTTTGTATATTTATACTTTCCCCAGCTGAATATCTTTTTTTTTTTTTTTTTGAGATAGAGTTTCGCTCGTTACCCAGGCTGGAGTGCAATGGCATGATCTTGGCTCACTGCAACCTCTGCCTCCCAGGTCAAGTGATTCTCCTGCCTCAGCCTCCGAGTAGCTGGAATTATAAGTGCCCGCCACCACGCCCAGCTAATTTTTTGTATTTTCAGTAGAGACAGGGTTTCACTATGTTGGCCAGGCTGGTTTCCAACTCCTGACCTCAGGCAATCCACCCGCCTTGGCCTCCCAAAGTGCTGGGATTACAGGCATGAGCCACCGCACCCGGCCGCCAGATGAGTATCTTAGTGGTACAGTATATAAAGTCATGTTTAAAAATGTCTTTCTGGTAAAGCATAGTTGGAAATATTATTTCAATAAAGAGATAAAGAGTTTCACTTGGCAAGAATGCCTCTGGGCTGAGGTTCTCCTTCACGTTCTGTGTGGGTATGTATTTTGATACCTCCATGTTTAACAGGTAGAAAGGAATTTAAAAACACAGCCGGGCGCGGTGGCTCACATCTGTAATCTCAGCACTTTGGGAGGCTGTGGCGGGCAGATCACGAGGTCAGGAGTTCAAGACCAGCCTGGCCAACATGGTGAAAACCTGTCCCTACTAAAAATACAAAAATTAGCCAAGCGTGGTGGTGGGCGCCTGTAATCCCAGCTACCTGAGACGCTGAGGCAGGAGAATTGCTTGAAACCAGAAGGTGGAGGTTCCAGTGAACCAAGATCGCACCACTGCACTCCAGCCTGAGCGAAAGAGCAAAACTCCATCTCAAAAAAACAAACAATCAAACAAAAACCACATCCTTCCGAGCTAACAGGCAGAATTAAATAAAATTTTAATTTAATTTAAAAGCTGGCCAGGCGCAGTGGCTCACGCCTGTAATCCCAGCACTTTGGGAGGCTGAGGCGGGTGGATCACCTGAGGTCAGGAGTTTGAGACCAGCCTGACCACATGGAGAAACCCTGTCTCTACTAAAAATACAAAAAAATTAGCCAGGCATGTTGGCACATGCCTGTAATCCCAGCTACTAGGGAGGCTGAGGCAGGAGAATCACTTGAACCTGGGGGGCAGAGGTTGCAGTGAGCCGAGATCACGTGATTGCACTCCAGCCTGGGCAAGAAGAGTGAAACTCTGTCTCAAAAAAAATAAATAAAAGCTACTAGCCGGGCGCAGTGGCTCACGTCTGTAATCCCAGCACTTTGGGAGGCTGAAGTGGGTAGATCACTTGAGGCCAGGAGTTTGAGACCAGCCTGGCCAACATGGTGAAACCCCGTCTCCACTAAAAATACAAAAATTAGCTGGGCGTGGTGGTAGGTGCCAGTAATCCCAGATACTTGGGAGGCAGAGGCAGGAGAATCACTTGAACCTGGGAGGCAGAAGTTGCAGTGAGGCAAGATCATACCATTGCACTCCAGCCTGGGTGACAGAGCAAGACTCTGTCTCAAAAAATAAATAACTAAGTAAATAAATGTAAAAGCTACTAACATACTCAACTGAGAATGTTTCTGTAGAAAAATACAAATACATACATTAACGTCTCCCTGTGTTCATGTGAATTAAAGCAAAAGTGAATGTTGTGATTTCAAGCTACAAAAACATCCAACTGTAGAGACAAAATATATTCCACACCAATATAAAAAATGTTTATATTTAAGTCTATCACGCCTTCCTTGAACTAAGAATCAGTAGAGCCCAGTTGTAACTGTTCCTGATTACGCAACTAAGATGAGAGATTAAACGTGCTTCCGTCCTCATACACAGGCAGAAGTGAACTTGACCCACCATCGTAACAGGAGTCCAGGAAATAGACACTCTCTCCAACAGAAATGCGCCTCCCATCTCTCACTGCCCCGCCTGTCTCCCAGAGCCCTTACCATCTCTTGTCAGGTTCATGCCGCCAAACACCAGAGGACCAATAAACTGAGCCTTGATATCTCCTTCCAGGTAAACAAATATCGTGGGCAGATTCCTATCAGGATAATTGGGTATGCAGGTTGTTGAAATGGCTTTGATAAATTTGACATCAGGAAACTTCCTGGCAAGTCCACTGAGGTGCTGATTTATCAGGGCACAGAGGGGAATTCTATAAAACACACATAGAAAACAGAAGCAATTATGATCCTACATTTATACAGAACAAAGCTCAATGACCCTTCTACCCTAAGTAAAACCTTGTAACAGTTTCACAAGTAATTCTGCTGCTAGCTAAGATGAATTAACATGTTTTTTTTGACATAGGGTCTTGTTTTCACCCAGGCTAAATGGAGTGAAGTGGTGTGATCTCGGCTCACAAGCAATGCTCCCACCTCAGCCCCCCAAGTAGCACTTTGGGAGGCCAAGGTGAGTGGATCATGAGGTCAGCAGTTCAAGACCAGCCTGGCCAAGATCATGAGGTCAGGAGTTCAAGACCAGCCTGGCCAAGATGGTGAAACCCCATCTCTACTAAAAATACAAAAATTAGCTGGGTGCAGTGGCAGGCGCCTGTAATCCCAGCTACTCGGGAGGTGTGATTACAGGCACACACCACCATGCCCAGCTGATTTTTTTTTTTTTTTTTTGTAAAGACAGGGTTTCACCACGTTGCCCAGGCTGCTCTTGAACTCTTGAGCTCGAGATCCGGCCGCAATGGCTTCCCAAAGTGCTGGGATTACAGGTATTACAGGTGTAAGCCACCATGCCCAGCTGAATTAACATTTCTTAAAAACTTCCTAATATGCTGAGGGAAAGTGAAGAACACAAATCCAAAGTCCAATTTATTTGACAAAACAAGTCAGAAAAACAGCTTCAATGTAAAAGATAAAATTGCTATACATTTCTTATAAGGTTGAATGAGAAAACGCTGAAGGTTTAGAAAGTATGAAATGTCAGAAAACGTTTTCTGCTTTAAAGAAATTCCTGGCCAGGTGCAGCGGCTAACGCCTGTAATCCCAGCACTTTGGGAGGCCAAGATGAGTGGATCATGAGGTCAGGAGTTCAAGACCAGCCTGGCCAAGATGGTGAAACCCCGTCTCTACTAAAAATACAAAAATCAGCTGAGTGCGGTGGCAGGCGCCTGTAATCCCAGCTACTCAGGAGCAGAGGCAGGAGAATCGCTTGAACCTGGGAGACGGAGGTTGCAGTGAGCCGAGATCATGCCACTGCACTCCAGCCTGGTCAATGGAGTGAGACTTTGTCTCAAACAAAAAAAAAAAAAAAAAAGAAATTCCTAAATAAGCACTGGACTCTACAGTTTAAGACAAGACTGGAGAGCTGAGAAAAATCAGAGGCCCTCAGTATCACACAGTTCAGGCAATTACTACTGTAAAGGCCAACCTTGCCATCTATGAGATAAATTCATTACATAGAATGTTGAAATGTCAGAGTTCCTGTAAAGGAATAAATAACTTAGGAATTCCTTTTCAAAAACAGAAAAGCATAGTCTTCATTGCTATACTTTAACAAAGGCATTCATATTAGTCACAAATTATTAACTTGAAAGTCTTAAGATAAAAAAATTAAGTAATAAGGTTTGGGCAAACCAGCAAAAAAAACACAAAAAACTCAGTACCAGAAAAATTTTTTCTGAGACAAAGTCTCGCTCTGTCGCCCAGGCTGGAGTGCAGTGGCGCAATCTCGGCTCACTGCAAGCTCCGCCTCCCGGGTTCATGCCATTCTCCCACCTCAGCCTCCCAAGTAGCTGGGACTATAGGCGCCCGCGACCACGCCCAGCTAATTTTGTTTTTGTATTTTTAGTAGAGACGGGGTTTCATCGTGTCAGCCAGGATGGTCTTGATCTCCTGACCTCATGATCCACCTGCCTCAGCCTCCCAAAGTGCTGGGATTACAGGTGTGAGCTACTGCGCCTGGCCCAGAAAAAAAAATTTCTTAACCCTCTGATATAGGTAACGCCTGAGATCCTGAAGACATAAATTCAAATTAACATTTGATAGATGGAGTGGAAGATCAGCTCACCCTTGTTTGTAAAGGTGCAAGATGACCCACAAGCCCTCGCCAGCTTTGGTAACTTCTTGAACATAATCCTTCCCTGAGATCTCCAAAACTTCTCCGAATTTATTCTTCAGTTTAGTTGCTTTCCACTCAGCCAGTCTCCGCCGTCTGCACAAAACAAGGAGAGAAACATCTTACGTCACAAACACGTGTACACACACATCGTCTAGAAGGCAATCCTTGTAAAAGCCCAGGTTTATTTATTGGTCTTATGGCAAAAATCTAAGATCAGTTTGCTAAAATTCACAATATTATTTAATTGCAGTCGCTCCTAGATGTTTCAGCTGAAAATTAATTTTTTGAAGGACACACATTTCATTTTATTTTTTGAGACAGAGTTTGGCTCTGTCACACAGGCTGGAGTGCAGTGGCACAGTCTCAGCTCACTGCAACCTCCACTTCCAGGGCTCCTGAGTAGCTGGAACTATAGCCGTTCACCACCACACCCAGCTAGTTTTTGTATTATTTATAGAGACGGGGTTTCACAGGCTGGTCTCAAACTTCTGAGCTCAAGCGATCTGCCTGCCTCAGCCTCCCAAAGTGTTGGGACTACAGGTATGAGTCACCATGCTCAGCCCACACATTTTATTGCCACGCCAAAAAAAAAACCAAAACAAAACAAACAACAACAAAAAAACAAACAGCCCCTCTGGGTGGCGCTTACCTGTACATTTCAATAGCACGTTCATCCTCCTCATTAAACTCGTCTTCATGATCCTCCAGCTCTTCCAAAGTCATATCTTCATATGTTTTCACTGAATTTGGTTACATTGGCAAAAAGCAAAAATTTAAAAAGATGAACGAACATGTATTTTTCTTTTTTCCCCTCTCTTTTCTCCTAAAGATATGCACACAACACCAGATCCTTAGCCTACCTAAACAAAAATTACTTAAGGCACCACACTACATTAGAAGCTGAGAGGCCAGGCATGGTGGCTCACACCTGTAATCCCAATTTATTGACTGACAACATTTTACCCAAGCCCTCAGATCCTCCTCCCCTCTCTTCTCCTATTCCGCCTCACCCTGCCCCGCTTATTTTCCTTTTTTTGGAGACAGAGTTTCACTCTTGTCATCCAGGCTGGAGTGCAATGGTGCGATCTTGACTCACTGAGAACCTCCGCCTCCCAGATTCAAGCAATTCTCCTGCCTCAGCCTCCTGAGTAGCTGGGATTACAGGCGTGTGCCACCACACCCAGCTAATTTTTGTATCATTAATAGAGACAGGGTTTCACCATGTTGGCCAAGCTGGTCTTGAACCTTCTGACCTCAAGTGATCTGCCCATCTCAAAGTGCTGGGATTACAGGAGTGAGCCAGCCGCCCTACTGTTGAACCCTTTGCTGATTAAAATTCCCCAGGCTCAAACCTTTGACTACTTTTCTTCTTTATCCACACCCACTCCCTCGGTGATTGCATCTAATCTCATGGCTTTCAGTGCTATCAATATGCTGACAACTCCCAAAGTATAGGCCTCCAGCCCAGACTTCTCTAATGTAGAGAAAAACATACCCAAGGGCCCTCTTAATGTGGCTATTTGTCTAATAGGGATCTCCAAGTTAATGCATCCCTTGGCTGGGTGCAGTGGCTCACGCCTATAATCCCAGCTCTTTGGGAGGCTGAGGTGGGCGGATCACTAGAGGTCAGGAGTTTGAGACCAGCCTGGCCAACATGGTGAAACCTCATCGCTACAAAAAATTACCTAGGCGTGGTGGCACATGTCTGTAATCCCAGCTACTCGGGAGGCTGACGCAGGAGAATCGCTTGAACCTGGGAGGCGGAGGTTGCAGTGAGCCAAGATTGCGCCACTGCAGTCCAGCCTGGGTAAGAGAGCGAGACTCCATCTCAAAAAAAAAACAAAAAAGAGAAAATGTCACTCTTCTGTTTAAACATCCAAAAGCTTCCTGCCTCATTAGGTGTAAAGGCCAAGGTCCTTACTAGAAGCTTCTGGGTCTGCTGAGGCTGCTCTGAACTCTCTCCCCCAGCGCCTCCAGCTCCTCAGGGATTCCCAGCCATGCCAGGGCCCATATTTCACTCGCTCACGTCACCCCCTTCAGGAATACCCAGATGTCTTCTTCACCTCCTTCAGGTCTCAACAACTCCCTCAGGTCTATTCAAATGTGTTCTTCAGCTCCTTCAGGTCTTTACCCAAATGCCAGCTTCACCTCCTTCAGGTCCATGCAAATGTCATCTCAGTGAGGCCCTCTCTGAGCCTGCTTCTCCTCCAACCCTTTCTAGTCCCTTTTACTGCCTTATTTTCTTTATTGTTTATTGTCTGTCTCCCCCACTTGAATGTTGGTTCTCTGAGGGCAGAGAATTGTCTCTGGCTTATGCATAGCTAAATCCCCAACCCCAGAAAAGCACCTGACAATGATAATCATGCAGTAAGCACTCGCTGGATACTTTCTAATAAATCCTTCTCTAAATTAGCTCTAATGTGTCAACAGAGGACAAAAGTACTAGTCCCTGGGACCAGTGCTTCTCAAACTATGACACGCATCAGAATCCTTTAAGGCACTTGTTTAAAATGCAGATTCCTGGGCCTCATTCCAGAGACTGCTTCAGTAAACACTAGGTGGGTGGGGTTACCAGCACTCCAAGGGACTCCAATTCAGACAGTACAACTGCCTTTGAGAAAACCCCCCTCAGACTCCCACACATTGCAAACATCTTATGCCTCCCCAAATGAAGCAATTTTTAGTTAATATCCTCAATGAAACCACAGAAAATAAAGTATATGCTCAGGAAAATACAAGTACTAAAAACCTTGAACAAATTTCCATGACATTATCAAAGGGAATCACAGACCAGAAAGCAGAAAGAAGTATTTTCTTCAGTGCTCATGTGACATGGACAAGGACTTGTGGGACATATCTGAAGTCCCCTAAGTCTATGGCTCAGGAAGGTGAAGGTGAGAGACGCCCTGTGTTTTGTCTGAGGTCCCACAGACACAGAGTGTCCATGCTGGCACTCCAACCTGTCTCCTGGCAGGGCAGTCAGAGGCTTAGGGAGCCATCTCCTAACCCAGACAGGTGCAGAGGAAAGCGAGTGAACTCACCCACTGACTGCTGGAGGATGCGCTGCTCCTCTTCTGCCTCCTCTTCCAATTCTTTCAGACTTTCCTTGGGGGGTAAGATACCCTTTTTGCGTAAGATGTCATTCCATTCAGTGTCTGCGTTGGGGTCCTAGAAGAGCGGGACCAAGGTTACCATGAGTGCTAAGTCTAGTATGTAGGGTGCCACGTTGGGCAAGGGGCCAAATGGGAAAAGTGACAGGAAGGGAGGAATGCACACCAGTCTGTGAACTATTTCTGAGAAAGTGTCAAAAGATCCATAGCCCCCGTTTTGTTTTTCCTGTCTACCCCTCCCTGAATGGAGGAGCTATTCTTGGGGTAAAAATTAGGATAGGGAGTGCAGATCAGTATCAATACGGATACCAAGGCTCTGACTTGGCATGTGTTCAATATTTTTAATAATGACTGAGAGTGCCGGGCACAGTGGCTCACGCCTGTAATCCCAGCACTTTGGGAGGCTGAGGCAGGCGGATCACGAGGTCAGGAGATAGAGACCATCCTGACTAACACGGTGAAACCCCGTCTCTACTGAAAATACAAAAAATTAGCCGAGCGTGGTGGCGGGCACCTGTAGTCCCAGCTACTTGGGAGGCTGAGGCAGGAGAATGGCATAAACCCGGGAGGCGGAGCTTGCAGTGAGCCGAGATCGTGCCACTGCACTCCAGCCTGGGCGACAGAGCAAGACACAGTCTCAAAATAATAATAATAATAATGACTGAGTGATTCATTCAACAGATAAAACTGAAGTATCTACCACATGTAAATTATTGTAGGCAATGGGGAAGAGTGGTGAATGCGAGAGTCACCTGTGTTACAGACAAGAGGAAGAGACAGGCAACAAACAAGTATATATACAAACTATACATAGAGAGATAAAATTGTGGCAAGTGCAATGACAAACAGGCTGCCATTTTAGAGAATTACCCAGGACCCACATTCCACAGAGTAGATAGGGATGTTCCCTACAGAGGAGGTGACATTCCGTCTGAGGGTGGAAAGCAATCTGTGATAGGAGTCTGGGGGCTTACAAATAATCTTCCAGGCTGGGCACGGTGGCTCACGCCTGTAATCCCAGCACTTTGGGAGGCAGAGGTGGGTGGATCACAAGGTCAGGAGATCGAGAGCATCCTGGCTAACATGATGAAACCCCGTCTTTACTAAAAACACAAAAAATTAGCCGGGCGTGGTGGCGGGCGCCTGTAGTCCCAGCTACTCGGGAGGCTGAGGCAGGAGAGTGGCAGGAACCCGGGAGGTGGAGCTTGCAGTGAGCCGAGATCGAGCCGCTGCACTCCAGCCTGGGCGACAGAGCTAGACTCTGTCTCAAAAAAAAAAAAAAAAATCTTCCAGGCTGGGTGGAGTGGCTCACGCCTGTAATTCCAGCTCTTTGGGAGGCCAAGGCAGGTGGAGCATCTGAGGTCAGGAGTTAAAAGACCAGACTGGCCAGTATAGTGAAACCCCATCTCCACTAAAAACACAAAAATTAGCCAGGTGCACGCCCGTAATCAAGAAAATAATCTTCCAGGCAGAGCGGCCTGCGGCATGCATACTGCCCAAGAGCAAAGAGACTGTGACATTTTGAGGATCTCAGGCTGCAGATGAGGCTTGGCTGACAGAATTCTCTAATGGCCAAACCTGAGAGGAAAAGCTGAGACGTCTCAGAGTAGCTCATAAAATACAGGGCACTCTAAGCCCTTTTTCTTGTACCTTGTCCCTGAATCCTCACAAGCCTAGGAGAGGCACGGCATTTAGAGGCACTGCCATGCTAGAACGGCTGGCCAAATCAGCCAGCATCAAAATCACAAAGGATCATTGTCACAAAGACTGATGTAAAAGTGGCTCTTAGATCTAGAACCCAGCTGCCCAAGCACCGGTTTGCATGGTGTGGCAAGAACACTGCTAATGGAGCTCAGGCTTGCTTTGGAATATGAAATCAGGAGCACTGTGAAAAGGGCACCGGGATAATCGGTCTCCAACCCCAACCCTGTGTAACAGTTCTGAGATACATCAAAAGAAAAATGAGGCCGGGCGCGGTGGCTCATGCCGATAATCCCAGCACTTTGGAAGGCCTAGGCGGGCAGATCACCAGGTCAGGAGATCGAGACAATTCTGGCTAACATGGTGAAACCTTGTCTCTACTAAAAATACAAAAAATTACCCGGGAGTGGTGACGGGCGCCTGTAGTCCCAGCTACTCAGGAGGCTGAGGCAGGAGAATGGCGTGAACTGGAGAGGCGGAGCTTGCAGTGAGCCGAGGTCGCGCCACTGCACTCCAGCCTGGGCGACAGAGCAAGACTCTGTCTCAAAAAGAAACAAACAAACAAACAAACAAAAAGAGCAGAATCCTTTCTACAGGGTGGTCAGGGAAGGCCTCAAGGGACCTGAAGGACAGGGAATGCAAAGGAGGCCAGGGCAGCCCTCAAGCTACCACTTCACCATTTAAGAGTGTCTAGGCCAGGTGCGGTGGCTCATCCTGTAATCCCAACACTTTGGGAGGCTGAGGCTGGGCAACATAGGGAGACCCCATCTGCACAAAAAATTAGCCCAGAGTGGTGGGTGCACGCCTGTGGTCCCAGCTACTCCGGAGGCTGACAAGGGAGGATGGCTTAGCCCCGGGAGGTCGAGGTTGCAGTGAGCTGTGACAGAGCCACTGCACTCCAGCCTGGGCAACAGAGCAAGACCCGGTCTCAAAAAAAAAAAAAACAGTGTCTGGCTCCTGGCAGACACGCCCTCCCCTCCAGCCCCTAATGCCTCCCTCCCCAGCAAAACCCGCACCCTCTCCTCTCCATCTGCCACTAAGCAGAGATTAGAATTTCTGACCACTGCGGGATCTTTGGACAGTGACAAAATTTAGTTGGCATAGGTTTTCACCCACAATAGTGCCCATTTCCATGGTGTTTTCATTCATTCTCCTTAGGCTTTAACCAAATTCCGCTAGTAAATTGCAGCTACAGAAAAATAATTTATTTTACCTATTTTAATAAAAAAAAAAAAAAGGACGAAACAGAGGGACCCTCGCGGGGAGCTCTGGAACCCGAGCGGTCAGATAGGGAACACGCCCCAAGCGGATCCCAGGGCTCGGGGGAAGAGGGTGTAACTAAGCCCTCACCTGGCTCTCAGTGGAGCCAGGAACACCGGCTGTGGCGCTGCTTTACGTGCGGAAGACCCCAGGCCGGACCCTCCGCTTCCTAACACCTCTGCCCAGGTGTGCCTTAGGGGAGTTCAGGAGAGGAGGTAACTTTTGTTAGGCGGGATCCGGCAAGACCTTCACAGGCCCGGGTGGGTAGAGACCGCGAGAAGACATAGTCCCGGAGGACGAGGTTTGGGGGACCCGGCACACCGAGGCGGGGACGCCCAGGCCGTGGGTCCTGGTGGGACCACGCCCGCCTCCCGCACTGCGCCTGCGCAGGGCCTGGACGCGCCGGGCCTCCCTCGTGCCTGCGGCGCCGGAGCTTCCCCCAGGGCGGGCGTCCACTGCCCGCCCGGGCCTAACGAGACAAAGGAACGGGCCGCAGCCCCCAGACCCGAGACCCGTCCTAGCTCACCTGCATCTTGTTTCCAGTTCAGTTGCTCAAACCAGCTGTGCCGCAGCGCCCCCGCCCCTCAGCTCTCTTTTGTGCACGCGCACAGCGCCGCCACGCCTCTTCCCCCAGCCCAGCCTTCGCCCCGCCCAGGGACGAGCGGCGGGGAGTAAGGGCGGAAGCAACAGCCTTGAGTCTGCGCCTGCTCTTCAAGGAACTGGCACAGAAGCGTTCGCATGCGCCAGATAGGATCTGCCTACTGTCCTGCTCGGAGTGCACTTGACCTGGTTCTAATTCTGGTGGCTGCCTTATTAGGGCTGGTCTTCAGCGGAGGAGGGGTGGGGCTGGGTGGAGGAGGAGCCCGGGGCCGTGTGCCTTTTCCAGCTGCCGGCCCAAACCTGTAAAGACGTCTCGCTCTGACTAGCCTAACAAGTCAGAAATAGAAAATTGCCTCTAGGCCGGGCGCGGTGGCACACGCCTGTGATCCCAGGCCGAGGCGGGCGGATCACTTGAGGTCAGGAGTTCGAGATCAGCCTGGCCAACATGGTGAAACCCCGTCTCTACTAAAAATACAAAAAAATTAGCCGGGCGTAGTGGTGGTTGCCTGTAATCCCAGCTACTCTGGAGGCTGAGGCAGAAGAATTGCTTGAACGGGGGAGGCGGAGCTTGCAGTGAGCTGAGATCTCTCCACTGCACTCCAGCCTGGGTTACAGAGCGAGACTCCGTCTTAAATAAATAAATAAATAAAAATGATGCAGGGTCTTCTGGAATTCACCCACGATCACTTCAGCCTTGGAAAAGGCAACTCATTAATAAGACATTGAGAGCCTGCTGTGTACCAGGCACCATTCTAGGCTCTGCAGATGCAGCAGTGAGCAAAACACTAAAACAAAGGTGAAAGTCATCTGCCGTGCCTGAGTATCAGGAGACCCATGTATGCAGGCACACAGGCACTGAGCAAAAAGCAGCAATCTGACTTGTAAAATGCAGGTATTGGGCTCCAGAGCTTCTGCCCAGGCACACTCCAAGTTTAAGAGAGCAATATTCCTACCTGGTATGGAAGGAAGCATCTTGCACACGTGGGCTAACTTGCTGCCTCCTGGCAACTAAGCGGACACAGAGAGTAGAGACCCACACACCTGTGAGATAGGCGCAGGGCTTCCAACCGTGGCTATGCATTAGAATCACCTGGAAGCCCTCAAAAACTAGGAATGTCCTGGGGCTCCATCCCCAGACAAATTAAATCCTTGGAAATGAGGCCTAGCACAGATACTTTCTTAAAGATCCTCAGGTGATGCTAAAGTGCACAGTCGTTGATATAGAGTGAATCAAATGATTGCTTGAGAGCAAGGAGTTTTTATTTAATTTATAAGGATCCTTAAGATTTTTCTCACTCATTTCAACTGAATTACAGGCCCTTTTAGGGATTTATTAATGTATCTGGCAGCACAATGTTTGTTAATGAATTTTCCTTGGGTCTTACCACCAAAATCAGGACTGGAACTAACTTTGAGTTTGATCCTGTGCTTCTTGCTCAGTCCTGCACAGCAACAGAGCAGGTGGTGTTTTGTCCTTTCCTCATCCCCAGCCTTTGCTGTTCCCTGAGGCCTGTTTTCCAGGACTCAGCTATTCTACAGTTGCTCTTCCCCACATGATCCGGTCAGAGGCATTCTAACCAAAGCCAATCCATCCTGAATAGGGGATGGGGAAAAGGAGGCTGAGACCTACTGGGTTGTATTCCCAGAAGGTTACGCATGCTTAGTCACAGAATATTTACCAAACAGACCTAAGACAACAGACCCAGGAAATGGCCTGGTGTCCTGAAAGCTTTCTTTTTTCTTTCTTTTTTTTGAGATGGAGTTTCACTCTTGTTGCCCAAGCTGGAGTGCAATGGCGTGATCTCGGCTCACTGCAATTTCCACCTCCTGGGTTCAAGCGATTCTCCTGCCTCAGCTTCCGAATAGCTGGGATTACAGGTGCGCGCCACCACGCCTGGCTAATTTTTTTTTTTTGTATTTGTAGTAGAGACGGGGTTTCACTGTGTTAGCCAGGCTGGTCTCGAACTCCTGACCTCAGGTGATCCACCTGCCTTGGCCTCCCAAAGTGCTGGGATTAAAGGTGTGAGCCACCGCACCTGGCCTTGTTTTGTTTTTTTGAGAGTCTCTCTTTGTTCCCCACCCTGGAGTGCAATGGCAAGATCTCAGCTCACTGCAGCCTCCCCCTCCTGGGTTCAAGTGATTCTCCTGCCTCAGCCTCCCAAGTACGTGGGATTACAGGCATGCACCACCACGCCGGGCTAAGTTTTGTATTTTTAGTAGAGACAGGGTTTCGCCATTTTGGTCAGGCTGGTCTCGAACTCCTGAGCTCCTCATCCCAAAGTGCTGGGATTACAGGCGTGAGCCAGAGTGCTGGGATTACAGGTGTGAGCTACCACGCCCAGCCAAGAACAAAAGCATTCTTAAAGTTTTGTTTTAACAATAATATAGATTATTGGGAAAGACAGTAGTTATGAAATCTGGCCCAATAGTCCCACAGACAGTTGTTTTTGGATAAACATAGACATTGACCCTTCTGCTGTTAAAGCTTGAAACTTGTATCTGTTTAATCTGAGTTTCTTCCTTAGGAAAGGACCTTCAGGCCTCTCAGAAAAAGTATCAAAGAACTGAAACTCAACAGATGACCTCACCAGATGCATCCTTGCCCTTCCCTCTTCTTGTTTTCTTACACCATGTTACATTTCTTCCCTGCTATATAAACCCCTAGTTTTAGTCAGTCGGGGAGATGGATTTGAGACTGATCTCCTGTCTCGTCTCCTTGTCTCCTCGGCTGCAGCACCCAATTAAAGGCTTCTTCCTTGGGAATACTTGTCATCCCAGTGATTGGCTTTCTTTTTTTTTTTTTTTTTTTTTTTTTCCGAGACAGAGTCTCGCTCTGTCACCCAGGCTGGAGTGCAGTGGCGCAGTCTCGGCTCACTGCAAGCTCCGCCTCCCGGGTTCAAATGATTCTCCTGCCTCAGCCTCCCGAGTAGCTGGGACTACAGGCGCCTGCCACCACGCCCGGCTAATTTTTTGTATTTTTAGTAGAGGCAGGGTTTCACTGTGTTAGCCAGGATGGTCTTGATTTCCTGACCTCGTGATCTGCCAGCCTCAGCCTCCCAAAGTGCTGGGATTACAGGCGTGAGCCACCACGCCCAGCCCCATCCCTCTTGCTTTTGTCAAAATTATTCTTTTGTTATTCTTTCCACCTGTGCTCCAGATCCTCTCACCTCCCTCAGGGACTTCTTTCATCTTTCCATCCTTCTTGGCTGTGGAGAAAATAATTACAGCTTATGAGAAAAGATCAGAGATATACGAATTAGAAAAAATAAACTATTTCTATTTGTGGATGATATAGCATCCTGGAAAACTCAGCGGAACCGAGTCTTAAATTCATACTAACAATATGATAATTCAGTATAGGAGCAGGATATAAAATTAACACAAAAATAGTCTTCATCCGTGTTTACAATAACAAACTACAAGACAAAATGGACTCCAATTACAATAACAACAGAAAAGAAAAAGCTCTTGGAAACAAAGAAGTAGGCAAAACCTGCATTAGTTAAATTTAAAAACTTTTCTGAAGATACAAAAGTAGACTAGAACAAATGGACAAACATCCTTTATTTTTGGATAGTATGACTCAACATCATAGAGATATCAATTTTCTCCAAGTCAATATGTAAAATTTAACACGATGTCAAAAATCCAACAAATTATTTTTTGAGGCTAGGCAGCTTGACTCCAAAATTTTTATCAAGAATAGCACAAGGCAGAAGGGAGAGCTAGCCCTACTAAACCTTAAAACAATGTGGTGTTAGTACATAAATAGACAAAGAGATCAAGAGAGCAGCACAGCAAGTTCAGAACAAGCCCAGAAATAGAGCCCAGTACATATAAACATTAGTGTATGCTTAGACGAGACGGTATCTCAATCTGCTGGGATGGACTTTAAATAAATGGTGTTCGGACAACTGGATAACCATTTGGAAATAGATAAAATTGGATACATACTTCACAGTGTATATCAGAATAAAAAGTAAAAACTAAAAGTACTAGGAGAACACATGGCATAATTTCTTTATAACCTAAAAATGGAAAAAAACTTTGATTACTAAAAGTCTAAAAGAAATCAAATTAAAACAATGATTCTACTACTTAGTTTTTTTGTATAGAAATAATGTATATAAGCACGCTGCCTTTTGTGTAAAATAAAAGGTGAAATAAAATACATTTATGTCAGCCGGGCGCAGTGGCTCATGCCTGTAATCCCAACACTTTGGGAGGCCAAGGAAGCTGGATCACATGAGGTCAGGAGTTCAAGACCAGCCTGACCAACATGGTGAAACCCTGTCTCTACTAAAAATATAAAAAATTAGCCTGGCGTGGTGGCACATGCCTGTAATCCCAGCTACTGGGGAGGCTGAGGCAGGAGAATCATTTGAACCCAGGAGGTAGAGGTTGCAATGAGTCGATACTGCACCACTGCACTTGGGCCTGGGAGACAGAGCGAGACCCAGTCTCAAAAAAAAAAAAAAAAAAAAAAAACATTTATGTGTATATTCATATTTGCTTAATTTTATAAAAAGGATAATAGGAAAAGGAAACCAGGAATTTTTGGAAATGGTTAACTATTTGAGGAGGGAGCTGATGAAGTGGTGAAGACAGAGATAGAAATGAGATACTTCTGATAAACTTTTATTTAGGAGCAAATAGACTTCAAGCACTTTGAATCCTGAATGCTGCTGTAGTTCAGTTGTTTGACCCCCAAACCTCATGTTGAATTTTGATCCTCAGTGTTGAAGATGGGGCCTAATGGGAGATGTTTGGGTAATAGGGCAGATTCTTCATGAATGGCTTAATGCAGTTCCCGTGGGAATGAGTGAGTTCTCCATCCATTAGTTTGCAAGACAGCTGATTGTTAAAAAAAGCCTAGCACCTCCGTCCTCTCTCTCTTTCTTCTGTGCTTTTGCCACGTGATCTCTGCACACACTAGCTCCCCTTCACCTTCCACGATGAGTGGAAGCAGCCTGAGGCTTCACCAGAAGCAAATGCTGGTGCCATGCTTCTTGTACAGCCTGCAGAACTGTGAGCCAAGTAAACCTCTTTCCTTTACAAATTACTCAGCCTCAGGTATTCATTTGCAGCAACGCTAACAGACTAAGACAAATGCCCTCTTTAAGAATACAAAATTGGGACTGAAAAACTAGGCATGAATGTGAATATTTAGAATATTCTTCTAGAACTACCCAAATACTTCATCGAAACAGAGCTCCAAAGATTATATTCATATCCCATTATATTCTCTGGCCCTGAAACTTCATGTCACATCACTGAATGAGTGGCTGGTAGTGGTATTCTTGGAAGTCATTTCTGCCCTGAGATGGTCAGCAATAATCATGCATGGAGACAACTGCAAACCACACAAATACTTATCAGTAAATATAGCCTCAATTCAGCTTTCCCTTAGCCATAGTGATTTCCTGTTAATTGGAGCCCACTTTATTATTTGTAGCTAATTTCCACCAATCAACCTTTTTTTTGGTGTGTGTGCAAAGCTTTGGGATGGCTTTTACCAGATGTTGATTTTTTTCTCCTTACCTCTGGCAGTGTCTGTAACAATGTCAACTTTTCTTGATATGTTTGCACACATTTGCTCCCTGCAGAGACGGAAGACCTGGGTTTGGCCTGTCTGCCCTCCATACAGTGCCTGCTTGTTCCCCAGTCCCTTCTGGATTAGGTGTTTATGATCTCTCACAAAAGATAAATGGGTTTAATAAAACAGAGAGGAAGACAAATTCTAAAGTTATATACAATGTATGGATTTCTTAACAAGTACTAGAAATATGTTTCAACTTAGCTCAAGCACTCATAGTCATGTGACTCACGCCTAGACTTACATAGGACTCCTTCTATGCACAACTGCGTAAGACGTTACCCTTCCTTTACAAGAGCAATTTTCTAAGCAAAATACCTGGTATTAATGACCTTGTGCAAATTGCTGGAAAAGCTGCTGCAGCTGGTGTTGAAGTTTGATGACTGTAAGTCTTTGCCCTTATGGGATCTTGGACATAGAAATGATGTTATTAGCTCACAGTTCCTTCTCCTCCTTAAGGGGAACAGGCAAATAGAATAACACAACAAGCGATGTCAAAATTTCATTTCCTTCTAAGATAAAAGGCCTGTATGTAAAGATTCAGCTGAGTGGCAGTGGCTAAAAGAGCAATTTCAATGAGCTATCATTAAATGTGGGATTCCATGGCTACTGCCAAATACACTGGAATTCCATTTTTCAAATGCGATTTATGTTTGATCTTTAGACAACCATCTTCCCAAGATTTACTTGTGTGTAATTTCTCAGTGAAAAACTTCTCAGTGAAAAGGAAACTCCTTTCCCCTTCCTTTTGTCGAATTGTCTCTCATCCCTGATTTACTTGTATTAAAAAAAAGGAATTGGAAAGAGTGTGTGCTGGTGTGTTATTTAGCTGAGTTCTTGGCTGCTGGCTTCTATCCGTTTTCAGACTAGCTGAAAATTAAGATGATTAAGAGATGGCTGAAGGTACAACTAGATGCTAAAATAGTGTCTACAATAAAAACATCTGGAAGGTTGTAGAACTTTTAGGAGTGTTGAACCCAGTGAGGCAAACACTGAAATAAATGTCTATGGGAAGGTTTGGTAACCCATGATTATGGGCAGAGCTATTTTCCTAGAAAAAGTTTTTATTTTTTTATTTTTTTGAGACAGAGACTTGCTCTGTCACCCAGGCTAGAGTGCAGTGGCACGATCTCACCTCACTGCAACCTCCCCCTCCTGGGTTCAAGTGATTCTCCTGCCTCAGCCTCTTTAGTAGCTGGGATTACAGGCATGCACCACCACGCCCAGCTAATTTTTTGTAGAGATGGGCTTCACTATGTTGGCCAGGCTGGTCTCAAACTCCTGGCCTCAAGTGATATGCCTGCCTCAGCCTCCCAAAGTGCTGGGATTACAGGCGTGAGCCACCACACCCAGCCTGTTTTCACAGAAAGTTAATTGGCTATTGAAATTCAGCAGCACTGGCTGGGTGCGGCGGCTCACATCTATAATCCCAGCACCTTGGGAGGCCGAGGTGGGTGGATCATGGGGTTAGGAGTTCAAGACCAGCCTGGCCAACATAGTGCAACCCCGTCTCTACTAAAAATACAAAAGTTAGCCGGGTGTGGTGGCGAGTGCCTGTAGTCCCAGCTACTCGGGAGTCTGAGGCAGGAGAATCACTTGAACCCGGGAGGTGGAGATTGCAGTGAGCCAAGATCACGCCACTGCACTCCAGCTTGGGCAACAGAATGAGACTCTGTCTCAAAATGAAAAAAATAAATAAATAAATAAAAGAAAGAATTCAGCAACAATTTTCTAGGAAAAGAAACAAAATGAAAATACAGTACAGCTTTTGATTTTAAGAGCAGTTCACTATGTAGGCTTTTGTAGCTTTCATAAGGAGTGGTTCACCAACCTTGGTGCATGTAAAAATTACTTAAGGAGTGTTAAAAATGTAGATTCCAAGTCCTTTTCCCAGAGTTTCTGATTCTGCAGGTTGCTGGGGTACAGCCCAGCAACCTGCCTCTTGGATAACTATTTCAGGTGATTCAGGTATTGGTGGTCTTTAGACCACATTATGTTTAATACTACTTCGATGTTTCACTGAAATTCTATTTGATCTTTTAAAAATAGTCCAGACTATCGTAAGCATTTTCCATGTCATTATATAACGTCAAGTAGAAAAAAGCAGGTATAAGTAGGAGATACGATATAGTATTACTACAACACCTAAAACAGTGTCTCCTTCAAATGAAATCAGTATACAAAACATTACCTCACTTGTGTCAGATTTGTGGTGGACAGTCATGGACCCATTTGTTCTCCTTCCCTATTTCCAACCAGCAGAAATTTACTAGGGGACTGAGACCCACAAACTAATTATTGCCACTTCCCTCCTCGCTGGCCTCCTGCGAGGTTCTGATTCTGGGAAGCAGGGTGAGAGGAGTGGAGGCGGGGAGGCGAGGCACTTCCTGTTTCTGAATTTTGTGGGCACCCCTCCCTCCAGCAGCAGCAGCACAGAGAGGGCCCCAAGCATCCTTTCTCATGCCCAGCAGCGCCTCTCCATGGTTGCGGGACCAGCCTAGTGCCCCACCTTGGCTGTCCTAATACTCCTTAGAGCCCACCCTACAGTAAGCAAACTTCCAGGTCATTCCAGATTCTTGGAACACCATCCCTTCCCTTTTGTTCTACCTAGCCCTAAGGATGATAGGTGCTTTCTGCAGTTACTAATCTTGGAGTTTATCCCCAATTTTGGAGGTGGGGCCTGGTGGAAGGTGATTAAATCATAAGGGTGGTTTAGCAACATTCCTTTGGATGCTGTTCTCTTGATAGTGAGTTCTTGTGAGATCTGGTTGTTTCAAAGTGTGTAGCCCTCCCCTCTCTATTTCTCTGACTCCTGCTCCTGCCATGTAAGACACTCACTCCATCTCTGCCTTCCACCATGATTAGAAGCTTCCTGAGGCCTCCCCAGAAGCAGATGCCGCCGTGCTTCCTGTACAGCCTGCAGACCCAAGAGCCAATTAAACCTCTTTTCTTTATAAATTATCCAGTCTCAGATATTTCTTTATAGCAATGCAAGAAAGGACAAATACACCTAGTGTATCTTCGTTTTTCCTCCCTGGACCCTGACTAACATAGTGAAATGATGGCCATTTAGTTTCTCTAGTTTTTCACTTTTTTTGGTATGTCTGTATTGCTTTATTTTAAAATAACAGCTTTATGGAGATAAAATTCTCATGGCATAAAATACACTGTTTTAAGAGTACAATTCAGTAGTTTATAGTGTATTCTCAATGTTGTGCAACTATTACCACTCTCTAATTCCAGAGAGATCCTGTGCCTGTTGGCAGTCTCACCTCCCCATGTATCCTTTCCCCAAGACAGCCATTATTCCCCGCTGGCAGCCATTACTCTACTTTCTGTCTCTGTGGATTTGCCTATCCTGTGTAAAATGGAATGATACATATGTGGCTTTTTGTATCTGGCTTCTTTGATTTAAAATAATGTTTTGAGGTTCACTCATGTTGCAGCATGTTTCAGTACTTCATTTCTTTTTATAGCCAAATGACATTCCGTTGTCTGGATAGACCATGTTTTGTTTATCCATTCGTCAGTTGATGGGCAGTTGGGTTATTTACACTTTTTGGCTATTATGAGTAATGCTGCTATGAACATTCACATAAAAGTTTTTGTGTGAGGCCAGGCATGGTGGCTCACACCTGTAATCCCAGCACTTTGGGAGGCTGAGGCAGGTGGATCACCTGAGGTCTGGAGTTCAAGACCAGCCTGGCCAACACAGTGAAAGCCCGTTTTACTAAAAATACAAAAATTAGCTGGGCGTGGTGGCCGGTGCCTGTAGTCCCAGCTAATCAGGAGGCTGAGGCAGGAGAATCACTTGAACCCGGGAGGTGGAGGTTGCAGTGAGCCGAGATCACGCCACTGCAGTCCAGCCTGGGCGACAGAGTGAGACTCTGTCTCAAAAAAAAAAAAAAAATTTTTATGTGAATACATGTTTTTAATTCTTTTGGGTATATGCCTAGAAGTGGAATTGTTGGGTCATATGGTAATTCTGTGTAACTTTGAAGAGTTTTGTTTCCCAAAGCCGATGCCCCATTTTACATTCCCACCAACATTGTATCAGGGTTTAAATTTCTCCACATCTGTGTTAGTACTTGTTACTGTCCATCTTTTTGAGTATAGCTGTCCTGGTGGGTGGAAAGTGGCATTTCATTATAGTTTTGATTTGCATTTCCTCACTGAATAATGATGTTGAGCATCTTTTCATGTGCTTAGTGGCCATATGAATATCTTTTTTTAGGATAATGTCTTTTGCAATCTTTTGCCCATTTTAAAATTGAGTTATTTGACTTTTCATATTGAATTATAAGAGTTTTGAGCCTAGGCAAGGTGCGGTGGCTCACGCCTGTAATCCCAGCACTTTGGGAGGCCGAGGCGGGCAGATCATGAGGTCAGGAGTTCGAGACCAGCCTGGCCAACATAGTGTAAACCCGTCTCTATTAAAAATACAAAAAATTAGCCAGGCATGGTGGCAAGTGCCTGTAATCCCAGCTACTTGGGAGGCTGAGACACATGCAAAAGAATAAAGTTGGATTCCTGCCTCATACAGTATACAAAAACTAACTTAAAATGGATCACAATCCTAAAAGTAAGAGCTAAAGCTATAAAACTCTCAGAAGAAAATATAGGTGTAAATATTCATGACCTTGGGTTAGGTAAGAGTTTCCTAGATATGATATTGAATGCGCAAGCAATAACAACAACAAAATTAGGTAAACTGTCTACGGCCATACCACCCTGAATGTGCCTAATCTCATCCAAAATTAGGTAAACTGGGGATCATCAAAATTAAAAGATTAGCTGGGCACAGTGGCTCACACCTGTAATTCCAGCACTTTGGGTGGCCAAGGTGAGTGGATCACTTGAGGTCAGGAGTTCAAGACCAGCCTGGCTGACATGGTGAAACCTAGTCTCTACTAAAAATAAAATTAGCTGGCTGTGGTGGTGGGTGCCTGTAATCCCAGCTACTCGGGAGGCTGAGGCAGGAGAACTACTTAAACCTGGGAGGTGGAGGCTGCAGTGAGCCAAAACTGCACCAGTGCACTCCAGCCTGAGTGACAGAGCAAGACTCCTTCTCAAAACACACACACAAAATTAAGATATCTTGTGCTTCAAAGGAGAGAAACTGAAAAGAAATCCCACAGAATGGTAGAAAAATTTTGCAAATCATATATCGATGAAGGACTAATATCCAGAATATATTTTAAAACTCTCTCTCTCTCTCTATATATATATATACACATATATATGTATACCCACGTGTGTGTGTGTGTGTATATATGTATACATACATATATATATATATATATATATATATATATATATATATATATATATATTTTTTTTTCTTTTTTTAGATGGAGTCTTGCTCTGTAGCCCAGGCTGGAGTGCAGTGGTGAGATCTTGGCTCACTGCAAGCTCCGCCTCCCAGGTTCAAGCCATTCTCCTGCCTCAGCCTCCTGAGTAGCTGGGACTACAGGCGCCTGCCACCATGCCCGGCTAATTTTTTGTATTTTTAGCAGAGATGGGGTTTCACCGTGTTAGCCAGGATGGTCTCGATCTCCTGACCTTGTGATCCACCCACCTCGGCCTCCCAAAGTGCTGGGATATGTATATATTTTTTGAGACAAGTGAAGTAACTCAGGAATGGAAAATCAAACATTGTATGTTCTCACTCATAAGTGGGAGCTAAGGTATGAGGACCCAAAGAATAATACAATGGACTTTGAGGATTCAGGGGCAGGAGGCAGGTGAGGGCTGAAAGACTATACATTGGGTACAGTGTAAACTGCTCGGGTGATGGGTGAACCAAAATCTCAGAAATCACCACTAAAGAATTTATTCATGTAACCAAACACCACCTGTTCCCCAAAAACCTATTGAAATTAAATAAATAAATAAATAAATAAATAAATAAATAAATAAATACATGCAAGCCTTTAACAACCCTACGAGGTTCTAGGGGGACAGCGTCACTTCTCTCTATTATCATGGCTTCCTTGGCCATTCCAACTGTGCATCCCAGTTGTCTTGCCCATCTTTTTCCGGGGGTTCCTCCCTTTCGTGGTACTCTCTTTTGCTCTGAATCACATACTTGAATTATCTCTGTGCCAGCAAGCTCCCAGACCACTCTTCCACTTCAGCTCAGTTATGACAATAATCTCTTCCTGGTTTTCCTTTTGCACCGTGGCTCCCTACTCTTAACAGACCCACTGCCCCCTAGGTAACAAGGATGTATGCCCTCCATCCTAATCTGAAATGAAGTCTATAGATATCATAATTACATGCAAAACAATTTTTAAAAAATCAACATACTGCCTCCAGGCGCGGTGGCTCACACCTGTAATCCCAGCACTTTGGGAGGCTAAGGCAGGTGGATCACGAGATCAGGAGTTCAAGACCAGCCTGACCAACATAGGTCAAGGTGGGTGGATCATGAGGTCAGGAGTTCAAGACCAGCCTGGCCAACATAGTGAAACCCCGTCTCTACTAAAAATACAAAAAATTAGCTAGGCATGGTGGTGGTCGTCTGTAATCCCAGCTACTTGGGAGGCTGAGGCAGGAGAATCACTTGAACCCGGGAGGCAGAGGTTGCAGTGAACGGAGATTGCATCACTGTACTCCAGCCTGGGCAACAGAGTGAGACTCTGTCAAAAAAAAAAAAAAATCAACATACTGCCTTAAGTATAAAGTAGAATGGTAAATTTTCAGTATGCAAATCCTGTAGCACAACTATACTAGAATACACAATCAAGTCATCAGGAGATTATATAAATTTCTAAGGGAAAATATTCATTTTTCTTTACTTCAAATACTTTGAAATAAGAGCTACATAAGCACATTTGTCTATACACAAGTAGAATCACTGTGACTACCACTGGTACTAATGCAGACTAACACTATGTTACTTTGGTAACTGAAATATGAGAGAATGACTTGATTTTCTAAAATAGTGAACAACTTGGTAAAATTCCAAAGTACAATTTACCCTCAATGTAAAAGAAAGTTGTTTTCCTAGAAAATTTGGTGTATACCTAGAAAAATTCAGTTAAAACTAGAAAAAATTTATATTTAAATGTAAGCAGGCTTTACAGCTAATAAAGGGCCTGTGTCTTGTAGGACATTTAGCATCCTGACCTTTCCTGGCCAATGAATGGCAGCAGTACCCGCCTGACCCCACCCATCACTGCAGCAACCAAAAAGGCCTCACTTACTTCCAGGGTGCCCCCAGCATGGCCATAGAAACACACGTAACCAATCTGACTAGCCTTGCTTTACATGTATGACCACACATCTCCAGCGGGCTCCCCAAACTACATTTCCCTGCTCTATTCACTCTCGCTCTGTCCTAAATAACTATTTTACACCTTCTCCTCTCTTCTCAAAATCCCAATGCCTCTCTCTCTCCCCATTCTCAGAAAAGAATCTTGAATATTAATACACAGAGAAAACCAAAGCACTCAGAAGATCACCTCCCCATGCTGCAATCACCAGCTCCTCAGATCCCCATGCATTTGAACCCATTGACCGGACTGTTTTCCAGCCCTGTGCTTGTCCTGTGTGTGCTTCTGAGAAAGGGCAGCACCCACTTTGCACACTTGCATTTTTTTTTTTTTTTTTTGAGACGGAGTCTCGCTCTGTCACCCAGGCTGGAGTGCAGTGGCGTGATCTGGGCTCACTGCAAGCTCCGCCTCCCGGACTCATGCCATTCTCTTGCCTCAGCCTCCTGAGTAGCTGGGACTATAGGCGCCCGCCACCACACCCAGCTAATTTTTTGTATTTTTTTTTTTTTTTAGTAGAGAGATGGGGTTTCACCGTGTGAGCCAGGATGGTCTCGATCTTTTTTTTTTTTTTTAGATGGAGTGTCGCTCTGTCGCCAGGCTGGAGTACAGTGGCACAATCTCGGCTCACTGCAACCTCTGCCTCCTGGGTTCAAGTGATTCTCGTGCCTCAGCCTCCCGAGTAGCTTGGATTACAAGCACGCACCACCACACTCAGCTTAATTTTTGTGTTTTTAGTAGAGATGGGGTTTCACCATGTTGGCCAGGATGATCTTGATCTCCTGACCTCATGATCTGCCCGCCTCGGCTTCCCAAAGTGCTGAGACTACAGGCATGAGCCACCGCGCCTGGCCTCCCCTGTCTCTTTTATCACAGCTAAACTTTGTTCTAGCAATTCCTCCTCCCATTCCTGTGCCCGCTGTAGGTTTTCCCCTCTCTAGGAGATCATTCTCATCAACATATGAACATACTAAAATATTTTCAATGATAAAGACAAAAAAACATTCCTTGACTTCACATTTCCTTCCAGCTACAGATAGATTCCTCCAGCCCCTTTCTAGCCCCTTTCCAACAAGATCCCAGTGAGCTCATTGTCTGCACCTCCTCCCTCCCATTCTATTCAACTTATTTGAGTTAGGCTTTTGTTCACCCAATGAATAGGCCTTTGTTGAGGTCACTCTTGACCTCCACAATGGGAAATGCAATAACCCACTCTCTATGCACATCTTCCTCTACTCTCAGTGGACTTGCCGAGGTTGTGTGAAACCCTTTCTTTGCTTGGCTACCCAGACATCATGTTCTCCTGATTTGCCCACCTCACTGGCTGCTCCTTTGCCCCCTTAGCTGGATCCTTCTTCTCTTCCTAAACTGAACAATGGCTCAGTTCTTGGCCCTCTCCTCTGCCTACCAAGCTTGTCCAACCTGCCTTATTTTGTTGTTGTTGTTTTGTTTTGCTCTAGGCTTTTAGCAGCCTGAAACCATGGCTGCTAACAACTGCTTTTTAGTTTCTGTCTCCAGTGATAAGCAGAAAAAAGGGATGAGGAAGGGGCTTTACTGGCCCACCCAGAAACATAAACTAAGAACCCATGACTGTATTCTCTCCCTTGGATACCGCTGATCCCTACACCCTCTTCTTGAGTGATCTCAATAGGTCCTATGGCTGTAAGTGCCATCAGTATGCTGAAGGCTTTGGAAATGGAGCTTCCACCCTTGGACTCTCCCTTGAACTCCAGACTCATAGACCCAACAGCCTACCTGGATGTCTGTCAGCTGTGTCAATTTAACATGTCAGACACAGAGCTCAGAGAACTTCAACCCCAATCTACTCCCTCCAGTATTCCCATTCTGATAGCACTGGGCTCAGCCCAAATGCTTCAGTTTCTCTCATACCCCACATATAATCCAGCATTAAATTGTCCCCCTTCTCCCTCTCCCACCTGAATCATGCCACCTTCATTCTCTCGTTCCCTATTCACCTCCATGTCCTAACCAAACATCAGCTGTAGGTTGACTTCAGGAGAGTTCCTGAAATAGAAAGAAATGTCCTGGAATCCTCAATATTGACCCCCCCGTGCATGCCCTCCCCAAACGCATGATGAAACAAGAATGCCAGAACACAGAGCACCCACTCAGCTGCCTTCTTGGTGTGTGGAAGGGAAAATGCCTCTCATGTTTTTTTTTTTTTTTTTTTTTTAGACAAGAGTCTTGCTCTTGTCTCCCAGGCTGGAGTGCAATGGCGCCATCTTGGCTCACTGCAACCTCCGCCTCCTGGGTTCAAGTGATTCTCCTGCCTCAGTCTCCTAAGTAGATGGGATTATTGGCATGTGCTGCCATACCCGGCTAATTTTTGTATTTTTAGTAGAGACGGAGTTTCACCATGTTGGCGAGGCTGGTCTCGAACTCCTGACCTCAAGTGATCTGCCCGCCTTGGGCTCTCAAAGTGTTGAGATTACAGGCATGAGCCATCGCACCCGGCCTCCTCCCATGATTTTGGATCCCTTACACATTAATATTCTATTACACTACAAAGATACACATAATATGATATGATGAAAAATAAGTAAATGAGAAACTCAAGACTGAGGGAACATAAAACATTAGGAAAAAATAAACCAGGAGTAGTGTCATTACTTAAATCACTGCTGCCATGTCTTTCCTAGTTGCAAAAGGGGCTGAAAACTCAGCCCTGAGCTTCCTAGAAAACAAGGAATGCTCTATCAGTTTCAAGATTTACAATATCTCCAAGGTAAAAACAAATGATTTAATAAGGTGAAATGCAGCTTTCCCTTGTTTGAGACCTAAGAAAAATGTCTATGTGGTTTAAATTTCTACTCTACACTTCTCAGCCAAGCCTAGGGACCATAAATCTGGAAAAGAAAAGGCCAATCTTAAGAGGCTGAGCTTGGAGGCCTGAGCTTTTGGAGGTTTGATATAAAATGATGATAGGACCCTTGATACTGCCACCCACATGTGAGTCCTAGGCAATGATGCTGAGCGCCTGGTGAAAGGCTAGGACTGAGTGACCCACGGTGGTTTGCCTGATTCAGGGGGCTCCAATGATTTGATCCGGCAGAAGGTGGGATAGCGGTGTTACCTAGTAAAGAGAAATTAAAAAGAAAGAAAAAGAGCAGGTAACAGGGAAGAAGCTGGTTGCTCCTGAGAGTCTGGTTTCTCCGGGGGATGTGAGCTCTTCAGGTAAGCCCGCTACCCACAGCCTGCTGTGAGAACTAGCTCTTAGCTTGAGGCCAGCATTTAAGTAAGATTGGTAGAAGTGGGAACCAGTAATATTTCAAGCAGCCTGGTAGAAAATGCATCTGAAGTTCACCAAAATATCACAGTTCTTTACGTTTTTAGGATGACAAATATTATAGAGATTATTACACCAATGATGTTTCTGACAAACATAATTTGGAAGAGTGGATGATTAGTGTGGTTTATTTGGTGAAATAACTCTTTGAAAATGAGGAAGTCACAAAAAGAAAAAATAATAGGAAGAACATTGCTGTAAAAAAAAAAATTGGCTGGGCGAGGTGGGTGGCCAAGCACCATGGCTCACGCCTGTGATCCCAGCACTTTGGGAGCGAATCACCTGAGGTCAGGAGTTTGAGACCAGCCTGGCTAACATGGTGAAACCCCATATCTACTGAAAATACAAAATTAGCCAGGCATGGTGGTGTACACCTGTAGTCCCAGCTACTCAGGAGGCTGAGGCTGGAGAATCACTTGAACCCAGGAGGCGGAGATTGCAGTGAGCTGAGATCACACCACTGCACTCCAGCCTGGGCAACAGAGTGAGACTCAGTCTCAGAAAAAAAAAAAAAAAAAAAAAAGGGGAAAACACTAGCATGGGGGTGAGCCTTAAATTGATAAAGCATCTGAGAAAAAAAAACTTCTAGGAGGGGTGTGGGGGCTCACGCCCATAATCCCAGCACTTTGGGAGGCTGAGGCAGGAGGATTGCTTGAACCCAGGAGTTCAAGACTGGCTCAGAAAACAAAGTGAGACCCCGTGTCTACAAAAAATAAAAAAAATTAGCCAGGGTACATGGGAGGCTGAGGTGGGAGGATTGCTTGAGCCTAGGAGGTCGAGGCTACAGTGAGCTGTAATCACACCACTGCACTCCAGCCTGGATGTCAGAGTGAAACCCTGTCTCAAAAAAAAAAAAAAAAAAAAAGGAAAAGAATAAAGAAAATAACTTTTATGTAAGGAAGGCAATTCCTTTTAATAATCAGGCCCAGAGAGACATTGAATTGAGAAAGCAATCACGCTGTACTCCCCGCTTTGAGCTATGTATTGATCAACTGCTTGCTATTGCCACATTAGACACGATAATCCACATTCTATGGCTTAACAATGTATAGCCAATCAATAGGCAATGTTATTTCTGTAAACAAATGAGAATTCCTGACAAACAGCTTTGTATCAGTCCACTCCCTGCCCCCAAGTTTTGCCTTTAAAAATCCCCTTGTAACTGCTACAAATTTGAGCGCATATTCAGGACAACTTTAATCTATGATCTGGGGTTGCAGTCCTCAAGCCTGGCCCAAATAAACTGCCTGCTTATGTTAATTTTGCCTAAGCTTTTTCCTTTCAGGTTGACATACCTGCATTGGAGATGGCCATGTGGGCCATGAGAGAGATAATCTTCAGGTTTGAAGTCTTCCAACTTCTAAAAGTTGATTGAGAGAAAACAGGTGTTTATCTTTCTCATGGAATATTTGATGAGTAAGCTGCAATTTCTCTCCTTGAATTCAAATGAGTTTATGAGGCAGGTTTGTTGGACTTGAATGTAAGCATTTGTCAATATCGATTCCTGCACTGATGACCTAACACCGCCCATGTATTCTTACCTGATTCTCACTGCATCTCTAAGAGGTAGGTAGGGATTTTTCATATTCTGAGGAAAAAGAAATTATCAGAATTTAAGTAAATGCAAAGTTACACAGCTAGAAAATGAAGGGATACGTTTTAAAAAAACCCTTGCTCTTTTCTCTCCAACAGCTGAGAAAACAGGGACCGGAGCCAACGTGGATCTACAGTGTTTGTTGATACTGTACTGGGAAGGATGCAGACTTCTAGTGAGGAAAGAGAAGAAATCACAGTTTGGAGTAGAATCCCCAATTATAAACTATCTCGGTGGCTCCCAACTATTTTGATATGATAAAGTCTCTCTAAAATAGAATTCTGGCCGGGCATGGTGGCTCAAGCCCATAATCCCAGCACTTGGGGAGGCCAAAGGCAGGCAGATCACTTGAGGTCAGGAGTTCGAGACCAGCCTGGCTAACATGGTGAAACCCCATCTCTACTAAAAATACAAAAATTAACTGGGCTGTGGTGGTCATCTGTAATCTCAGCTACTCAGGAGGCTGAGTCAGGAGAATCGCCTGAACCCAGGAGGCGGAGGTTGCAGTGAGACAAGATCGTGCCACTGCACTCCAGCCTGGGTGACAGAGTGAGAGTCTGTCTAAAAAAAAAAAATTGAATTGTACCATTCCACTGGCATGGAAAAGGTATGCCTGAGATGTCAAATCACCAGAAGTTACCATGACCTGATTACCACACCTAAAGGAACCTGATTTTTAATGGGTCTATGTCATATGTACTTCACATACTTGACATATGTGTGAAGACAATGTTTGGCAGCTGCTGCCCAGTTCTTCTCGGTTTCCTTTCAAAGTCTCTGCAGTGCCCTTATCCACACCCACACAGATCGAGGTCTGCATCTCACAGGCTATAAACCTTCAGGACAGAGATGGAAGCTTGGGGGAAATGAAATGTTAAGTGGTTAGGGTAGAAAAATAGGAACTGTGGGGTTTTAGGGAGCCGATGTGGCACAAAACCCCAGAAAGCCTTTGAGCCTCTTCAGCCATCACCATGCCTCACCCTCCCTGCCCACCAAGCTCACTGGTGCTGACACCCAAGGCTTTGTGAGGGAGTCAGGCATTCTTATTGTTTATCACACTTGTAGAGTTGGCACACAGTTAGACATGAGCAGGAAAGGGAGCCCCTGGGGGAGGAAGCTCCAGAGACCACCTGAAACCTGCATGCTAAATATGAGCACAGGGGAAGATACCTATGCAGAAAGGAATGTCCCAAACACCCCATCAGATGCCCAGTCGCTGCTCATTCTGCTGGTAAACTGTCAGAATGTAGCTAGCTGTATGCTGATAGGAAGGGAAAAAGGAAAAAGGGGGAATTCCTAAGAGATACACAGGCACAATAGGTACAGATTTGACTGCTGTAGACCTTCCTGGTGTGGTGGTCTCGAGCAAGGCTACCATTAGGTAGGATTTGTATTGATCACCATGCCTCATGCATGCACGTCAACTGACCAGAAGGAGGAATCCCACAAACCTGGGCAGGGACTTAAGACAGGAACAGGAAACTAGACAAAGACAAAGACAGAGACTTAAGACAGAAGTAGGCACTTAAATAAACAGTCCAACATAATAAAAACCACAACACAAGGCTCTCAGGGCTGCTCTGGGTCAGCCTGCCCCTCTCATGATGTGTTCTTTTATTTCCTTAATAAACCTTCTTGTTTACTTTACCAATTGGTCTCTTGGCTGAATTCTTTTCTCCAAGAAGACTAAGAACTTAGGACCCCACACTTCCCAGTAACAACATTACAACATTGGCACAGCACTCTTCATTTTACTCAACACCCATGTGAACAAGGTGGTATTATTTCTGTTTCATAGGTGAGAAAATGGAGGATCAGATCAAGAGACAAGCCCATTAAATGACAGAAGAGGGGCTGAAATCTGAGCCCTAGCTGCAGGTGAGATGGAGCAAGGATCCACTCTTAGGGGCCTATGGCACCCTTTGAGCACGGAAATAAAGGAAAATCTTGAGTTCCCTTAAGGAAAATTCCAGCCACCTAGTTAGCACTGAGAAGTAAATAAGCAACTTGACCATCAAGAAGGTAATAGTAGCCTACGGCCAGGTGTGGTGGCTCACGCCTGTAATCCCAGCACTCTGGGAGACAAGGCAGGTGAGTTGCCTGAGGTCAGGAGGGCGAGACCAGCCTGGCCAACATGATGAAACCCTGTCTCTACCAAAAATACAAAAATTAGCTGGGTGTGGTGGTGCACGCCTGTAGTCCCAGCTGCTCAGGAGGCTGAGGCAGGGGAATCACTTGCACCTGGAGGTGGAGGTTGTAGTGAGCCAAGATTGCACCACTGCACTCCAGCCTGGGGGACAGAGTGAAACTCTGTCTCAAAAAAAAAAAAAAAAGAAGCTAATAGTAGCCTAAAACAATAGCCAAGAAAGCTAGAATCAAAGGACATATGGTTTCCTATAGAAACTACAGATAACATTTTAACATATGTCTCTGAATTTCTTTTCAGAAACTCAGACCCTTACCAAATAGATCCACCAGCATGCAGACCTCAGATAAGGGGGAACTGGAGACTGAACTCTGACCACCATGTCTTGTTCTTTTGTTCTACATTTCTTCCTGAGGGGCCTGGAGAAAGTTACACCTACGAGCCAGAGCTAACATTCTTTTCTGCTGACCCCACAATTTTTATTTTTATTTATTTTGTTGCTTACTTATTTAAAAAATTGAGATGGACTCTTGCTATGTTGCCTAGGCTGGTCTTGAACTCCTGGGCTCAAGCGATCCTCCCGCCTCGGCCTCCCAAGTGCTGGAATTACAGGCGTGAGCCACTGCGCCAAGCCCTCAAATTTTTAAACAAAGTATTTCTTCCTTAACAAATTGCCACTCAGAAAAATCTCTGAATCTATCTATGACCTGTAGATAGGTCCCCACTTCAAGACATCCCACCTCTTTCAGCCAATGCCCACGTGCAACCTCCAGGTATTGATTTACGATTTTGCCTGTAACTTCTGCTTTCCTGAAACTTACCCTGCCTTTAAGAACTCTTACCTGTGAGGATTAAACTCTGACCTTCTTCCTCTCTTGCCCAAATTCCTATCTAAGGGGCCTAGGTTTGCCCTACAAACCATAAAATCTCATCAGAGAGGTTTTATTTAACCTGATATAACATGGCCTGCTTTCCAAACTGACTCTGGTATAACTGAAACCGCCATTGCAAAATTATAACTGAGACCATGACACAGATCTGAGCTAACAAACTCCATCTTGCTTCTAACCTCCAAGCTGTCCTTGTTCATTCCTGGGAATAGGCTGAAATAACTTTGGGAGAAATTTAGTTTATAGTTTATAGTTTGAAACGAAGATGATAACAGCCCTTTTTTAAAAACAAACCCCTTTCTTGCCTGGGGACCAGCCTACCTAATTTGTTAGGGGTAACAAATTAGTCATATGGTTAGAAATTATGGTGTAGGAGTCATGCAGCTGGAGGCTACGAGACTCTGATGCTCCCCAAATTGCTACTAGGAATAACATCACTATTGTAAAACCGAAGATCAGTGCTTGAGATATTCTGCAGACCCTGCACTTGATGGATCAGCTGGCACCACCCAGATCAATAAACTGGCTCATCTGATCTTGTGGCCCCATCCAGGAACTGACTCAGCACAAGAGGACAGCTTCAACTCCCTGTGATTTCATCTCCAACCCAACCAACCAGTCAGCACTCTCGACTCACTGCCCTCCTCCAACCCACCAAATTATTCTTAAAAAGTCTGATCCCTGAATGCTCAGAGAGACTGATTTGATTAATAAAACTCTGGTCTCCCACTCAGCTGGCTTTGCATGAAGTACTCTTTCTCTAGTGTAATTCCTCTGTCTTGATAAATTGACTCTGTCTAGGCAGCGGGCAAGGTGAACCCATTGGGCAGTTACATAATATCACATGACAGATAAGGTAATAAAAATATTTTACCCCAAAATATGTTTCTTTGCCATATTTTGAAATGGCCTGCAAAGTCATTTTTTGTGGGGGAAGATTGCATCTGCAAAAAAATCTCTTTTTTTTCTTTCTTTTTTTTTTTTTTTTGAGATAGGGTCTTACTTTGTCACCAAGGCTGGAGTGCAGTGACACAATTCAGCTCACGGCAGCCTCGACTTCTGGGTTCAAGTGATCCTCCTGTCTCAGTCCCCCAAGTAGCTGGGACTACAGGTGTGTGCTACCATGCCCAGCTACTTCTTGTATTTTTTGTAGAGATGGAGTTTCACCATATTGCCCAGGCTGGTCTTGAACTCCTGAGCTCAAGGGATCTGCCTGCCTCCCAAAGTGCTGGGATTACAGGCGTGAGCCACCATGCCCACCCAAGAACCTCTGTTGCTATAACTCGATTGTTCCCCTTTCCAGGCCCCTCCCAATCCTGAGGAGATTGACTGAAAGTCTAGTACTTTAAGGGTCTGCATAGGAAACATTTGCCATCGATTGTGTCTAAGGACAGCGTGGCCCTGACTTCTGTGACTCCTTATCTTTTTTTTTTTTTTTGAGATGGAGTCTCGCTCTGTCGCCCAGGCTGGAGTGCAGTGGCGAGATCTCGGCTCACCGCAAGCTCTGCCTCCCGGGTTCACGCCATTCTCCTGCCTCAGCCTCCCAAGTAGCTGGGAATACAGGTGCCTGCCAGCATGCCCAGCTAATTTTTTGTATTATTAGTAGAGACAGGGTTTCATCGTGTTAGCCAGGATGGTCTCGATCTCCTGACCTCATGATCTGCCCACCTCGGCCTCCCAAAGTGCTGGGATTACAGGCACGAGCCACCGCGCCTGGCCTTGCAACTCCTTATCTTGATGCAGACAATTCTTTCTGTTGATTCCAGGTCTTTAGACAATAACTTAACTCTTTCAACCAATTGTCAATCAGAAAATCTTTAAATCCACCTATGCCCCTCCCCTCCCCCTACCCACTTAGACTTTGTCCTGCCTTTCTGGATGGAACCAATGCAATGTATACCCCATACGTATTGATTAGTGTCTTATTGTCTCCATAGAATGCATAAAAACCAAGCTGTAATCCAATCACCTTGGGCACAAGTTCTCTCCAGACTCTGCCTTGGGCTTTGGTCACTCATATTTGGCTCCGAATACACCTCCTTAAATATTTTACAGAGTCTGACTCTTTTCATTGACACCTGCAAGCCATCAAGGAAGTCAGGATTTAAGCATTAGCTGCCTCATCCTTCTTGCATGGTGCCCTGCAAATAAATATCTTCCTTTCTTCTGCTGCAAACCATTGTGCAGTTATCTGGTCTTACCGTGCCGGGCAAGTGGGCCCTAGTTAGGTTCTATATAACCCTGGTCCTATCCTTCTTTCAAAGCATCATAGCTGACTCAACACTAGATGGGTAAGAAAATGCTATATTTTGCTTCCCTGATTCTCAAAACTATAAAAAAGCTACAACTTTGTAAAGTTTGATAGAGTAGGCTGGGAAACACTGATGTCACGTTGCAGAAAAATCTAGGCTCTGAAATAACACCACATCCCACCCAACCCAACTCCACCCTGTTTTTCCTTATCTCTGATAGCTTAGCCATTATGTTAGCAAAAGCAAAAGGATTTTAAAAATGAATGCTCTTCCCAAGAGCTCTCAGCGTACCAGGGCTGATTTGCAGTTTCCTTTGGGCTAGCTTCACAAGCACTTGAGAAATGGCAACCATACTTAGAGAACTAGCTGTTTGGCTTTCAGTTATCAAGCAGTTGTGATAGAATACCTGGTTGCCAAACTGCTATATCTATCTGAAAATGTTTGTGAGAAGAAGAAAGCCTGAATCATGCTCTGCCACATCCAGCTAGAACCTGAATGCACGAGGATCTGAGCAAGCTCTTTCAAGCTGTGACCATCTGTAAGACTGGGTGATGCCAAACATTCATCCTAAGCTACTTCCCCAAACTATGGAGCCAAAACCCCACAACAATCTATTGTCTTGCTAAGATGTCCTCCAATAGGAGGTGGAAAACAGCCTGGCTTTACTTGGATCCTTTTCTATAAGGAGCTGAATCATCTTCAGAAATTTTAATATTAAAATGTTAATATTTAAATTATATATATATATATATGTATGGTTTTTGCGACGGAGTCTATATTATTACTACAAGCACGCGCCACCATGCCCGGCTAATTTTTGTATTTATAGTAGAGACGAGGTTTCACAATGTTGGCCAGGCTGGTCTCCAACTCTTGACTTTGTGATCTGCCTGCCTCAGCCTCCCAAAGTGCTGGAATTACAGGCATGAGCCACCACTCCAGCCTTAATAATATTAAAAGTCAGCCCTGGTACACTGAGAGCTCTTGGGAGGCACATTCAATTTTAAAATCCTCTTGCTTTTTGCTAACATAATCACTCAGCTATCAGAGATAAGGGAAAACAGGGTGGGGTTGGGTTGGGTGGGACGTGGTGTTATTTCAGAGCCTAGATTTTTCTGCAACGTGACATCAGTGTTTCCCAGCCTACTCTATGAAACTTTTCAAAGTTGTATCTTTTTTATAGTTTTGAGAATCAGGGAAGCAAAATATAGCATTTCTTACCCATCTAGTGTTGAGTCAGCTATGATGTTTTGAAAGAAGGACAGGACCAGTGTTATGAAATAATTGAAGCTTATATCATGTGACAACAATTATCGTAATGTTGTGTGAGTTATTAAGAAATTATTTTAGGCAGATAGAGAAGAAAAGGGGTCCTTGGAAAGTTGTTTCTTTTAAAGCAGCTCCATAAACTTTTTTTTTTTTGGAGACAGAGTCCTGCTCTGTGGCCCAGGTTGGAGTACAATGGTTCGATCTTGGCTCACTGCAACCGACACCTCCCGGCTTCAAGCGATTCTCCTGCCTCAGCCTCCCGAGTAGCTGGGATTACAGGCAACCGCCACCATGCCTGGCTAATTTTTTGTATTTTTAGTGGAGACGGGGTTTCACCATGTTGGCCAGGCTGGTCGGAACTCCTGACCAGAGGTGATCCAGCCCCCTCAGCCTCCTAAAGTGCTGGGATTACAGGCGTGAGCCACCACCCCTGGCTGAAACGTTTCTTGTCTAGCAGGAAAGCCCCAGCTCTTAGAGCCAAGTGGCAACCTTTGATATGCAAATGCAAGCCATTAGAAACTGAGTCCAGCCAAACAAGGCGATTTCCGCCCTCTTCTCCTTGCCCTTGCCCTGACCTGTGCCTGACAATATGGCCGCCCTCACATATCCCCACGTGGGTACAACATCCTGACGCCTTGTATATTAAAAGGCTAGGGTCGGAGGGCCAGTTTTTTTGCTGGCTAGGTGAATGACATCCCTGGTCAAACCAATCCCCTGAGCCCTATGCAAATCAGACACCACCTCCTCCAGCCTACTCATATAAGCAGCCACTTTTCTGTGGCACATGGGGTCTCCTCTCTTGGATTTGGAGTCCCCTCTGACTGTCACTGAATGGGGGAGCTTCTTCCTTCTTTCTTGCCTATTAAACTTTCCACTCCTTAAAACCACTCCATGTGTGTCCATGTCGTTTTACCCAATTCGTGGGAGACAAGAGCCCTGGTGGTGTTCCTCCACTCATCGGAGCTGTATCAGTCAGTGAAGATTGTATCTTTATTTTTATTTTATTTTATTTTTGAGACGGAGTCTAGCTCAGTCTCCCAGGCTGGAATGCAGTGGCCTGATCTCGTCTCACTGCAACCTCCACCTCCTGGGTTCAAGCAGTTCTCCTGCCTCAGCCCCCTGAATAGCTGGGATTACAGGCACCCACCACCATGCCCAGCTACTTTTTGTATTTTCAGTAGAGATGGGGTTTCACCATGTTGGCCAGGCTGGTCTCAAACTCCTGACCTCACGGTCTGCCCGCCTCGGCCTCCCAAAGCACTAGGATTATAGGCGTGAGCCACTGCGCTCGGCAAGATTGTATCTTTAAAGAGGTTTTGGATATCAGTGTTATTAAAGGAAGAAAATATTTATCTAAAATCTCCCTTTTTAAATTTTTTGAGAGAGACTCACTCTGTTGCCCAGGCTGGAGTGCAGTGGCGCAATCTCGGCTCACTGCAGCCTCTGCCTCCCAGGTTCAAGCGATTCTCCTGCCTCAGCCCCCTGAGTAGCTGAGATTACAGGCATGTGCCACCACACTTGGCTAATTTTAAGTTTTTTTGTTTGTTTGTTTGTTTCTTTGAGATGGAGTCTCACTCTGTCGCCTAGGCTGGAGTGTAGTGGTGTGATCTCCACTCACTGCAGCCTCTGCCACCTGGGTTCAAGCAATTCCCCTGCCTCAGCCTCCCGAGTAGCTGGGATTACCGGTACCTGCCACCACACCCTGCTAATTATTGTATTTTTAGTAGAGACGGGGTTTCACCATCTTGGCCAGGCTGGTCTTGAACTCTTGACCTCGTGATCCACCCGCCTCCCAAAGTGCTGGGATTGCAGGCGTGAGCCACCACACCCGGCTATTTTATAGTTAATAATTTAATTAGTTGAAATTCTTAGAGGTCTAATCTTGCTATTTGCTATGTAAGGCTATGGGGACACCCTTCTCTTTGAATAGAATTCTCTAAATCTGGAGACTGTGATTTAGATAAGTAGCATATATTAGAGAAAACGTTTTTAAATAGTTAATGCGATCCATCAAAGGGAGATTTTAGGCTGGATGCGGTGGTTCGCACCTTTGATCTCAGCACTTTGAGGGGCCGAGACAAGGAGGAAGAGGTGGTTAACTATTAAAGTGTTTTGAATGCTACATGTATTGAATGTTTGAGATGAACACAGCCTAGCTATTTCCCCTTGTGCCAACCACCTCAGACAAGGCTTTTAATCAATGGAAATACATACTTAGTGCAAACATTTTCAATAAACTACATCCATTGCTTTGCTTTATATTTATATGTTGCCAGGAAAATTACTTAAGCATCTTTGTTCATCTGTTCTAGCATATGTAAAGATTCAAATAAGAAATGTGGGGGCACATGTTCTCAGGATTTCCTGAGGCTGTGTCATGGGCCATTGTCACATTTGGCTCAGAATAAATCTATCCAAATATTTTACAGAGTTTGACTCTTTTTGTCAACAAGATCTGATGCTATCCCTAGGTAGAGAGTGTGGGGACTGAATTGAAGGCACATAGCTGCTGTCTGCTACTTGGTGGTTGGGAAAAACACTGGAAACCAAAAATAAAATTCTAAGTCCCCCAACCGACTGAATGGACTGCTCCTTTTGGCCAAGGGCACTCCAGAGTTCATCTGAAATTCTAGCTCAGGCCATAATAAGAAAGGGGGAGGATGGGGAATGCCTCATTACTCACCTCCCTTTGGAATTCAGGTACAGCTGACCAGCATTCACAGTAAAACAGAAGTCTTAGGACTGACCAAGCAATACGATATCAGTATGACCCATAGCAGGTCCTTAAAAAAAAATGTGTTCAGCAACCTTCATGAAGGAATAAAACTCCACTTGAACTAATCACATCGAAATTCAAAGCTTTTTGCAATATTCTTTTTTTTTTTTTTTTTTGAGACGGAATCTCGCTCTGTCGCCCAGGCTGGACTGCAGTGGTGCTATCTCAGCTCACTGCAAGCTCTGCCTCCCGGGTTCACACCATTCTCTTGCCTCAGCCTCCCAAGTAGCTGGGACTACAGGCGCCCGCCACCACGCCCGGCTAATTGTTTTGTATTTAGTAGAAACGGAGTTTCACTGTGTTAGCCAGGGTGGTCTCGAACTCCTGACCTTGTGATCTGCCCGCCTCAGCCTCCCAAAGTGCTGGGATTACAGGCATGAGCCACCACGCCTGGTCTGCTTTTTGTAATATTCTTTTTTTTTTCTTTTTTTCTTTTTTTTTTGAAACGGAGCCTTATTCTGTCACCCAGGCTGGAGTGCAGTGGCATGATATTGGCTCACCGCAACCTCCACCTCTCGGGTTCAAGTGATTCTCCTTCCTCAGCCTCCTGAGTAGCTGGGATTACAGGCGCCTGCCACCACACCCAGCTAATTTTTGTATATATTTAGTAGAGATGGGGTTTCACCATTTGGGCCAGGCTTGTCTTGAACTCCTGATCTTGTGATCCACCCGCCTCGGCCTCCCAAAGTGCTGGGATTGCAGGCGTGAGCCACCGCGCCCGGCCTGCAATATCCTTAAATCTTATTTCTGTACTACTCAAAACAACAGTTTGTTTTTCTCCTAAGGGATTAAGATAAAAATAATCAAGAGCCAGGCAAGGTGACTCATGCCTGTAATCCCAGCACTTTGGGAGGCTGAGGCCGGTGGATCACTTGAGCTCAGGAGTTCGAGACCAGCCTGGGCAACACAGTGAAACCCCATCTCTACTATAAAAAATACAAAAATCAGCCAGATGTAGTGGTGTGCCCCTGTAATCCCATCTACTCGGGAGGCTGAGGTGAGAGAATCATCTGAGCCTGGCAAGTCAAGGTTTCAGTGAGCTATGATGGCACCATTGTATTCCAGCCTAGGTGACAGAGTGAGACCCTGTCTCAAAAAAAAAAAAAAAAAAGATAAACAAAATCACTCATTTTCAAAACAAGGGTTTGTTGCTTCTGACATCTCTTTAAGTTAGTAAAATTGAGAGAGTCTGAAAGGGGGTGACCCATTTCCCTGTCCTAACGAGCTGGGCCAAATAGCCAAAGGCTTGATTGGAGGCACTGCAGGGCCAAACATCGTGACTTGTTGCCTCAAGTCCTCTCCATGGTCTGTGGGACAGATGGCAGCAGTGCTCTATGGAGTGGCTGGGTCTGAGTCAAGGTCAATGGCACCAACTCGAAGCACTTGCGAACTGAGGGGAGCTGGTATTTGGGAAGGGTCCAGGGGTCTGAAGGAGGCAAGTGGAGAAATGAACTTTCTAAGCCAATGCACCAATGACTGCAGCAGCTTTTCCTGTGGTGTCCCTGGCCAATGACATTGGAACACCCAGTGACATGGAGCAGGGTGGCCAAAAGCACTACCAAAATCACTGAGACTATTCTCCCTCAATTTCTTAGATCTTGTGTAGGAAATAAAATCTAGAAATTTAGGAGAAAAGTAGCAAGCATTAGAGCTGTCTTTCATCTTTGCATAATAACCCACCTAATCAATAGGAAGCTAGTTGAGTAAAATATTTTTATATTCATTCACTTAGGGACCTAATGAACACTTATTGAGCTCAACATTTATTGAGCTCCTACCATGTTCTATACCCAGTGGTAGATGCTATGGATCCAAAGATAAATAAAACACAAAATTCCTACTTTCAAGGTACTCACTATTGAATAGGAAGATAAGTAAATGAATAAGTTTAATCAAATATTATGTAGGGTGTATCAGTTACCACTTGCTGTGTAACAAACACTTCAAAATTTGGTAGTTTAAAACAACCATTTTTATTTAACTCATGATTCTGAGGATTAGTTGTATAGTTCTGAGCCAGCTCAACTGATCTCTGCTGATTTCTCTTATGTATCTTATGGTCATTTGGCAGCTTGGCTGGTGGCTGGACTATTTCTTATGACCTCAGTCCCATATCTGGTGGTTGGTAGGCTCAACCAGTAAGATGGGAGTGGGTGACTGGGCCATGTGTCGCTCATCATCCAGCAGGCTAACCTGGATTTTTTCACATGGGAGTTGGAGGATTCTGAAAAGCAACAAGAGACTAAGCCCAGTGCTCATGCACTTTGAAAGCATCTTCTGTAACATATTTGATTTTTCACTGGCCAGAGCAAGTGACAGGAGCTGCCCAGAATCCACGGTGGAGAGGGAGATCTGCCTAGAAGAAAGAGAATCATTTTCTGGCCCTTTAGGCACTCCCCACCTGTGGAGTGTCATGGAAATTTGTAGGGGGATAGAAATGAAGAAACCTATCCTGTTGGGGCGGCAGGGGCAGGAGGCAGGAGGGATTTCATAGAAGAGGTGCTGCTATAGAAAGAGAGTGAAAGATCAGAGGTGCCAACCAGGCAGACACCAACAGTGCAGAGGGAGCGGGCACAGTGAGCAAAGGCACCAAGGCAGAAGGCTGTCATGTGCTTTTTAATCATATTCAGAAGTGCTAGGTGTGAGGGGAGCTTAGGGATGGCTGAAGAGGTAGGGCAGGAGATGGGGAACCTCCTATGCCTTGCAACTGGAGATATTGAGGGTGGGCTAGCAGAAGATGTGTATGAACCAAATCTGAGTTTTATTTATTTATTTACTTTTATTTTATTTATCTATTTTTTTGGAGACAGAGTTTCACTCTTGTTGCCCAGGCTTGAGTGCAATGGCGCCATCTCAGCTCACTGCAACCTCTGCCTCCTGGGTTGAAGCGATTCTCCTGCCTCAACCTCCCAGTAGCTGGTATTACAAGCATGCACCACCATGCCCAGATTTTTTTTTTTTTTTTTTTGTATTTTTAGTAGAGACAGGGTTTCACCATGTTGGTCAGGCTGGTCTCGAACTCCTGACCTCAAGTGATCCACCCACCTTGGCCTCCCAGTGTTGGATTACAGGCGTGAGCCACCGAACCCGGCCAATTTATTGATCTATTTTTAAGACAGGATCTTGCTCTGTCACCCAGGCTAGAGTAGAGTGGCGTGATCGTGGCTCACTGCGGCCTCAGTTTCCTCAGACTCAGGTGATCCTCCCAACTCAGCTTCTTGAGTAGCTGGAGCTACAGGTGTGTACCACCATGCCCAGATAATTTTTGTATTTTTTGTAGACAGGGGTCCCACTGTGTTGCCCAGGCTGGTCTTGAACTCCTGGGCTCAAGCTATCTGCCCACCTCAGCCTCCCAAAGTGCTAGGATTACAGGTGTAAACCACCATGCCCGGCCAAATCTGAGTTTTAAAAACGTTTCATCTCATCAAATGACTATAGACTTACAAATATAACAAACAAATAAAATTAATTTTCATCTTAAGATGAAAAGCTATGAGCAACTTGTGGAACTATATTTCTAAGAGGGGATGAATGGATTAATAGAGATTGCAAGATCAGTTTAGTTTATACCATTTTTTTATGTACCAAAATACTGGTACTTTATTATTTTATTTATATATTTTGAGATGGAGTCTTGCTCTGTTACCCAGGCTGGAGTGCAGTGGTGCAGTCTTGGCTCACTGCAACCTCTCCCTCCCGGGTTCAAGTGATTCTCCTGCCTCAGCCTCCCGAGTATCTGGGATTACAGGCGCCTGCCACCACGCCCGGCTAATTTTTTGTATTTTTAGTAGAGAAGGGTTTCACCATGTTGGCCAGGCTGGTCTCAAACTCCTGACCCCGTGATCCGCATGCCTCAGCCTACCAAAGCGCTGTGATTACAGGCATGAGCCACCTTGCCTGGCCACAATACTGGTACTTTAAAGATGTAATATTATTATTTCAGTTATGTTTTAAAAAAACTGAAACCTGATTTGCTTAAATATTGAGACCAACTCAGAAGTTGCATCAACATTTAGAATAAAAAGTTGGCCTTCATCCTTCTCAGCACGCAGTTCTCCTAAGTAAAGCCTGCCTACATTTCTTTTTTTTTTTATCTTTTTTTAGATGGAGTTTTGCTCTGTCACCCAGGCTGGAGCGCAGTGGCACGATCTCGGCTCACTGCATCCTCCACCTCCCAGGTTCAAGCAATTCTCTGCCTCAGCCTCCCAAGTAGCTGGGATTACAGGTGCCCACCACCATGGCTGGCTATTTTTTTTTGTATTTTTAGTACAGACGGGGTTTCACCATCTTGGCTAGGCTGATCTTGAACTCCTGACCTTGTGATCCACCTGCCTTGGCCTCCCACAGTGCTGGGATTACAGGTGTGAGCCACCGTGCCTGGCCAACCGTGCCTACATTTCTTGCTACTGAGGTAAATCATCCTTTTGTCCCCCAGGCCCATCTTGGACTTCCTATTTTTTTATTTTTTGTTTTATTTTTTGAGACAGAGTCTTGCTCTGTAGCCCAGGCTGGAGTGCAATGGCACGATCTCGGCTCACTGCAACCTCCGCCTCCTGGGTTCAAGCGATTCTCCTGCCTCAGCCTCTTGAGTAGCTGGGATTATAGGTGCCTGCCACCACGCCCGGGTAATCTTTGTATTTTTAGTAGAGACGGAGTTTCAGTATGTTGGCCAGGCTGGTCTCAAACTCCTGACCTCAAGTAAGTGATCCACCCACCTTGGCCTCCCAAAGTGTTGGGATTATAGGCGTGAGCCACTGAGCCCAGCTTTTTTTTTTTTTCTTTTACTTTAAAGGATCAAATTAGAAATTCTACATGACATTTGCATATCCTTGACATAATAAAATTGATTTCCCTGTGCTTTCAAATTTTCCCACATCCTTATTGAATATTTTGACTTTGTACTTTATAACCTGCCGAGTTAAGAGTATTGAACCAAGTCTTGATGTCTGAGCAAATTTCAGAAGTATATATTTATAGCTCTGGTTTTAAGAGAGAAAAAAGACAGAAATCCATGGTGTGAATGTCTAGCCAAGGCATTCCATATGGCAATGGAATATGGAATGGTGGGGAGGTAATTTGGGGAGGAGCAGTTCTTTTTTTTTTTTTTTTTTTTGAGACGGAGTCTCACTCTGTCGCCCAGGCTAGAGTGCAGTGGCATGATCTCGTCTCACTGCCAGCTGGGGAGGAGCAGTTCTTTACCCTGCTAAAATCTCACTATGGACATGGCTGCCTTCCTCTGAGGTCAGCCTGGCTATACTGATGATGCTCACCAAGAATCAAACTGACTGTGTGGTTACCAGACCACAGATTTTTTTTCTTTTCCTTTTTCTTTTTCTTTTTTTTTTTGAGATGGAGTCTCGCTCACTGGAGTGCAATGGTGCCATCTCGGCTCACTGCTGCAACCTCCACTTCCTGAGTTCAAGTGATTCTCCTGTCTCAGCCTTCCAAGTAGCTGGGATTACTGGCACTTGCCACCATGCCTGGCTGATTTTTGTATTTTCAGTAGAGACAGGGTTTCACCATGTTGGCCAGGCTGGTCTCGAACTCCTGACTTCAGGTGATCCACCTGCCTTGGCCTCCCAAAGTGCTGGGATTACAGGCGTAAGCCACTGCGCCCGGCCAACTACAAGCATTTTCACCCTGTTTCTTGTTTGACCTCACAACAACCTGGTGGAGCAGGCAGGATTATCTCCAGTTTTCCTAATGAAAAGCTGAGGACCCCAGATGTTGAGCCACCTAATCAAGTTACATAGAGAGCAAACGGCTGAAGCCAGGGGTCCTGACTCACAGCTGTATAGTGTCTGAAAAATGATTCAATTCTGAGTCAAATCTTGTTTCACTGCCTTCCTGCTAGGAAGTCTGCTACACGTGGCAGCAGGGAGAGCTGTCACGTACAGGATTTGGCATGACTTTTGTGTTGTTCCCCACAATGGGGATGGTCTGGGAAGGACTCCTCCCCAACTTTCTTACCTGGTCCCCCTGAAGACCAAGATCCCGGGACCCTGGCATCGTCCATGTGAGGTGCTGGTTGAACGTAGAGGATACGGCAGGGTGCAAAATGATGCCTGGTGTGTTGCATAAGCCTCCTGAGGCAGCATCTTGGAATAGGTGCTAATGAAGATCATGCATCCAGGGTTAGAAATGAAAATGTCCGACCAGGCGCAGTGACTCATGCCTGTAATCCCAGCACTTTGGGAGGCCGAGGCAATATAAAGAGGGATATAAAGCACCACTGAGTAGTTGGGATTAGAGGCTGGAATTACTGAGGTCAGGAGTTGGAGACCAGCCAGGCCAACATGGTGAAACCCCGTGTCTACTAAAAATACAAAATAGCCGGGCATGATGGCAGACGCTTGTAATCCCAGCTGCTTGGTAGGCTGAGGCAGGAGAATCGCTTGAACCTGAGAGGCGGAGGCTGCAGTGAGCTGAGATTGCCCCACTACACTTCAGCCCGGGCAACAAGAGCAAAACTTCATCTCAATATAAATAAATAAATAAATAAATAAATAAATAAATAAATAAATAAATAAATAAGAAAAAGAAAAAGAAATGATGTATGAAAACGTCCACCTGCAGCAGCCCGATGTGGTCTCAGTGAATGAAGCTTGTCTCTTCTTTGCCAGTCAATTACAGCAGGAGCCTCTTGGTGATGGAGCTGTGTCCTGGTTTAAATGTTCTCATCTGTGAACCAAGTCTATGGCCGCTTTAGTACTGGTAACAGATACGCTTTCTGTTGGTGCAAAAATTGGTTTGAAAATTAAAAAGAGTGAAGATTTTAAAGCAATGCATGACAATATGATCAAGTTTCCTTGGGTGGTAGGAAAACAGGACACTCTTCTATTTAAATTTCTGAATTTTGACATTTTATATAATGAACATGTGCCCTTCTTATAGTGAGAAATGGCTTATAACAAGCTAAAACTCCCCGTAATAGAGACATTAGTAAGTGGAGTGTCAGGGACCACCAAGCACAAGAAGGGGCTTCACTCCACAAACTCAGCACCTGCAGGCAGGCTTCCCCCAAATATTCTCAGTAGTGGTTTCCCAGTGTCCTTCCAGGAGTGTCAAGGCTACACACTTGGAGACTCCCGACCCTTACTTTTCATCAATAGATCTCTTTCAGCTATGTTAGCTCCCCAGGCTGTGAGTGGAGACTGGATTTTGCTCAGAACTGGAATCAAAGTTGATATGGTTTGGATCTGTGTCCCCACTTAAATCTCACGTTCAGTTATCATTCCCAGTGTTGGAGGTGGGACCTGGTGAAAGGCGATTGGATCCTGGGGGTGGACCCTTCATGAATGGTTTGGCACCATCCCTTTGGTGTTGTTCTCATGAAGGAGTTCTCGCGAGATCACAGTGTTTAAAAGTGCGTGGCATATCTTCCCTCTCTCTTTTCCTCTTGCTCTGGCCATAAAATGTGCCTGCTTCCCCTTCATCTTCCGCCATGATGGCAAGTTTCCTGAGGCCTCCCCAGCCATGCTTCCTGTACAGCCTGCGGAACCGTGAGCCAGTTAAACCTTTTTTATTTTATTTTATTTTTATTTTTTCTGAGGTGGAATTTCACTCTTTTTGCCCAGGCTGGAGTGCAATGGCGTGATCTCAGCTCACTGCAACCTCTGTCTCCCTGGTTCAAGCGATTTTCCTGCTCAGCCTCTCTAGTAGCTGGGATTACAGGCATGCATCCCATGCCCAGCTAATTTTTTTTTTTTTTTTTTTTGTATTTTTAGTAGAGACGGGGTTTCACCATGTTAGTTAGGCTGGTCTCGAACTCCTGACCTCAGGTGATCCACCCACCTCGGCCTTCCAAAGTGCTGGGATTGCAGGCATGAGCCACTGCACCCGGCCACCTTTTTTCTTTATAAACTACCCAGTCTCAGGTATTTTTTTTTGCAGCACAAGAACAGACTAATACAAAAGTGGTTAGCCAAGTACTGCTCTGGCCCAAAGCACCACCCATGGTATATCCTTTGAAAGACGAACGAGCCGTTCTGAGGCCCTCTGCTCTCCTCTGTCTGCAGCCATGCCCCACCCACCTGCCTACCCTGTTGCGGGGCTGGCCCCTGTTTCATGCTTGCAGCAACTCTCTCCAGTGAATCTTAAAACACTCCTGACAGGAGCTACCAATGAATGTCTGAGCAGTGTTTTCTAATAACACTGCAAGCTCATTCCTTACCCTGGAGTGAGGAGCCGAGAGAGCCCTGAAGCCTGCTTAGAGTCAGGTGGAGGAGAAACAGTGACTGCAAAATGCATTCTGTTAAGTAGAGTATCTAAGACGGAAGCAGGGCTCTTGATAGCTGGCCTACTGGAGTAGCTCTCCAATGTACTCTTTTGATGGGGGCAGGGGGGCGGTGGAGGGAAGTGAATTTAAAAGTGTCAGTTAGCTGAGAAGGGCTAAGTTCCCTCCTTGCAAGTGTTTGTGGTACCTTCCCTGGCAGACAGCAGACTAGAACTAGCTTTGCAGGAGACCTAGCTTCTACAAAGTCCAAAGCCCTGCTGCTGGTGGTGACCTGAGCCACTCAACCTAGGGGAGAAGCATTGAAGACCAAGGACGGATGACTTGTGGAAGGGAATGGCTGGGGGGCACAGGAATGTGTTTGCACCTGTGTCTTATAGGACCTGGTTGCCATCTCACCTGGATGCCTTTGCACACCTCCTCCTTGCACCTGCAGTGCTATATGATGATGATCTGTCTGTGCCTCTTAGTCTTGTAGCTCCTTAATAGCAGGATTGTTTATCATCGTGTTCCCAGCTGGCCCAAATATTTACTGAAGGAGCCTGGTTTGACCATGTCTACTTGTCTCCTCTGGTCACTTCCCTACAGGCCATGTCCCTTTGTGCAGAAAGATCTGGGAGCCAAGGGGAGTAGAGCCTCCCTGGTAGGCCCACATTTCCCTATGGCTGCATTCACAGCTACCTGAGGAGGGGCTGCTATGCACAGAGAGTGTATATGGAGGTGTTTGTCTGTGTGGCTGTCAAGCTGCAGTCCTCTCAGCCCAAGTGCTGGAGCCTACCAGCAAGGTGCCTCCCAAGCCAAGGAAAGCAAGGCCACCATGTAGATGAAGTCCAGTCACATCCAGTTGGCCATGTATGGCAACAAGGCACTCAACAGGCTGTGCTCCTTTGTGGCAGCTCCATGTCTTCCCCCACATCCCTCTGGAGCTCATTCCCGATAAAGTGGTGAAGAAATCCAGGGCCCTGGCTTAGGAGATCTGATTTGGGGATCAGGCTCCCGGACATGTGCAGAGTCACACAACCCCCATCTTAATTTAGGGTGCTGTGCTTTAAATAAGAATTAATGGATGTTAGAATGTCTTTTAATTGCAAGTATTTTAAAATTTGAATCCAAGACATTATTTTTAGGTAAACCCAAAAAGTATCTGAGACAAGTCTCAATTTAGAAGTTTACTTTGCCAAGGTTGAGCAGGTGCCAGGTGACAAGGTGACAAGTCTGTGTCTTTCTCCAAAGATGATTTTGAGGACTTCAATATTTAAAGGGGAAAGGGAGGACATTGGGGAAAGAGGAAGAAATTTTTTTTTTGAGACTGAGTCTTGCTCTGTTGCCCAGGCTGGAGTGCAGTGGTGTGATCCTGGCTCACTGCAACTTCCGCCTCCTGTATTCAAGCAATTCTCATGCCTCAGCCTCCCGAGGAGCTGGTACTACAGGTGCGTGCCACCACTCCTGGCTAATTTTTTGTATTTTTGATAGAGACAGGGTTTGACTATCTTAGCCAGGTTGGTCTCGATCTCCTGAGCTCGTGATCTGCCCACCTCAGCCTCCCAATGTGCTGGGATTACAGGCATGAGCCACCTCGCCTGGCCCAGAAATTTCTTTTAAAGGTGTAGGCAAGTAAGAGGCAAGCACTTGTATTCTTTTGAGTCTTTGATCAGCTGTTCGCATGTGAAAGGAGGGTAGAGGAATAGTCACTTACGCATTCATCGAACCCAGTGAATCTGCATTTCTACATAAGATAAAATGAACAGAGGGCAGAAGAAGCAATCAGATATGCACCTGTCTCAGGTGAGCAGAAGGATGACTTTCTGTCCTGCACCTGTGAAAATCAGCTATTAATTGACATTGTCAGGGTGAAATTCAACAGAACTGTTTTAGGGTAAAGATCTTGGGACCCACAAGGAATTTCCTAGTGGGCAAGTTGCAAGGGAGGTATGTAGCCTTTTATCTTTGTAGCTATCTTATTTAGGAACAAAATGGGAGGCAGCTTTGTGTGATGCCATTCCTAGCTTGAGTTTTCCCTTTGGCTTAGTGAGCTTGGGATCCCAAGATTTATTTTTCTTTCACACTTATAAGACATATCCTGTGATAAACAGGAAGACTCCTATTCTGTATTTTGCATTCCTTTTGAAGTGGAAAGCCCCCTGTGTGCATGGGAGACCAAGAATATGTGGACCCCGTGACATAAGTCATGATTGTCTATGTTGGTTATTCAGACTGGGGTGGTGCTGGCATTTAATCATGCAGCCCCTCTAAAGGAGGCTGCTGGTAAGGTGCTGTTCATCTAAGTCCATCTGAACTTAGCCTCCAGAGTCCAGGGAGCCAGCAGAGTCCCGCTTGCTGTCAATGTTTCAATCATTGCCTTTGGTGGCTGTCTGACTCAGGATGTGTGACCATTCTTCAGTTTTGTCTGGCACCTGGCTCTTAAAGTCTTCTAAATATATAATGAATACAATATGGCTTATCATCACAGTGACCATGCAAAATAGCAGGTATTTTCATTTGACTGGATTCCTACTCAGTGTCTCACAGTTGAAGACCAGAAAATTGGGGCTGGGAAAAATATATCAGTATCTTCTAAAACGTAGGGCAGGGCTATTCTCACCATGTGAGAAAGTCACCAAAATTCTCTGTGAAAACTGTTGTTGGCTCAAAGTTATACAAGGACAGAGGCCTGATTTGTCTTTTTTTTTTTTTTTCATTCTTTTTTTTTTTTTTTTTTTTTTTTGGTGAGACAGAGTCTCGCTCTGTTGCCCAGGCTGGAGTGCAGTGGGATGATCTCAGCTCATTGCAGCATCTACCTTCCAGGTTCAAGCGATTTTCCTGCCTCAGCCTCCCAAGTAGCTAGGATTACAGGTGCCTGACACCATGCCCGGCTAATTTTTGTATTTTAGTAGAGACGGGGTTTCACCATGTTGGCCAGGGTGGTCTTGAACTCCTGACCTCAAGTAATCCACCTGCCTCAGCCTCCCAAAGTTCTGGGATTACAGGAGTGAGCCACAGTGCTGAGCCTTGTCTGTTTTTTTTTAGAGTCTAGAATCCACTCTGTAATAATGAACACAGGCTGCTTTGTCATGTCAAATGATTTTAGAAGCCTCACAAATGACGAAGGTTCCATTATTGAGCCTTGGGAAATGAGTACAAAGCTTTGTTATGATTTAAAATATCAAGATGAGTCATGGTAGGGTGGAGGGAAGGAAGGTAGAGATTCAGAAATTGTTACTGCAAAGTCAGTCTCCAAATATGGCTCAGATCTCACCATATTCAACTGTTTTATCACCAGCATCGGTCTCTTGTCAACCAACTTCTCTAGACTCCCAAGGACCACATTTATCACAGCAAGAATGAGCAGGGATAGATTCTGACTGCCCTTGGCCATGATGGTTTGGGGGTATGGAGAAATGGAGTGGGACTTTTCTTATTGTCTAGGGATGGGCATATGAAGCCCAAACAAAGGTCATAGGTGAAATAAACTCATGTTCTCAAAAAATGATGGGTTGAGGCCAGATACCTCCCTTTGACTTTCTAAGATGTGGGTTAACTCTCTGCATCCTATTAGTTAGATGTCTTCTGACACAGGAGATGAGCAAGTTTGCCCTTGTGCCACCCTGAGCAGGGAACTGGAGCGGCCTGCTTGGCCATCATCTGGTTGGCAAGAACAGTTTTCCAGGAGCCTGGAAATAACCAGGTTCGAATCTCTCTGTTTGGTGCATTCAAAGGGGGCTGCATGGTCTCTGGGGAGGGCCTCTGGCACTTCAGGGGCACTGAGGCTTCTGCAGGAGTGAAGAGTCGAGTGGAGGAAGAAGGGGAGCCAGCTCCTGCGGGGCTGTGCAGTGGGATGCTCACCACACCCCTCTGAGGAAGTCGCACGTGTGCTGTTTGCTGAAGAGGACCAAGGGCAGGCTGGGAACTACGGGCAGGAAAAGCAGTTGAGGACACCAACTGCTGTAGCCCAGGTAAGAAGTGCCTACCCCTCCTCTTCCATTGTCCTTCCCAGGCCCCAACATCAGAGGAGTTAGGCTCTGATAGGGAGGAAGTGGTGGAATCTCAGAACCAGGCCACCTTCTCACCTTTCCTGAGGCAGCTCCTCACCTCTCTGCTGGGAAAGGGAGGGTGTTTTGGGCTGAATTGTATCCCCTTCAATTCACATGTTGAAGTCTGAACCCCTAGTACACCTGAATGTGACAGTATTTGGAGATAGGGCCTTCAAAGAAGTAATTAAGGTTAAATGATGTCATTAGGGTGGGCCCTAATCCAATGTGACTGGTGTCCTTAGAAGAAGAGGAGTTAGGAGACAGACACAGACAGAGGGAAGGCCATGTAAAGAGAGAAGTCGGTGTCCACAAGCCAAGGAGAGAGGCCTCAGAAGGCCCCAACCCTGCTGACACCTTGATCTTGGGCTTCCAGCCTCCAGAAGTGAGAAACCAATTTTCTCTTTAAGCCACCCAGTCTGGGGCTCTTTGTTATGGCAGCCCTCACAAACTAATGCAGAAGGCATGAGATTTAAATTAGTTGGGCAAGAATTTAAACCAGACTGAACTCCAATAACTCAGCATGTCTAGAAAACTTACGAGATCTGCCCAGTAAAAGAGAGGAAAGGGGAGTTAGAGAAAGCACATTCAAAATCAATAATTGCCATAAAGGAGTTTGAATTTTCAATCTTATGCTGCGTTTAGACTGCTCACCCCCACACCAAGCCCAGCTCCCTCCTCCAACTTGAAGCAAATGCTGCTTTCTTTAAGGCTGATGGGAAAGCTGGATCTGCTATTTTCTACCAGCACTTTTGTGAGAAGGCACAGATGCCCACCTGGGCTGGCTTCAGGTGTTGGAAGGTACAAGGCTAGGGGCCAGCAGACTGTCAATACTGCCCCAATATTCAGAGTGTTTGGGAGTTTCCCTGCTTTTCCTTTTGGCTGCTTTGAGAGTTGTCACCTGGTACTGGGGCACTTGAGTCTTTGGACTAGTGGTCTGCAGGCATGTGAGGAAGCAGCTGACACCTTGCTCTGCCAGTCATTAGCTTTAGCAATTATATAACACTGAGCAGGGACTTTGCACTCTGAGATAAACACCCCGCACCCCAATCACTTTGTGTAGTACCAGTCCTGGAACAAGATTAAACCTGAATTCCTTCTTGTAAATTACACTTTCTCCTTGACTTTCATGGTGCTGATGACTACAGATGTGGGATAGCCTTTGTGGATACAATCCCTGGGGGGAAAAACACTGTGTTTACTTTTTGTTTCATCGTCACCTAGGCTGGAGTGCTGTGGTGTGATCTTGGCTCACTACATCCTCGACCTCCTGGGCTCAAGTGATCTTCCTGCCTCAGCCTCCCAAGTAGCTGGGACTATAGGCCTGAGACACTGTGCTTGGCCAAAACCACTGTTTTTCACCATGATCAGACCTTTGTAACCTTGTGTGTGTGTGTTTCTTTCCATATATTATTTCATGAGCCAAACTTTCTGAAGTCTTAATTCCTTTGCAAGCGATCTCATTTTCTCAGTGTTTTGAACTCAGTTTTCCTTTGTCACGTTTTGCTTTATTTTGACTCTAAAGTCAAAATGTAACATAGCTTTGCAAGTCAATTTGTATCAATGAAGATTCCTCTTTGCTACACCTGTGCCCACTGCTCTAAATTTTTATTAAATGTCAGGTTCAATTTTTTATTTACTTTTTTTTCGAGACGGAGTCTCGCTCTGTCGCCTAGGCTGGAGTGCAGTGGTGCAATCTCGGCTCACTGCAAGCTCCGCCTCCCACGTTCACACCATTCTCCAGCCTCAGCCTCCCGATTAGCTGGGGCTACAGGCGCCTGCCACCACACCCGGCTAATTTTTTGCATTTTTAATAGAGACGGGGTTTCGCCGTGTTAGCCAGGCTGGTCTCGACCTCCTGACCTTGTGATCTGTCCGCCTTGGTTTCCCAAAGTGCTGGGATTACAGTCGTGAGCCACCATGCCTGGCCTTGTCAGGTTCAATTTTTATTAAATGTCAGGACATGTTTAGGAGATTGGAAGACCTGGGTATCAGACTGTATTAGTCCATTTTAACACTGCTATAAAGATACTACCCAAGACTGGGTAATTTATAATGAAGGAGGTTTAATTGACTCACGGTTCCATATGGCTGGGGAGGCCTCAGGAAACTTACAATCATGGCGGAAGGGGAAGCAAGGACCTTCTTCACATGGTGGCAGGAGACAAAGAGTGAGGAGCGAAGGGGGAAGAGCCTCTTAAAAACCATCAAATCCCGGCAGGGTGCCGTGGCTCACGCCTGTAATCCCAGCACTTTGGGAGGCCGAGATGGGCAGATCACGAGGTCAGGAGACCGAGACCATCCTGGCTAACACAGTGAAACCCCCTCTCTACTAAAAATACAAAAAAATACAAAAAATAAAAAATAAAAAATAGCCCTGCATGGTGGCAGGCGCCTGTAGTCCCAGCTACTCGGTAGGCTGAGGCGGGAGAATGGTGTGAACCCAGGAGGCGGAGCTTGCAGTGAGCCAAGATCGCGCCACTGCACTCCAGCCTGGGCGACAGAGCGAGACTCCATCTCAAAAAAAAAAAAAAAAAAAAAAAAAAACCATCAAATCTTCTGAGAACTCACTATCACAAGAACAGCATGGGGGAAACCGCCCCCATGATCCAATCACCTCCCACCAGGTCTCTCTCTAGACGCATGGGGATTATGGGGATTACAATTCAAGATGAGATTTGAGTGGGGACACAGCCAAACCATATCACAGACCTAACCTACTTTACTCCTTTCAGAATATGTTTCTCTAATGGCCAAATCTCCATTAAATAAAATGAATAAAATGTTATGAATAAAGCATAATGGATATGTTCAAAGAACTTTTATGCTAGCCTAGAAAACATTCACAAATACAACTAACTGAAAAAACTCCATTCTCCCCATTTCAAATGTGCACTGCTTGATGAATTTATGTACAGTCTTGTTTAGCAAAACCCATAAGAGTTTGGTGCAAACTTCAGGCCCTGGCTCAACTATTACTCACTGTCTCAAATCTCTCATGGAAGTAGCTCAGATGCAGAAGACCTGCACACTTATCCAGGAGCATGAAGGTAAGTTGTTGTAAATCTAAATGCATGAGAATGTCACACCATGAAATATTCTCCCATACTAGGACTGTGCTCTTGTCTTAGCAAGCAGCAAACGCAAGCATTGAGTCTCATTGATTTCTTGACCTTGCCCAATCTCACAAGAATGTGCTAATGAATCATGAAGTCTTCAAAAATGAGTCAAATGAAGAGAAGCAACAACGCTGCTGCATTTGCAAACTTGAGAGAAACTTTTATGTGTCTGGGAGCCAGGTACTGTGGAAGTGGCAGGAAAAATGTAAAAGGAAGCTCTTCCTTTAGAGCACTTATAATTCCTCTTGTGCTTGCAGGTGTAGCAATTTCAGACTTGCCATATACATATATGTATATATATGTGTGTGTGTGTATACTTAAATGTGCTTTAAATGTGCCATTGTACTTCTTAATAGCTTTTTAATTTAATTTGTGGTCTTCAGGTAATTTTAGTTTTTTTTTTTTTAATGGAATGCTACTACTAAACTTATTAATCCTCCACTTGGTACCCTTTCCTTTCCTTTCCTTTCCTTTCCTTTCCTTTCCTTTCCTTCCCTTTCCCTTTCCCGTTCCTTTCCTTTCCTTTTTCTGAGATGGAGTCTTTCCCTGTTGCCCAGGCTGGAGTGCAGTGGCATGATCTCAGCTCACTGCAAC